>NC_000010.11:33661388-33965671 GCF_000001405.40 Homo sapiens
ACATTCTAAGAACCAGTTATTTGCAATTTAAAATGAAGACACTGAGGCAACTTGCCCGAGTCATCACCTGGTAAATTTTATAAAAAGTTAGAAATCAAGTTCTTGCTTCTCAGCCTGAGCTAAGAAATAAACAAATAGCAAGGCCAACATCACTTGTTGAGGACTTTGACAGAATCATCAAACAAGGCAAGCATTTTGCCTTACTCCGGGGGAGGGAGGTCAAAGGTATTGTTGAGCACCCAGGGTCACAGTTGTTCCTTCTGATCCAAACAACCCTAGATCCCCTGTGCCAGGCACAGGAAACTTTATCCCTTCGGTTCTCTGAAACTCTGTGCATGGAGCCAGCACGAGGACTTTTGCAAACATTTATCACTGACCTTTAAGAGGTCCACATTAAGCAAACAAACTCTTTCCTCTGCCCCACCCTCTCTTCTTCCTATTGTTGCCAGGGTCTATGGTTTCCTCTTGAATCTCTGAGCTATCCTCCATGGAGTCTCACTCATTTCCTGTCCGGGGAGCCTTGGCATCTGATCTGCAGGCGGCAGGCGCAGGAGCCAGCAGCCCCAGGGGCTGTTTCTCCTTCCTCATTGTCTTCGGGGAAACCGCAGGGCTGTTCTCCTCCCCTTCTGCCCAAAGGCCACCGTCACGAGAACCCAGCCCTCTGGTAGGAGGCCATCTGGCCCTGCCACCAGACCTGTTGATGGGTTGGCAACCGTCCCTTCCTCCTGTCTCCCCACTGCACCCCTCCACGCCTCCGCTCCACAAGAGGAAACTCTTAGCATCCCAGATGCTTGCAGCTTCGCCTGACTCCTCCAGTCCTCGGCTCCATATGGTCTGGATTCACTCTTTGAAATGGCTCAGCCTCTAATTCCCCATATTCTGTTCATGTGCTCATTTTAAGACTGTGTCCCATTGCCATGCTTGCTGCTGCTACATTTTAAATTGTTTTAATTTAAAGCTGATGCTGCTGGGCTAATTAATGCAACCGCTGCTAACCACGTGCACACATACATACTCGGAGGGCTGTGTGTGTGTGTGTGTGTGTGTGTGTGTGTGTGTGTGTGTGTTGAAGGGAAAGTTCCCTTCACATGGTTTCTTCTTGTCCCCAGAAATCTGAAAATCTCTTTGTCTTGGTACTTGTCCCAGCAACATCACTCTCTTCCTCTTTCTTTGGCCTATTCTTAGAATAAGGATATTTTGCAAAAAGAATAGGGGTATTTTGCAAAAAGCCACGGCCTCCTACCGTGCCAATTCTTGGAACAGCTACAAGAAACAAGACCCTCTTAGCCCAATTAGGGGAGTCAAACTGACCCAACTGCATACTTTCCTAAAGTTGACTGTGAACATTTCCGTCAGCATCGTTCCGATGTCTTTCCCTGCCTCTTTCTGGCTCTTTCCCTCCTACCTACCTTCAAACAGCCAAAGACCCCCGATTGCAAGGAAGGGTTATAGACCCTTTCTCCATTGCCTGCCTCCCGTGTCAATTCCTTCTTCCAGTCTTTCTGGGGGGGAAAAGGAACAATATGGTTAGTTCATTCAAGTATTCATAGTTGTTGGCCAATAGTAATATCAGGCAATAATCCTATCATTTAGTATTTTATTAAAATAGCAACAATATCTTAACCCAAAGGATTTATTAATACAGGGATGTCAAAATGATAGGAAAATATTTTTATATAAAAATTTTATATATCACCTCTCAGTTTGGTTTGTTTTTTGGCCTCTCTCCTATGACACCAGACTTCCGGGCAATCCTTGGCTCTGACCTTGGCACCTGGAAACAGCATGAATGTCCTTGAAGTTGGAGCCTTGAAGCTACTCAGGACTGCTCCACTCACCATAGAACTTTTTTTTTTTGAGACAGAGTGTTGTTCTGTTGCCCAGGCTGGAGTGTAGTGGTGTGATCTCAGCTCACTGCAACCTCTGCCTCCTGGGTTCAAGCAATTCTCCTGCCTCAGCCTCCAGAGTAGCTGGGACTACAGGTGCCTGCCACCACGCCCAGCTAATTTTTGTTTTTGTTTTTTTTTTAGTAGAAACAGAGTTTAACCATATTGGCCTGGCTGGTCTCAAACTCCTGGCTTCAAGCAATCTGTCTCCCTCAGCTTCCCAAAGTGCTAGAATTACAGGCATGAGCCACTGCACCCGGCCTGCTCCACTCACCATGTAACGTTTTCTGGTAGCACAAATGTTCAAGTGAACAATCTGGAAGATCAGATGAGAACCTAAATATGGATTATTTTCCAGAAGTGAGAATCAAACATGAATTTCCTCCTCATTCTTTGATTTAAGTGGGGGTTTTCCTTTTCTTTTTGTTTCTCTCAAGGCAGGATGAAGAAGCAAAGGCAGGCTAACTGTCATGGAGCCAGAGGACGAGGCCTCCTTTTCAATATTGTTTTTATTGATGAACAGCCATCTCACTCCATTTCCTGGCTGCGGTGCACTCAATTATATTTTCAGGATTGTGTGCCACCGAGTTCACACTGTCTTCTTCTTTTAGAAACTGCCTGGAATTATAAACAAAGGGGAATGCATTTTTAAGGAGTAAGGACAGGGAAGTCAGAATTACTGTGTCTCTCTGATTGCAGACAAATGACAATTTATTGAGCTTGCAAAGCCTGCCTGGATGGTGTCTTTGTTCTCGGTTTTATTTCTCCAGCATAGAAGGATGCCCTGTCTCCTTGCTAGAACAGGCTTGCTCTAAGGAAGGTCATTCCTGGTTACTAGAAATACAGAAGGCTGCACATGGACCAGTGTGCAGAGGCAGATGGGCCCGTGCCCAGGCCCCAACACTGGACCACGCTAGAACCACGAGTTGACTCAGACATAAAAACCAGTCAAATGAATCTGCCAGCACCATAAGTTAAGAGAGTTGGTTGGTTAATGTGACCTCAGTGTGGTAAAGTGAATGGAAAGGCCAGTAGCCAAGAGGCCTGGGTTTAATTTTAGCTCTGCCATCTGCTGCCTACAGGTCATGAAGTGCTTCTTTAGTGTCCCTTCAAGGGTTGGTTTCCTGATGAAACCAGCCCAATTGTCCCATAGAAATGATATCTATGGGTTTTTTTAATAAACATAGAAATTTACCCTGCCAGTTTTGAAACTTAAAATTTATATTTGTCTCATCTGAGTTTCTCTCTTAGCAAACTGACCCTCAGACAAGAGAAAGAAATTCAGCAGATCACCGCCAATGAGATGACAGACCCCTCATTCCTCACGACTGCTTCCTTATCCCTCCGTAATTCCTGTTTTATATTCCTCCCCTGCTATATAAACCCAGCAATTCTAGTCTCCTTGAAAGACAGATTTTAGACTAATCTTCTGTTTTCTGCAGCTGTAGCATCCGATTAAAGCCTTCTTCCCTGGCAATACTTGTTGTCTCAGTGATTGGCTTTCTGTGCAGTGAGCAACATGACCTAGACCAAGCCCCTGGGGTTTCAGTAACACTAATCAGCGGCATAGGCTGGGAAAATATACCTCTGGGATGCTGTCAGGAGGATGAGGTAAAAGGTCACCTGTGAAATGCTAATCTTAACTGTGTTAAGGATACATAACCAGGTGATCTGTGTAGTAGGAAGTAGTTTGGTCTTGGGGGAATAGCCCCCATGCCATCCCCCACCCCGAAAAAGGCAGCTTGTTGAACTTTCAAGCCTGAATTGGAAGAGAAGAAAATCACATATAAAACTGGGTGACTTGGCCAGCTGCGGTGGCTCACGCCTGCAATCCCAGCACTTTGGGAGGCTGAGGCAGGTGGATCACTTGAGGTCAGGGGTTTGAGACCAGCCTGACCAACATGGTGAAACCTTGTCTCTACTAAAAATACAAAAATTAGCTGGGTGTGGTGGACTGCACCTGTAATCCCAGCTACTAGGGAGGCTGAGGCAGGAGAATCACTTGAATCTGGGAGGCAGAGGTTGCAGTGAGCCAAGATCACACCACTGTACTCCAGCCTGGGCAACAAGAGTGAAACTCCATCTCAAAAACACAAAACAAAACAAAACAACACTGGGTGACTTTGTGGGAGTACGTGGCCTTTTCTAATTTTACCAGAAACCTATTTTCTGTATAGTTTTGTAAACACTCTAGAATCATTTGGGGGTGGGTGGGGGGTCCATCCTGAGTCAGAGATTCAGTCTCAATATGGACTGTGTTTCTGAATACCTTTGAAAACAATAATCTCTCCTATACACAAAAATCACCCACAGTGCAGGGCTTCCAAAAACTGACATTGTAAGAGTAGCCCTTTTCTGGTGAAGAGAAAGAAGCACATGTGATCTATGGTAACATGGGCTGTGAGTCACCTGGTGATGTATTAACATCTGGCAGAACAATATTATTTCTAATAATGACTAGCTAAGCATTTCTCAACTCAACTTCATAGGCCCATGAGCCAGCTGCTTCCCTGAGAGATTAACACCACCACAAGCTTAAGTGGTCCCATCCAAAACTAGTTCCAGAGATACACCTTAGGGATGCAAGGTGGCAGTTTCTTAAATTTTAAAATAAAGCACCAGTTTCCCGTAGTTGAGTTCTTTTATGTTTCCTTGTTACTGAATGCTCCTTTGAAACCAAAGGTATTGATATATTCTACCCTGCAGGGAAATCAATAAAAATTTTAATCACAAAATTAAATAAAAACCAAAGCTACTGACATTACATGGTAACACTCAGTGAAGCAACAACTTCAAGTTTTATGGTTCTTCTACAACTGGCCTTATTATTTGTAGAAAAATCAATATCGGTTTTAGAGTAATTTGGGATGCATCTTGTGATCACAGAAAACAAGTTCCTGGTTGACTTTACTAAACAAGTAAGAATGAGGCATTAAAATGTGTTCCTCCCTCCCCAACCCAGAGTGATTATTCCTGGGCAGCAGAAAAAAACACAAGTAGGGTGGCCCTAAATAACATCTCCAGCTCTGTCTCAAAGCACATCATTGTCCAAAGCCCTGGGCCACCTTCTACAAAGACAGTCTGTTGCAGTGGTTGATGGGTTGAAGGACTTTCCTAGAATGATTAAAAGCTTGGGATAGTACATGAGTTAAAATGTCCCCAGAAAAGCAGCACACGCTTCATGGAACATATAGTAATAGCACCCATTTATCACATGACCTTAGTGATGTCTGGTAACAAAAGACCCTATTTCACATTTGAGGAGGAAAAAATAAAAACGCTTTTTCAGGTCATTTTCAAGTCACAGGACTATAGGCCTGGATGTAATGTTAGGAGATATTAAGTCCAATAATGTCCAATCTCTTTGTAATGCAGGGGGCCTTCGAGAGGATTTCTGAAGGATGCAATTCCCCTTAACTGTCCTACATCCTTTCTCATCATTCAGTGGCAATGCATGCCCAGAAATATGTGCATAGAGACAAACTTATATCTTCAGGAACCACGAGCTTTCCAGTGCTAATGAATTCTTAGGCTGAAAGCTTGCTCTTGTCTCCTATAATAGTGGTAACCCACAGTGTGGAAAGTGAAACCATTGGCAACCTGAACCGTGATCCTGATTCCCAGACAGTGATGTGATAACACACTTTCAATGAACTTGAAGAGAACTTTGAATTGCTGCAAGGGTTTATTGGAGTCTAACTCAATATACTTTGGTCCCCTGTGCTCTTGTGTTAGATCTTCAAAATGGCTTTTTTCCAAGACTTGAGAGTGCTCACTCAGTAAAGAAAGCAGAACCAGAGGATGGGGCCTGCTTAATGTGTGGGAGGAGCCAGCTGCTTTAGGTGTGGAGGTTTTGAAAGTCAGGAAATGAAACATAAAGACTTTGCAAGGGTGAGGACAACAGTAAACCCAGCCAAGATTAGTCCTCATGGGCCTAAAGTTATCAACCTTGAATCAAAAGAGCAGGGCTTCAAATCCAGCTATTAGCATAAGAACTATTCCCAAAGCAAGAGTTCAAACCACTGGATGACCCCACTCTCAGGAAGCAGTAGCGGTCTTCGCACAAGATGACAGTCAGTGAGGCATTTAAGGTCTTTCCGTCTCTTATGGGAGCTACAGGTCAGTGAATCACCTCCAGGGACTAAGATGGGAAGTTGGAAAAGAGAGGGTGTGGGATACTTCTGTCTTTGCCAGTAAGAGCAAAGGAATCAAGGGGTTGATTAGATACTTGCAGGTATCTATATCAGCACCTTCGACATTGGCACTTCTGTTCTCATGTTCTCTTTCTGAGCAAGTTCACTGATTAAACAATCAAGGGCTTCTTCCAGATAAGTTTCTAAAGGCAGTCTATTCCAGAAGATTCTTCATGCTTCATCGACACTGGCTTTAACATCTCCACACTTGCAGTCCACATCTTCATCGTTTTTTTTTTTTTTTTTTGAGAAGGATAAAGAAGGGAAGTCAACTTGCTATGTTGCCCAGGCTGGACTTGAACTCCTGGGCTCAAGCGACTCTCCAGCCTCAGACTCCAGAGTAACTGGAATTACAGACACATGCCACACACCCAGCTTCACATCTCCTTCATCTTTTATGATCAGGTGTCCTCCAGCAAGCCTTCACAGTCAGCTTCCTCCCTGCTCCCCAGTCCACGCTCCCCAGCTTAAGCCTCCTGTTCATACAATAAATGGAAACTAACAAACAACAATGAAGACAAAAATTTTCATCCATATCTCTATCAATGAGCTTAACAAATTGTATTATAAAATGTGCACCATATAAAATTGCCTATGTTGACCATTTCTGACAAATTTCATATAATCCAAACAGATAATTCTCTGTTTCTGTGTCTACATCTTCCACTAGATCATGAGGAAGAACTGTGTTTTGTCTTCTGATTATACAATCAGATTTTAATGAATGTCTTGGCACATCACTGGTTATCAATCAATGACCAATGAATGAATGAATGAATGAGTTAAGAGCCTGGGCTTCAGAACTGGGCCACCTTCTTGGGGAAGCCTGTTGAGGCTGAGTGCTTGACAATAAGGAAAAGGTGTGACTTAGAAGCAACCTCTCCGTCAGACAGGACGATAAACAATACACATTTCTCTGGATTATTTATTTCCTCAATAAAAACATGGCCACACTGACAGATAAACACACTATTTTATGCCCCAATTGAATGATTTTTCTCTCAGGTTAGCAAACCCTCCAGCACCTCACAGGATGGGGGCCAGGCCTTGAGTCTTGTTCTTTCATCTGGTTTTTCCATGTGTTCCTTTGACAATAAAAGCATTTTGGCTGAAGACACTGGCTTTAAAGATTTCTGTATAGCATCACACAGGGCAAAATCTGGTTTCTGGTTAGATGTGGACACACGTGCAGTGCCACGTGAATCCCCTAAGCATTTACCATATTGAACTCACCATGGTGATGTGTTTCTTGCCACATCTGATTCAGTGACCCATGTCTACTTTGATATTTGTAATGAAGCTGCCTTAATCACTAGCTTGCAGAATTTCTGAGGAGTCTTGCAGAAATGTCTTTGAGCCAAGATATTTTCTTCACAATTATGTTAAGACTTTTCCAGAATCAGATGAAGAGATGCTTTTAACTGAACATATGATAATTTCTAGTGCAAAATTTCCACCTTATCATGAACAAAATGATAAAACCAAAAAATTAAGGCCAACAATCTTTAGGGAAAAGATGGAGAAGGATAAAGAAGAGAAGTCTACTACAAAACATTCACAGATTATTTTGGCTAAAAATGATGTTCCATCCAAAATATATCTATTGGCTGGGCATGGTAGCTTATGCCTGAAATTCCTCCCAAAAACTTTGGGAGGCCAAGGCAGGAGGATTGCTTGAGGCCAGGAGTTCAAGAACAGCCTGGACAACATAGCAAGACCCTACCTCTATTAATTTTTTTTTTTTAATTAGCCAGGTATGGTGACCTGTGCCTGTAGTCTCAGCTACTGAAGAGGCTGAAGTGGGAGGATCACTTGAGCCCAGGAGCTCAAGGTTGCAGTGAGCCATGATTGCACCACTGCACTCCAGCCTGGGTGACAGAGCAACACCCTATCTCTAAAAAATAAAAATATATCTATTGACCTTAACAACTCTTCAGTGAGTCTCGGAGGTAAAATGAGTGCACTTGTTTTCCTTCTGGTTGTCACCATTTTTAAGTTTCTTTTCAGTCGGGGTGCTGAGGAAGGTTAAAAATCCAGCAACTTTGGAAAACTAAAAGTTACTGACTTCCATGTTGAATTTCATTCCTAAGTCCATGGGACAATTGTTAAATGACTGGACATCTTGACATAATCAGCAATAGGATCGATTCAAAGTTTGAGATTCAGACACTGCCCACAGGAAGGGCCAGAGAGCATGGGTAAGATGTGGAAAGCTTGTGCTTGAGTGTTCCTGCTGAGGCTCAGAGGCATCACCATTTCAGATCATTTCAGCATTCATAGTGCTTTGGCTCACAATGCCAAAGAGAAAAATAATTTTAGAGATAAAACTCCATATGTTAGTATAAGCAGATTTTACACCCAACCAGTTGATTTGCACTTGACATTCTCATCTCCAGCACCTTCCCGTTGGGAATCAAATATCAGCTCAGCTGTTCATCAGTACTCAGAGCTATAGGTGGATTAAGTCATAAACTATTAAGCCCACTTTAAAGTTCAAGCGGACGGTGAAAAGCAGAGTTCTGCTTAGGGACAAGGGAGTTTTGTTTCTCCCTGCCCCTCTGGGCTTGCATGATTCAGAGGGGATCAAGAATAACAGGTGGTGAGATCTGCCATAATGCGTAGTTTAAGTCTAATCACGTTTATATTTATGTTTGGATTTAGACATATCTAACTCCTGGTTTCTCAGGCTTTATCAGCCTGGGATCGCCCAGGGCTTGGGTGATGATCAGTGGTATTTAGTGCTAAGGCCTCACCCTGCTTTGTTACTAAATTGTAAGTCCCCCCACTGAGAGGATCCAGGGGCCAGGCTGCTTTTGTTCTCCTGGGCTGTTGCTTCCATTGGTGCTTTCTTTTTTCTTTTTTTTTTTTTTTTTTTTGAGACAAAGTGTCACTCTTGTCACCTAGGTTGGGTCAATGGCTTGATCTCGGCTCACTGCAACCTCTGCCTTTTGGGTTCAAGCGATTCTCCTGCCTCAGCCTCCCGAGTAGCTGGGATTACAGGCATATGCCACCATGCCCAGCTAATTTTTGTATTTTTAGTAGAGATGGGGTTTCACCATGTTGGCCAGGCTGGTCTTGAACTCCTGACCTCAAGTGATCCACTGCCTTGGCCTCCCAAAGTGCTGGGATTACAGGCGTGAGCCACCACACCCGGCACCATTGGTGCTTATGATGACCATTTGGGACTGGTTTTGAGGATGACTGGCATTCCACTGGGTCATGCCCAAAAGTGTTTTCTCTAGCCATAGGCTGATATCCTGAAAAGAGATGTACCCATCCCTTGGCACTCACTGGGGATTGGCTGCAGGACCCCTGTGGATACCCAAATCCACAGATGCTCAAGTCCCTGATATAAATGGCCTAGGATTTGCATATAACCTATGCACATCCTCCTATTTACTTTAAATCATCTCTGATTACTTATAAAACCTAATACCATGTAAATGCTATGTAAATCGTGTTAGACTGTATAGTTTTATATTTGTATTATTTTTATAGTTTTTTTTTTTCTGAATTAGTTTCAATCTGAGGTTGGTTCAACCCCCTGTGGATACAGACTCTGTGGATGCGGAGATGAGAGTGCTGATCATATGTGCTGCAAATTTCTCCTACCACATGGCAAGTTGTTGGCTTTCTCGGGACAGTATCATTCACCATGCATGCCCATCTAGTTGGAACATTTTGTGCATCTCCTCTTTTTTCAAGCATCTTAGGAGTCTCTACAGAGTGTCCTGAGGGCCTGATTATCAGGCTCAAAATTTTTTTCACCATTTTTCTCTGGGATGGGTGGGGGCCTAGGAAATTCATGCAGAGAAAATCAGCCCCTATATGCATAAGTTCTAGTTTATCTTGCCCCACGTACATATCTAACATGACTCACCAAACAATCACAGATCCCCAAGCTTCGAATAGAAATCTCCCAGGAGTAGAAAAGCATCAGCTCCATTTTACAGGGAAGGAAATGGAAAAGAAAAGCTGTAGTTCTACAGACAGTGAACGATCTGTAAGATTTGGACTGTCATAGAAATGGTGCAGTTAGGAAAGAAGGTAAAAGGAGGCCTGTCACCTGCCTGACACACAGAAAGAGGCTGAGAGGGTGAGGGCTTTTCTGAGATTGGCCAATAGCATTTGCAATGGAAGTAAAACAGGCTCTTACTTACCTTCTCTAAGGAAGATAGGCTTTTCTTAAAAGCTATTCTATTCATATATATATATATATATATATATATATATATGACTATATATATATATATATATGACTATATATATATATATATATATATAATATAGTCTTTTCCATATATATATGGGAAAGATGACTGGTCAATAGGCAATTGTATTTTAAAACATCTACTTGGGTGTATTTTCATATGGATTTTAGTAGCTATATCACCTCAGGCTAAAATAACATTTAAAAGTCAGGCTTTGAACAACGTGTAAATGCTCAGTAGGTCATATAAATGCATTGACTTTTTATATATTTGACTTGTCAGCATGTGGAATGTGATAGTTGCCAGACTGTATTTCATGATATCCTAGAAATGCTTTGCTGGGATTGAATTTTAATTTTGGAAACCTTCCTTTCAGAAATCGAGAGATTTATGCAGAAGTGAGGGCCACGCTTGATCATGGGTGATAAAGTGTCCCCTGTGAGAGTATACAGATGTTTAAAGAGAAGCTCTCAGGATTTTGAAGGGCTTATCATGAACTAGAGGAAGCCACTTCGGAGGGGATTGGCATGAGACAGAACAACAGGCTTCGGCCTTGAAAGAACAAAGGATAAGAGGTTAGAAGTTATCCCCGGAGCCAATTCTTTTGGGAGATAAAGCCAATCCAGGGTGTTGAAAACACCTGGCCTTCAGCACAATTATGAAGTTCTTAGAAGTTGTTCTGTCTAATTCCCTCCTTCATTTTTTCCACCTCCCTGAAAACTTCTCCCTTTTCCCCAGCCTGGCTCCTGTAATCATTATGCTATCAATACTTACATCTGGCCAGGCACAGTAGCACACACCTGTAATCCCAGCCCTTTGGGAGAATAAGGAGGGAGGATCACTCGAGGCCAGGAGTTTGAGATCAGCCTGGAAAACATAGCAAGATACTGTCTCTACAAAAACAAAACAATTTTAGAAGTTAGCCAGGTGTGATGGTGCACACCTGCAGTCCCAGCTACTCAGGAGGCTGAGGCAGAAGGATTGCTTAAGCCCTGGAATTACAGGCTGCAGTGATCATACCACTGCACTACTCCAGCCTGGGTGACAGAGCAAGCCTCTGTCTCAAAAACAAAAAATTAATTAAATTAAAATTAAAATTAAAAATAGGAACTTATATCTGCTCTCTCTTTAGCACTGGGAGTGAAGGATCTGAGGTTCAGACCCTGCCTGCCTGACCATGCCCCATTCCTGTGCCCCTCCATTCTGAGCCTGGAGCCACCCTGGGGTCAGTAAACCCAACTATGCTCACAGATTGTCCTCCTCTGAGAAGATATTTTCATTTAAAAAGGGAGTCCTCAAAAAAGCTATCTGCTTTCCTTCAAGCAAGTCCAAGTGTAGCAAAGTTAAATGCTGGAGACACCTGTGGGAAGATATTGAGGGGCAAGGTGGACCCCTTAAATTACATCAGGTAAATAATCTTCTTGTCTGAGGACACACAAACATGATCTGCTCTTATACTCCAAGGAGGTCAGCCTGAGCCTCCAAGACCTCAGAGGTCAACGTCAGTGTTGTCACTAAGACCTGCTCTTGCTCTAAGAGCAAGTGAAAATCTCGCTCAAAATCACTCAAATGAGACAATCTGGTTTGGTTTGTTTTTTTGTTTTTTTGTTTGTTTTATTTTTGTTTTGTTTTGTTTTGTTTTGTTTTTTGAGGTGGAGTCTTGCTCTGTCACCCAGGCTGGAGTGCAGTGGCGCAATCTTGGCTCACTGCAACCTCCACCTCCTAGGTTCAAGCGATTGTCCTGCCTCAGCCTACCAAGTAGTTGGGATCACAGGTGCACACCACCACATCTGGCTAATTTTTGTATTTTTAGTAGAGACGGGGGTTTCACCATGTTGGCCAGGCTGGTCTTGAACTCCTGACCTCAAGTGATCTGCCCGCCTCAACCTCCCAAATTGCTAGGATTACAGGCATGAGCCACCTTGCCTGGCCTAATGGGACAATCTGAATTAGTGAAGGATGAATAGTGGTACACATTCTTATTTTCAAATGTATGGAATTTATTGTTCTAGATTTTTTAAAAAATCAAATGGACGTCCTTAGGGAGGCTGTTTTAATGAACAGATAAGAATGATTTGTAATTCAGGCATCAATTGCTTACATGTAAATAGCTGCTTCTGAAATGCTTAAGGGTCTGTTTGAAACAAGTTTGTTCTCTTTAAACCTGGCCTGTGATTTAATTTGCATTCACAATTTACTCCCAAACCCCTTATTTTGTACATAATGCAAAGGTAAATTTCAACTAACCAATCTATACATGAGGATCAAAATTTCTGTGGTTTTACCAGAGTTGCTGGTTTTGAATCCTGGGATATCTGGAGTTTTATTATGACTAATGCTCAGTTTTAAGGCACATTTTAAATATGCAAGTTTGCTGTCCTTGCTTCATGAGGCTAATTTTAGCTAAAGCTGCAGCGATAAAAATCTACATAAATAAATACATAAATAAATAAAATCTACAAGGCTTCCTGGAATTACCACTTTCCAGAAACAATAGTTTCCAGAAATGATTCTAATTAGTGAGTGTTCCATTGGCTCCAGCGGACAGTTTTATAGATGGTTTCCATTTGTAGAAACTTGTTCACAACACACATCCACTTTCATAAACACACATATACACATATGCATGTGTGCTTTTTGTTAGCTTGTTGGCTTTAGTCTTTGCCATCGACATTTCAAATTGCACTGAAACTAAACATTAAATATGGATTCAGAAGGATCCTGCTGACACTCTAAGCATATATCATGGCGGAAATAATACACAGCTCTCTTTCAGAGATCTGGTTGCTGATAAATCTGTAATCCTTTTTATAACATTTCTGTATATTGAAAAATAGGGATCCAAGATCCTGGAAGTACACATCATGGAAATCCCAATGGCAATGAAGGGGATATTTTGCAGGTGGCCCCCTTAGTTTTGGGAAAGAGTTGACTTTCCATGTACCTCTTCCAAACAGCTGGAGAAACCCAACCCCAATGGCAATCAGACTCCAGTGAGTGGAGGTCAGCAGTAACACCTGGCTAGCCTGTCTTATTGCAGCATAGCCTCACACTCTGCTCTTTCCTGCACGTGTTCGCTCTTCAGGAAATATTTTATTTATTTCACCATCTGCAAAACAATATGGCCTCTGGAGCATAAAGGAGAGTTGGACCTCTTCTTCAAATTTGTCTTAGGTCAGTGAACAGCAGTACAGCAGAAAGCATTCTTTTCCCACTGACAGAGTGATTAACAAGGCTCACCTCTCCTTTTTTTTTTTTTTTTTTTTTTGAAGTTATAGCTTTTATTAAGCCTCCTATGGGCACAGATTAAGCCATGAACTTGTAGCGATTTTCTTTTACAGGGTGAGAGAATGACAGCATCATATCAATTAAGGTTGGCATATTATCCAGCACAAGAAAAATGAAACTCAATAGTTTTCTATGTTGCAGACTTAGGAAATCGCTCGTGGGCAGAGTTATCCCGGAGGCTCATGACAAGCAGTGGTGTCACTGAAGTTCCACAAAATTGTGATTTCCCTTCATGGGCCCTCTCCTGATAAAGAGGAAGGGGCTGCCCAAGGAACTTGGGCACTGGCTGGGCTCCAGATGTGGGGCCTTCTAAAGATGTAAATTTCTGTTTGTTTTGGAGGAATACCCTGAAAATATTGGCCGATCATGTAAGGATTTTTCTTTTGTTTTGGAACTCGTTTGAATCGAATCAAACTCTGCTGGAATTCGCGTCAGAACAGGCTCTCTCTCATGGTTTCTAGTATTTCCTGTCTCTGGCCAGGCTGCAGCAATCTGAACAAAGCTTCTCAGGGTATTTTATCCTGTTTGGACTCTGTTCCAGCACAAACCTGGGACTAACTTGAGGCAACGGAAAACAGAAAAAAAAACCATTGAGGAAAAGATTGGCCCAGCATCTCAATCCCTGCTAAAAGACTGTGACAATTGATTATTATTGTTTATTTCAGTGGCAGGTCAGTTGAGAGGCAAGAGCACCATTATCAAGCTGAGATGTGAATTTCAGCCCTTATTCTTTTGAGGCTTATGGTTAAGTTTGCAAAGATCCTTTGCCTCACTTGTAAAGGAGACTAGAATACGGTATTTCTAAAATTCTTTCCAGCTTTCACGGAGTATATTCTAAGGGCCTCTGCATGTCATTCCAAAATGCTTGAAGACTTGGACAGATTGTTTTTCTGACCTGGTTCTTGACCTTAAGTCAAAGCACTTATCACACATGAACACTCTATGATTTGGCACTTCCACGTTAACACTCATATTAGTATTTGAAGCAGGTACCTTGGGAATTAGTTACAAACGCCTTATCTCCAGTTGACAGTTTTGCTGATCCAGGAAAATATAGAGCTTTTGTCTTTTTAGAATTGGGCAAATCTGATGTCATTTCCCCCTTCAAATCTTCTCCCTCATTACATAAAAAGAGAAAAATAATTATGGATCTCTCTTCCCAACCTCCCCCAGGGCCTCTCTGTTCAGGCTCTCAAGTGGTGCACTAGACCAGGTGTCCCCAAACCCTGGGGACCTGTACCGGTGTGGTACCAGTCATCTGTATTTATAGCTGCTCTCCATTGCTTGCATTACTACCTGAGCTCTGCCTCCTGTCAGATCAGCAATGGCATTAAATTATCATAGGAGCTCAAACCCTATCGTGAACTGTGCATGGGAGGGATCTAAGTTGTGCATTCCTTATGAGAATCTAATGCCTGATGATCTGTCACCGTCTCTTATCACCCCTAGATGGGACCATCTAGTTGCAAGAAAACGAGCTCAGGGCTCCCACCGATTCTACATTATTGTGAGTTGTGGAATTATTTCATTATATGTTACCATGTAATAATAATATAAATAAAGTGCACAATAAATGTAATGTGCCTGAATCATCCCAAAGCCACCTCCACCCCACTTCTATGGCAAAATTGTCTTCCATGAAATTGGTCCCTGGTGCCAAAAATGTTGGGGACAGCTGCCCTGGACAACTCCAGAGGGCTCCACTCACCTAGAAGACAATGGGATGGTGCCTTATGGAGTTCTCCAGAGGGATGGCCTTGACCTCGGACCTTCCTGTTCCAATCATGACGTTCTAATCACTTGCCTTTCCTGAAACAAGCCCTACACTTCCCTGCCTCAATATTTTTGTCCACAAGGTTCCCGCTGCCTGAAATATCTCCAGGACGGCATTGAAGTTACTGTGTTCGTCTATTTCCTCAAACAAAATAAAATCCTCAAAGGCAGGAACTCTGCATGGTGCCTCACAGCACAGGTCAAGAAAAGCTTGTGCCAAGCATGATGTCCTACTGTATTTTGCCCAGGAACCATTGTTCAGAAATCCACCTAATGAAGACAGAGGGAGAATAACATTGCATTCTAAGTTACATGTAATTGAAAATGACTCGTGGGAATCTACGTAAACACATTTGAACCTGTCTTCCCTTGCTTCTGACGTACTGTCCCCAACTTGGTCTTAAATGTCCCCATGCACTGTCTTCCTGGCTCATCACCAAAGCCTGGAACTCTCAGAAAATCCCAAAGGCGCAATAGAAAGTTTCCATGTTTCTTATTGCTTCATCTTGCTTTCATGATTCTACATGTTCCCATTTTAAAGTGCATTACAATATACAAAAAAAAAAAAAGCATAAAATAAGACCCACAGAACACTAAAATTTAAAACAGTGGGACAAGACATAACACATAAAGGGGTAAGTAAAGATAAAAGGCATGAGGAGACATGTACTATCAGCAGAGCCATAGCAGGGACGTAGCACAGTGCTGTGTCAGGGGCACAGACATTGGAACCTAAACTACCTGGATTTCACTCTCAGTCCACCACTTACTTAACTTCTCTGTGCCTCAGAGTCCTCACCTTGAAAATGGGAATAATAGGGTGATTCTAGGATTAAACCCACAGTACCATAGAGTTGGTTCTTGTTATCTGAGGTAGTTATGTTCTATAAAGTTGCTGAGGGTTGGGCACAGTGGCTCACACCTGTAATCCCAGCACTTTGGGAGGCCAAGGCAGGAGGACTGTTTGAGGCCAGGAGTTCAAGACCAGCTTGGGCAACATAGCAAGACCCCATCTCTACAAAACAATAAAATATTAACTGGATGTGGTGGTATGCACCTGTAGTTCCAGCTACTTGGGAGGCTGAGGTAGGAAGATCACTCGAGCCCAGGAGTTTGAGGCTGCAGTGAGCTGTGATTACACCACCACACTCCAGCCTGGGTGACAGAGTGAGATCCTTTCTTTAAAAACAAACAAACAAACAAACAACAAACACAGATTTGCAGAGAACATTGAATTAGCAAATACTCAAACATTGCTTCTAGCCGAAATACAGAGTTGTTTGCTTTGAGCACCTGGTCATATTATTTTTGTCAATTGGCCAACATATAACCTTGTTTTGTGTGTGTTTCTATTTAAAGACACCTTATTTAATATATATTGTTAGTTCATTAAAATTGAACCCACTCCCAACTGCACTATAATTCCTGCCTGAATAAAGCAGATCAGTTGATAAGCTTATCGGCTGATAAGTACATATTTTCTCTGTAAGGCACATCACAGCTTTCTTGCACTTTGGAACACTAGACATCACTTCAGCACTATGCTTAGAGACCTTTTTAAATTGCAAAACCACCAAGAAAAGCACACAAATGTGAGAAACAGCACTAAAATAGGAGGTATTTTATAGATGTGATTAATATCTGTGGTTAGTTGATTTAGTAAAGGAGATTGTCCTCAACAATGAGAGTGGGCCTTATTCAATCTATCGAAGGCCCTCAAAGCAAATACCAAGGCTTTCTAGAGAAGAAATTCTGTCTCAAGACTGTAGCATCAACCCCTGTCTGAGTTTTCAGCCGGTCAGCTTGTTCTACAGATTTCAGGCTTGCCAGTCCTCACAATCATGTGAGCCAGTTCCTTTAAATAAATCTTAATACACACACATATACATGCACACATTCACACACACATACATATACCTCCTGCTGGTTCTGTTTCTCTGAAGAACTCTGATATTCTTGCTTTCAATTATTTTTCCCCTTGTGGTGATGCAGTCAAGTAGGGTGGTGTATTAGTCTGTTTTCACACTGCTATAAAGCATACCTGAGACTGGGTAATTAGCAAAGAAAAGAGGTTTAATTGGCTCACAGTTCTGCTTGGCAGGGGAGGTCTCAGGAAACATACAATCATGGAGGAAGCTGAAGGGAAAGCAAGGCACATCTTACATGGTGGCAGGCAAGAGAGAGAGAGCGCGGGGGAAACTGCCACTTGTTAAACCATCAGATCTCGTCAGAACTCACTCAATATCATGAGAACAACATGGGGGAAACTGTCCCCATGATCCAATCACCTCCCACCAGCTCTCTCCCTTGACACTTGGGGATTTCAATTCAAGATGAGAATTGGGAGGGTACACAGAGCCAAACCATATCAGATGGACACCTGATTGGAAATCAGGAAGTCCAGATCTTTGTCTCATCTGTGTCCCTTCATCAAGGTTTTCATCAGCTATAGGGTTGGGCTGGCCATTCTCTGTGGGCCTGTCTAGCTTCAAGACTCCCTGGGAAGAGGAAATCACATGAGCAAAGGCCTCCTTCTCTCCCCTACCCTGTCTTCCAACTCTCGTGGTAGAATCACAGAGTGTGAGAGTTGGATAGAACCTTAGAGATTATGTCATCCAAGCTCTTTATTCCTTCATTCCCTTGAGGATAAGTGTAAAAACCCAGGTTCATGCTCCCTTTCTTCCTCCTAAAACTGGGCATAAACATTTGTAGGACTTGGTCAGTCTGTTGCCAGATTCTCTGAGCCCTTGGGAAGTCCTGCCAAGTGCGGCCTCAACAACAAAAAACCATGAGAAATTAGGGACCGGGATGGGAGAGGGTGGGGAAGAGGGGATTCTTTGAAAGTCCTGAAATGCTAGCAGAAAATTGATCAAAGCCGAGATGAATTTCACCCATCTCTTCTAACGAGCTGCTAATATTGGAGTAGCAGCCTTGTCAGGATAATTTGTCACATATGTCCCTGTGTGGGCTGAAGCCTCTTCAGAGTCATCTTCCCAGCCCACTGCCACAGGCGACTTGTCTGAAACAAAGCTCTAAGACAGAATGGAAAGGAAAATGCAGGGGAAGGGAGGTGCATTGAATGGCCACTGACAAGTCATCTGGGCTCCCTCCTCCAGATCTTGCAACTCCAACCACATCTACTTTCATTACGCCGGAAGAGCCTGCTGTTACTTCTATGACATTTCTGTTACTGCCACAACTGCGATGCCCACTGTCCCTAAGATGCTGCCCAGAAAAGCAAATTGCCTCCTGAAAAATAACACAGTGTCAACACTAGTTAACAGACCAATAAAAAACTCTGAGACGTGAGACTTCTTGCTGAGATGGGCTCGGCAGAGATCCTTCAGCCAGGGCAGAGTTCTTTAGGGCAGAATGACTGCTGGTGACCCCGGAGGACCTCAGTCTGAGCATCAGCTGTGGGGTGTGAGTCTCACACAGTGAGTCCATCCATCACAGGGGGCCCTAGCACTTGCTTCAAGTGGCTCTCAGGCCAGACTATCAGTTGGCCAACACAGTCACCACCAGAGCCTCACAAAGGTCTCATTCTTTCTCTCTGCTTTTAACACCAAAATACCAACAAGACATCTGTTGTGGGAAGACCAGAGAACAAAAAGATGTAACAGAATCCAAGGTGAAGTGGGTAGTGGGGGCGTGTCATAGGCCAGGTTATACGAGGTCTTCAGAACTGAGCCATTCAGCCTGGAGAAGAAAAGACATAATTTTCCTTGTTTTCTCATATCTTTAACAACATGCTAAATAAACAAAGAAATTTTACTGTAGTTTTTCAAGTAAGATTCCTAAATCATCTATATGTTTAATATACCTATTTATATGTATCCTGCTTCAAACCAGAATAGATCTGAAGTTGTACTATTTGTATGCAATGTTAATTGCATAACCCCATCCTATCTTTGCACGTGACAGCCTGAGGGTACCCAGAAACCATCCAGGTAGGCCAGCTTCATCATTTATCTTTAAAGTGATTTGCCCAGACTGGTGAAGTGACTATTCAAAAACTCATACAGCCAGTGCTTGGCAGAATCATGTTTCAAACCCAGGTATCTTCAAAACCCAGTGTTTTCCCTACAATTACTACTATAATCATTTTATGAGTTACAGAGGAATGAAAGTACATGGGGAAGTTCTCTGTGGACAGGGTGGGGCATTGCAGGTTCAAATCCTTTATCAGAGCTCAGAAAGTTGTCATCTGAGCTGCCAGGAGCACCAGCAAAAGAGGATCCTAGCTAGAGATAAAAGTGGAAATGGAGGCAACCAGGAACTGAGACTAACTTAGTTAAACTGAGACCAACTTAGCGGAGAAAGGTCTCCGCTAAAAAATTATTGAAGACATGAAATCACTAATTCTGACTTGACCATGACACTGGAACAATCTGTGTTCATAAGCCATAAGTTGCACACCAATTCTGAGGAATATGCTAGACTGCTTACCTGTTAGGGAAGGAGTTACCCAGCCTCAGACCTGAAAACTTGCATATTGCTGATGCTTGGTTATGCAGCGCTTAGAGGAAATGAAGGAGAGAACATGGTACAAAGAAGTCTCACACTCCTGCCCAGTGACAGGTGAAGACAATGTAGGTGAATAAGGGGAGGAAATTCTCTGATAAAGTCATACATAATCTTCTAAGGGGAATAGCAAGTCAGCATTCCAACACGGAAACAGCAAAGAAGAGTGAACCAATGTTTTCTTCCCCCTTCACTGAGCTATCTTTCTACTCTTATCTCTCCTGTGTCTTTTTTCATTTGGCTTCTATACGAGAAAGGAATATATAGCAAGTTAATGTGGAAGGCACATTTTGGGTGTGGGGGTGGGAATCAAGAGAGAAATATCTTTCTAACCAAATGTTGGAAGTCAGTTTTATCTATTTTTCTTCTATTGTACATTTTTTCCCTTGTTCTTCTTCCCTAGTCAGCCAGAATAAACAAAATCTGGATGCTAAAGATCTACGTGAGGCAGTGTTTGAAAGAGACCCATTTATCATATACTATGAAAGCAAACAGGAAGAGGAAGAGTGGAGAGCTCAAATGCATGGCCTCAGCAGCTATGAGTTTCCCTGTCTTGCAATTTCCCCCCAAGAAGAATAGCTGCAGTGGTTCTCATTTCTCCTTTCCCCTCTGGCTGAGTTGCTGAATTCACCTGCCATCTTCATTGACCTGTAAATGACCCAAATTCTCAACTGCAGAGCACAAAGAGACTCCAAATAGGTGAATAAGATAACACATGGAAAGCACTAAGCACAGGGCATGCAGTAAGCACTCAATAAATGTTCCCAGCTGCTGCAGCCATGCTTGTCGTCATCTCTCTTCTCCTCATCATCATCCTTGTCATCACCTCCAACCTGCAAGTGGACTGCTGGGTCATAGTTTGTGTTTCAGTCTTGTTTTCAAAAATGAGTGAATAAATGTTAAATCTGGTAGGTCTTTCCAATATCTCTAGGGCCTTTGGTGAGTAAGTAGAATGAATTTGGCAGGTAGCTCATGGTTTCACACATCTAGAGTTCTCTCTGTTTTTCTCTATCTCTGTCTCCCACTCCAACTTAACTGATGTTCTAGCGAGATAGAATGTACTGAATATTTTGAACCAGTATATGACTATACAAAATTACCCCCTTTTTTTTTTGAGATGGAGTCTTGCTCTGTCACCCAGGCTGGAGTGCAGTGGTGTGATCTCGGCTCACTGCAGCTTCCACCTCCCGGGTTCAAGCAATTCTCCTGCCTCAGCCTACTGAGTAGCTGGGATTACAGGTGTGCATCACCACGCCTGGCTAATTTTTGTATTTTTAGTGGGGGGAGGTTTCACCATTTTGGTCAGGTTGGTCTTGAACTCCTGACCTCCTGATCTGCCCACCTCAGCCTCCCAAAGTGCTGGGATTACAGGCATGGGCCACCGTGCCTGGCCAAAAATACCTATTTTTTTAGTGATAAATGTACAGTCTAATTTTATACATATATGTATATATTATAATTATATATAATTGTATTATATATTTATATATTATATATAAAATGAGAAATTATATCTATAATTTTACGTATATAAATATATATGTAAAAGCTCTGCCAATTCTCTCTCTATAAATATATATATTTGTTTTTCAATTTTATATATATAATTGAAAATGTATTGTTTTGGTGACCTATTTTGACAAACAATTGTATTAATTACCTTGCATTTAATATCTTTTTATATTATTATAACATTTTTAATATTATGCAGGTAATATGTACCTGCATTCTCCATTGATTCTTGCAATTCTTTTCTCTCTTGTTGGAGTATCTTTCCTTATAATTTTTTTAGAGATCTATGAAGGGTTAAACTTTCTGTATTTGTTTTCTAAAAATATGTTTATTTTATTGCACCTCTTGAATGATAGTTTAGCTAGGTATAGACATCTAACTTTTATAAGTTAGGAATTGCATCTGGCTAAGGGATAGCAACCTGACCAAAGAGACTGGTGTATGGGGCTAGTGTGATGCTTGACAAAAGACAGGTATTTTCTTTTATTATTTAGTAAGAGGCTGGAGATTGGAATTCTTTAGGCTGGTGCAATTGCTCAGAGAAGTAGTCAAAAACTCCTTCTATCTTACTATAAGCAAACCTTAAGCTGTGGTTTTAGTTCTCATTGTCACAGAATGGTTTGTGTACCTGTAATTATTAAGTCCATATTCCAGAGAGGAAGAAGATAGGACAAGGAGAAGGATAGTATACATAGGTCAGCTGTGTCTATTCCTTTTTATTAGAAAAACAGAATTCCAGAGACCTCCACCCTATAACTTTCTGCTTACATGTCTATGTCAGATGGACAGTTCTAGTTACAGGGGATTCTGGAGAAGTATTTTTAAGTGGACATGTTACTACTTTAAGTAATATTGGAGTATTGTTAATTAGCGAGAAGCAAGAGAAAAAGATATTATAAAGAAAACTAGAAGTGTTGTCACTTAGATTCATAATCATTTCATTTCTGTATTCAAAATTACTTCATACTTTTACATAGTATATTCTAGATGGGAAATCTGATGTTGGACTCTTTCTTTAAATCCTATTCCAATTGTCCTACTAACTCTGTAGTCTTTGTGTAAGTTCTTCCATTTGCTGATGTTACTACTTCTCTCTCATAGTGTTGACTCTTCTCAAATAGTGGAGGCTTCTCACTTGAGTGCCTGTTTCTGTAGTTGAGATTCGATTCCCTGTTATTCTTTTTTTTTTTGAGACCGGGTCCCGCTTTGTCACCCAGGCTGGAGTGCAGTGGTGTGATCACGGCTCACTGTAGCCTTAACTTCCTGGGCTACCACACCTGGCTAAACAGGGTTTTACTGTTAGTCTGTTGGCTACCTCTGTTGTGAGGCTAGTTCACTTGTAGTTTCCAAAATAATTTGGGGAGCAGCTGAGCCTGCTATAGCGCAGGACACCATAGCATTTAATATTCCACGTGGTGCAGTCCTTTACTTTCTGGGAGTGGCAAGCCAGCCAAAGCTCTTTGAATTCTCTCTTTCCTGAGGTCTCACGGTCACTTTTATTTCCTGAGTCAGAAGCATCTGCTACTGCTGCTTATGGAGCAGGGGAAGCCAAGTGCAAGGATGAACCCAACTGGCCCCTCCTCCTGTGGCATCACAACTAACCAGTCTCCTGGTGGTTCTTCCTCACCTTTGAGTCCTGGCTTCTACCACCTCCAGACAGGAGCTTGCTCAGGGCTTCTCCCGCCTTTATGTTGCAGCTGTCTCCTGGGCTTGTCCTGGCCTCCAGCTTTTCTTCCTGGCTGATGCTCCCTCTGTAGTTTTCCATTTGCATTCTTTTAAGATTTTTCATAGTTTCTGGTTCCCTGATAGTTCTCTTCTTTCCAAGTAAAATAATGCATATGCATTTATTTCCATGGATTTGATGTGAGAAGGGGGAGTCCACAGCCTGTGATTTTCCATCAACTGAATACTTTTTCAAATGTACTATGAAGCACATTTGCATCTCTTTGTTTCTGATATTATCTCTGTTATCCTAGAAAGTTGATTGTGCAGTTACTATGAGACTCAGTTCACTGATGGAGAAACTAAGAGAGCACAGTTAATTATGATAATTCCCTATATTTAACATTTGGATTTGTTTGCTTTGTGTTTTTTGTTGTGTTTGTTGGTTTTGAGATGGAGTCTCACTCTGTCACCCTGGCTGGAGTGCAGTGGTATGATCTCGGCTCACTGCAACCTCTGCCTCCCGGATTCAAGCAATTCTCCTGCCTCAGCCTTCTGAGTAGCTGGGATTACAGACATGTGCCACCACAACCGGCTAATTATTTGTATTTTTTTTGTAGAGACAGGGTTTCTCCATGTTGCTCAGGCTGGTCTCGAACTCCTGTCCTCAAATAATCCACCTGCCTCGGCCTCTCAAAGTGCTGGGATTACAGCCGTGAGCCACTGCACCTGGCCTGACATTTGGTATGTATCCTTCTGATTATACTTTCACTCCTGAATTCTTTTTGTTACACCTTTAAGGAAATTTGAAGGGCAGAGAATAAGTCCTCACTCTTGTGAGTTGCAAAGCCTAGATGCCTACACAGCACGCTAGAACATACGGTATACCAGCTCTAGTCTGTCTTTGCACCCTTCTCATGGGCCTGGTGTCCTTGTTTTTGCCTGGATATTTCTGCCTTATTCTTTGCAATGCCCTCCAAACCTTCTCAGATCATCTGTGCTGTGTAAAAGGCCAGGAAAATAAGCAGTCTCTGGATTTAGTGCTGGGAACTGGAGCTATAATAGCATGAATTCATGTCCCCAGTAGTCAAGGTAGGAAGAATCAGGAGCAAATCGAATCCTGCCTTTCAGAAAGTTCGAAGGAAGAAATTCAGGGAAATGAATGTTTGTTGTTAATTCCGAGGGAAAAAATGGAGCTACAAAATTAGAATCAGAGTCAAAGAGTAAAAATCTGGCAGAATAGGAATTATTATACCAAAGAGTAAAAAGAAGAAGAGGAGGAGAAGGAGGAGGAGAAAAACCACCTTGACCACTATCAGCAAAAAAGGATGATTTTTCTCAAATTGGGTTGAAGTTCATGGGGCTCAAACTTTTTGACTCCTGGTAGTCTGGTCTATGCAGATATGAAGATGCAAGGTTAGGGTAAGCACTCCTCATCTTTTCTCTCAAGCTCTTTCTCTCCATCAGGACAAAATGAGCTATTCTGATAAATTAAGGAGAGGATGAATATGCTATCATCTTTTAGGTAATATATTTAGAGCTAATTTGGGGTTCCTGTCAACACCTTCCCTAATTCACTAATGGAATTTGGGAGGCCTTAAAAGAATGCTGGTCATTTGGAAGAGGTCATAAACAGACCATATTCTTTAGAAACTTGGAATTGTCTTGTTGTGCAAGGTAAACCTTGCCAAGAACACAGCAATTATTTTCAACTACCCTAAGTCCCCTAAAATTGAGAAAAGATGAGGTGTGTTTTTGCCCACTTGATCATAAATACCTGTTTTAAAACAGGGCAGCCAATATCAGATGTAAAAATGATTAGTGGGAAGAGAAATCTTACCCCTTGTGTAGCTCTGATGCTCCTATGAGGTAAATATTGATAGGCAGAGTGTATTTTTCCCAGTTTCACTTTTCAGAGCTGTTTCATCTTAAATATTATAGACAAAAGCTTAATGAAGCTGAAGGGTCAAAGACTGAACATAACATGCTGTGTTTACAGTATATTCTCTACTCATAGTGCCCTACTTAAAAACCTTGCCATCTTTCCTGGTGCTCTTTTTCTTTCTACTAGACCCAGCAAGAAAGTTGACAACCTAAATGCTTCCTTTTGCAACTCCCAGATCGTGATATTTCTGTGACATACTGAGCTGCCGAGAAAGCAAATGGAAATTAAGATGACAAAAACAAACTCCAAAGTAGAAAACTCTACTCTCTGGATCCCTGCAAAAATCTCCCAGCTGTGATCCAGAGAGATGCCCATTTTGCATATTTCTTCAGCAAACCCCCCAAGGTGTACCCTAGCACCACCAGCTTTACTAATGAAATGATCCGCCTCTCCCATCCTTTTTCTTTTTCTATGAGTTCCTGAGAAGAGAGCCTGAAGTGACTCCAGGGATAGAATAATGGTTCCGGAAAGAACATTTAAAGGGATTACAGTTGCTCTGAGCTTATTTAAATTTTATCTTCTTAAATGATTTCTCTGACTACCTACCTGAGGCTGCTTTTCTAGTTCTCTGAATTGCCAACACCCTTAGAATATATTGCATATTCTGATTTTTACCTTTTATTCCTAAGTACCATTTTATGGTTGCTCTCTGTTTAGAACCTTGTCTTCCCCAATGCAGCATCAGTTTTGCATGCTCAGAGATGGTTGTTCCAAGTTCTTGGAGGTACAGAGTATCTGGGACACTGGACACAGGGCAGGCAGAGACTTTGTAAGTACTGCTTCACTTGGCCTGAAAGAAATGATCTAATTATTGTCCTCAAGTCAACATGTCTTTATTTAAAGAAAATGGCGCCATTTTTAATGTCCACAGAGTAATAATTGAAAGGAGTTTGGCATAAATTTAAGCAGGAGAGATTCTTTCAATCAGACCCAGAATATATGCAAAAGCCTTCTATAGCTGTGGATAGTGTGATAGATACGCATCATTCCACGATAGGGCTGGTGACAAATGGGGTATTAGCTGAAAGTGTCTGGGGTAGGTGAGGGCTGCTTTCTGACTGTTTGATATACACCTACATAATCACAGGGTAGTGGTAGAAGGTGGGCAATGAAATGCTTACCAGATAAATCCAGTGCAAGAAAATATGTTTATAAAGCAATATTGATAAGGTTGCTTTTACAATAAAATGGACATACAATAAAATGTGCCCATTTGAAATGTATTCAATACGTTCAATAAGATTGGGCAAATGTATACATTCATGTACCAAAGACCCCAATTAAGATACAGAATATTTTCAAAACTCCAGTAAGTTCCTATTGTTCCTTTGCCATCAGTCCCAACCCATTCCTGTCCCCAGCTCCAAGTAACAACTGATATGTTTTCTTGCAGTATAGATTAGTCTGCCTTTTCTGGAGTTTCCTATAAGATGAATCATATAGTATTTGTTTTGGGGATGTGTGCCAGGCTTTTTTTATTCTCCATAATGTTTTTGAGATTCATCTATATGAAACTAGCCCCATTGTCCCATAGAATTGCTGTTTATGATTTCATTTGAATAAGCACAGAAATTTACCCACCCGGTTTTAAAGCTTGAGACAGTTACAATTGTCTTATCAGAGTTCCTTTCTCAAGAAACCAACCATTCGGCCTCCCAGACAGTATGGAGGAGCTGAAACTCACCAGATCACTGCATCTGGGCAATGAGATGCCACCAGACCTCTTACCCATCGTGATGCCTAACCTACCACCTGCTTCCCATTGACCAACTTCTCTTCCTTACCCCTCCCTGTTCCTGTTTTTTTACACATGGTTACATTCTTCCCTGCTATGTAAACTTCTAATTTTAGTCAGTCAGGGAGATGGATTTGAGAGTGATCTCCATCTCCACAGCTGCAGTACCCAATTAAAGCCTTCTTCCCTGGCAATACTCATTGTCTCAGTGATTGGCTTACTGTGCGGTGAGCAGCAGGATCTACAAAGAACTCCTAGTGTTTTAGTAACACATATTGTTGTATGTTACCAGTAGCTGGTTCTTTTTTATAGGTGAGTAGTATACTATAGTATGAAAGTACTATATTTTGTCTCTCTATTCACAAATGGTGAGCATTTGAGTAGCTTAGGTTTTATCTATTAGGAATAAAGTTATAATGAACATTGTGTTCAAGTCTTTGTTTCATTTCCCTTGGATAAATACTGTACTCAGGAATGCAATTGCTGGATACGTGAAAAGTGTACTGGTAAGTTTATAAGAAACTGTCAAACTGTTCTTTAAAAGTGTTAGACCATTTTAGATCCCCATCATCAATGTAGGAGCATTCTAGTTGCTCTACATCCTTGTCAACATTTGGAATTGTCAGTCTAATTTTAGCCATTCTAGTGGATCTATAGTGGCATCTCACTGTGTTTTTAATTTTTATTTACTGGTGACTAATAATATTGAGCATCTTTCATGAGTTTGTTGGCTATTCATTTATCTTATTTTGTGAAGTATCTGTTAAAATCTTTGTTCGTTTTTAAATTTGATAGTTTGTCTTGTTGTTATTACATTAAACAAGTACTTTATATATTCTGAATATAAATTTTTTGTTTGATGTAGGAACTGCAGATGTCTTCTCTCAGTCTCTTCCTTGCCTTTTCATTTTTTTAGTGGTGTCTTTTGTAAAGCAAATTATCAAAATTTTAATACAATAAAATTATTTGTTTGCTTTTTTAAATGGTTAGTGACTTTTGTGTCCTATACTAGAAATATTTCCCTATTCCAATGTCACAAGGATATTCTCCCTCATTCTTCTTTAGATCATGGGAAATATTCAGATTCTTCCATATTTTCTTTTAGATCACCTTTTTGTAAAGGGCCAGATAATCTATTTTTTTTCTTTTTTTTTTATTATTGTACTTTCAGTTCTGGGATACATGCGCAGAATGTACAGGTTTGTTACATAGGTATACATGTGCCATGGTGGTTTGTTGCACCCATCAACCTGTCATCTACATTGGGTATTTCTCCTAATGCTATCCCTCCCCTTGCCCCCCACCCCCTAACAGGCCCCAGTGTGTGATGTTCCCCTCCCTGTGCCCATATGTTCTCATTGTTCAACTCCCACTTATGAGTGAGAACATGTGGTGTTTGGTTTTCTGTTCCTGTGTTAGTTTGCTGAGAATGATGATTTCCAGCTTCATCCATGTCCCTGCAAAGGACATGAAATCATTCTTTTTATGGCTGCATAGTATTTCATGGTATATATGTACCATATTTTCTTAATCTAGTCTAACCTGGATGGGCACTTGGGTTGGTTCCAAGTCTTTGCTATTGTGAATAGTGCTGCAATAAACATACGTGTGCGTGTGTCTTTATAGTAGAATGATTTATAATCCTTTGGGTACATACCCAGTAATGGGATTGCTGGGTCAAATGGTATTTCTGGTTCTAGATCCTTGAGGAATTGCCACACTGTCTTCCATGTTGTGGGAAGTCAGGGACCCCAAACAGAGGGACCGGCTGGAGCTGCGGCAGAGGAACATAAGTTGTGAAGATTTCATGGACATTTACCACTTCCTTAATAATACTCTTTTAATTTCTTATGCCTGTCTTACTTTAATCTCTTAATCCTGTTATCTTTGTAAGCTGAGGATGTACATCACCTCAGATCCACTGCGATGACTGCGTTAACTGTACAAATTGATTGTAAAACATGTGTGTTTGAACAATATGAAATCAGTGCACCTTGAAAAAGAACAGAATAACAGCAATTTTTAGGGAACAAAGGAAGACAACCATAAGGTCTGACTGCCTGCGGGGTCGGGAAAAAAGAGCCATATTTTTCTTCTTGCAGAGAGCCTATAAACGGATGTGCAAGTAGGAGAGATATTGCTAAATTCTTTTCCTAGCCAGGAATATTAAGACCCTGGGAAAGGAATGCATTCCTGGGGGGAGATCTATAAACAACCGCTCTGGGAGTGTCTGTCTTATGTGGTTGAGATAAGGACTGAAATACGCCCTGGTCTCCTGCAGTACCCTCAGGCTTATTAGGGTGGGGAAAAAACTGCCCCCTGGTAAATTTGAGGTCCAACCAGTTCTCTGCTCTCGAACCCTGTTTTCTGTTGTTTAAGATGTTTATCAAGAAAATATGTGCACAGCTGAACATAGACCATTATCAGGAGTTTTTGATTTTGCCCTTTGCCTTGTGATCTTTGCTTTGCCCTTTGCCTTGTGATCTTTATTGGCCTCAGAAGCATGTGATCTTTGTTCTCCTTTTTGCCCTTTGAAGCATGTGATCTTTGTGACCTACTCCCTGTTCATAAACCTCCTCCCCTTTTGAAGTCCTTAATGAAACCTGCTGGTTTTGTGACTCAAGGGGGCATCATGGTCCTACTGCTATGTGATGTCACCCCTGGCAGCCCAGCTGTAAAATTCCTCTCTTTGTACTCTTTGTACTCTTTCTCTTTGTTTCTCAGACCAGCTGACACTTAGGGAAAATAGAAAAAACCTACGTTGAAATATTGGGGGTGGGTTCCCCCGATACTTCCACAATGGTTGAACTAATTTACACCCCCACCAACAGTGTAAAAGCATACCTATTTCTCCACATCCTCTCCAGCATCTGTTGTTTGCTGACTTTTTAATGATCACCATTCTAACTGGCATGAGATGGTATCTCATTATAGTTTTGATTTGCATTTCTCTAATAACCAGTGGTGATGAGCTTTTTTTCATGTTTGTTGCCCACAAAAATATCTTCTTTGGAGAAGTGTCTGTTCATATCCTTTGCCCACTTTTTGATGGGGTTGTTTGTTTCTTTCTTGTAAATTTGTTTAAGTTCCTTGTGGATTATGGATATTAGCCCTTTGTCAGATGGGTAGATTGCAAAAATTGTTACCCATTCTGTTGGTTGCCTGTTCACTCTGATGATAGTTTCTTTTGCTGTGCAGAAACTCTTTAGTTTAATTGGATCTCATTTGTCAATTTTGGCTTTTGTTGCCATTGCTTTTGGTGTTTTAGTCATGAAGTCTTTGCCCAGGCCTATGTCCTGAATGGCATTGCCTCAGTTTTCTTCTAGGGTTTTTATGGTTTTATGTCTTATATTTAAATCTTTAACCTATCTCAAGTAAATTTTTGTATAAGGTGTAAGGAGGGCTTCAGTTTTCTGCACATGGCTAGCCAGTTTTCCCAACACCATTTATTAAATAGGGAATCTTTTCCGCATTGCTTGTTTTTTGTCAGGTTTGTCAACAATCAGATGGTTGTAGATGTGTGGTGTTATTTCTGAGGCCTCTGTTCTCTTCCATTGGTCTATATATCTGTTTTGGTACAAGTACCATGCTGTTTTGGTTACTGTAGCCTTGTAGTATAAAGTCAGGTAGCGTGATCCCTCCAGCTTTGTTCTTTTTTCCTTAGGATTGTCTTGGCTATATGGGCTCTTTTTTGGTTCCATATAAAATTTAAACTAGATTTTTCTTATTCTGTGAAGAAAGTCAATGGTAACTTGATGGGGATAGCATTGAATCTATAAATTACTTCGGGCAGCATAGCCATTTTCACAATATTGATTCTTCCTCTCCATGAGCATGGAATGTTTTTCTATTTGTTTGTGTCCTCTCTTATTTCCTTGAAAGTGGTTTGTAGTTCTCCTTCAAGAGGTCCTTCACATCCCTAGTAAGTTGTATTCCTAGGTATTTTATTCTCTTTGCAGCAATTGTGAATGGGGGTTTGCTTATTATTTGGTTCTCTTTGTCTATTATTGGTGTATAGGAATGCTTGTGATTTTTGCAAATTGATTTTTTATCCTGAGACTGCTGAAGTTGCTTATCAGCTTAAGGAGTTTTTGGGCTGAGATGATGGGGTTTTCTAAAGATACAATCATGTCATCTGCAAACAGAGATAATTTGACTTCCTCTCTTCCTATTTGAATATGCTTTATTTCTTTCTCTTGCCTGATTGCCCTGGCCAGAACTTCCAATAATGTGTTGAATAGGAGTGGTGAGAGAGGGCATCCTTGTCTTGTGACAGTTTTCAAAGGGAATGCTTCCAGCTTGCCCATTCAGTATGATACTGGCTGTAGGTTTGTCATAAATAGCTCTCATTATTTTGAGATATGTTCCATCAATACCTAGTTTATTGAGTGTTTTTAGCGTGAAGGAGTGTTGAATTTTTTCGAAGGCCTTTTCTAAATCTATTGAGATAATCATGTGGTTTTTGTCATTGGTTCTGTTTATGTGATGGGTTATGTTCATTTATTGATTTGTGTATGTTGAACCACCTTGCATCCCAGGGATGAAGCCAACTTGATCACGGTGGATAAGCTTTTTAATGTGCTGCTGGATTTTGTTTGCCAGTATTTTATTGAGAATTTTCGCATCAATGTTTATCAGGGATATTGGCCTGAAATTTTCTTTTTTTATTGTGTCTTTGCCAGGTTTTGGTATCAGGATGACGCTGGTCTCATAAAATGTATTAGGGAGGAGTCCCTCTTTTTCTATTGTTTGGAATAGTTGCAGAAGGAATGGTACCAGTTCCTTTTTGTACCACTGGTAGAATTTGGCTGTGAATGCATCTGGTCCTGGGCTTTTTTTGGTTGGTAGGCTATTAATTACTGCCTTAATTTCAGAATTTGTTATTGGTCTATTCAGGGATTCGACTTCTTCCTTGTTTAGTCTTGGGAGTGGGTATGTATCCAGGAATTTATCCATTTCTTCTAGATTTTCTAGTTTATTTGTGTAGAGGTGTTTACAGTATTCTCTGATGGTAGTTTGTATTTCTGTGGGATCAGTGGTGATCTCCCCTTTATCATTTTTTATTGTGTCTATTTGATTCTTCTCTTCTTCTTTATTGGTCTGGCTAGTGGTCTACCTATTTTGTTAACTTTTAAAAAAAAACCAGCTCCTGGATTCATTGATTTTTTGAAGGGTTTTTCATGTCTCTATCTCCTTCAGTTCTACTCTGATCTTAGTTATTTCTTGTCTTCTGCTAGCTTTTTAATTTGTTTCCTCTTGCTTATCTAGTTCTTTTAATTGTGATGTTAGGGTGTCGATTTTAGACCTTTCTCACTTTCTCCTGTGGGAATTTAGTGCTATAAATTTCCCTCTAAATGCTGCTTTAACTATGTCCCAGAGATTCTGGTACATAGTGTCTTTGTTCTCATTGGTGTCAAAGAGCTTATTTATTTCTGCCTTAATTTCATTAATTACCCAGTAGTCATTTAGGAGCAGGTTATTCAGTTTCCACGTAGTTGTTTAGTTTTGAGTGAGTTTCTTAATCCTGAGTTCTAATTTGATTGCACTGTGGTCTGAGAGACTGTTGTAATTTTCATTCTTTTGCATTTGCTGAGGAGTGTTTTACTTCCAATTATGTGGTTGATTTTAGAATAAGTGTTATGTGGTGCTGAGAGGAATTTATATTCTGTTGATTTGGGATGGAGAGTTCTGTAGATATCTATTAGGTCCACTTGGTCCAGAGCTGAGTTCAAGTCCTGAATATCCTTGCTAATTTTCTGTCTCGTTGATCTGTCTAATATTGACAGTGGGATGTAAAGTCTCCCACTATTACTGTGTGGGAGTCTAAGTCTCTTTGTAGGCCTCTAAGAATTTACTTTATGAATCTGGGTGCTCCTGTATTGGGTGCATATAAATTTAAGATAGTTAGCTCTTCTTGTTACATTGATCCCTTTACCATTATGTGATGCCCTTCTTTGTCTTTTTTGATCTTTGTTGGTTTAAAGTCTGTTTTATCAGAGCCTTGGGTTGCAACCCCTGCTTTTTTTCTTTTCTTTCCATTTGCTTGGTAAATCTTCCTCTATCCCTTTATTTTGAGCCTATGAGTGTCTTTGCTTGTGAGATGGGTCTCCTGAGTACAGCACACCAATGAGCCTTGACTCTTTATCCAATTTGCCAGTCTGTGCCATATAAGTGGGACATTTAGCCCATTTATATTTAACGTTAATATTGTGTGTGAATTTTATGATGCTAGCTCGTTATTTTGCCCATTAGTTGATGCAATTTCTTCATAATGTTGATGGTCTTTACATTTTCGTTTGTTTTTGCAGTGGCTGGTACTGGTTTTTCCTTTCCATATTTAGTGCTTCCTTCAGAAGCTCTTGTAAGGCAGGCCTTGTGGTGACAAAATGCCTTAGCATTTGCTTGTCTGTAAAGGATTTTATTTCTCCTTCACTTATGAAGCTTAGTTTGGCTGGATATGAAATTCTGGGTTAAAAATTCTTTCTTTAACAATGTTGGATATTCACCTTCATTCTCTTCTGGTTTATAGGGTTTCTGCAGAAAGATCTGCTGTTAGTCTGATGGGCTTCCCTTTGTAGGTAACCCAACCTTTCTCTCTCACTGCCCTTAACATTTTTTCCTTCATTTCAACCTTGGTGAATCTGATGATTATGTGTCTTGGGGTTTCTCTTCTCAAGGATAATCTTTGTGGTGTTCTCTGTATTTCCTGAATTTGAATGTTGGCCTATCTTGCTAGGTTGGGGAAATTCTCCTGGATAATATCCTGAAGTGTGTTTTCCAACTTGGTTCCATTTTCCCCATCACTTTCAGGTACACCAATCAAACATAGATTTGGTCTTTTCACATAGTCCCATATTTCTTGGAGGCTTTGTTTGTTCCTTTTCATTTTTTTCCTCTAATCTTGTCTTCACACTTTATTTCATTAAGCTGATCTTCAATCTCTGATATCCTTTCTTCCACTTGATTGATTTGGCTATTGATACTTGTGTACGCTTCACAAAGTTCTTGTACTGTGTTTTTCAGCTCTATCAGGTTATTTATGTTCTTTTCTAAACTGGTTATTCTAATTAGCATTTCCTCTAACCTTTAATCAAGGTTCTTAGCTTCCTTGCATTGGGTTAGAACATGCTCCTTTAGCTTGGAGGAGTTTGTTGTTACCCACCTTCTGAAGCCTATTTCTGTTAATTCATCAAACTCTTTCTCCGTCCAGTTTTGTTCATTTGCTGGTGAGCAGTTGTGCTCCTTTGGAGAAGAGACATTCTGGTTTTTGGAATTTTCAGCCTTTCTGCACTGGTTTTTCCTCATCTTTGTGGATTTATTTACCTTTGATCTTTGCTGTTGGTGACCTTTGGATGGAGTTTTTGCATGGTCGTCTTTTTGTTGATGTTGATGCTGTTGGTTTCTGTTTGTTTTTCTTCTAACAGGCCTCTCTTCTGCAGGTCTGTTGGAGTTTGCTGGGGGTCCAGTCCAGACCCTGTTTGCCTGTGTATTACCAGCAGAGGCTGCAGAACAGCAAAGATTGCTGCCTCTTCCCTCCTCTGGAAGCTTCGTCCCAGAAGGGCACCCGCCAGATGCCAGCTGGAGCTCTTCTGTATGAGGTGTCTGTCGACCCCTGCTGGGAGTTGTCTCCCACTCAGGAGGCATGGGGGTCAGGGACCCATTGGAGGAGGCAGTCTGTCTCTTAGCAGAGCTTGAGCGCTCTGCTGGGAGATCCACTGCTCTTTTCAGAGCCAGCAGGCAGGAACATTTAAGTCTGCTGAAGCTGTGCCCACAGCTGCCCCTTCCACCAGATGCTCTATCGCAGGGAGATGGGAGCTATAAGCCCCTGACTGGGGCTGCTGCCTTTCTTTCAGAGATGCACTGCCCAGAAAGGAGGAATCTAGAGAGGCATTCTGGCTACAGCAGCTTTGCAGAGCTGCGGTGGGCTCTGCTGAGTTCGAACTTCCTAGTGGTTTTGGTTACACTGTGAGGGGAAAATCACCTACTCAAGCCTCAGTAATGGCAGACACCCCTCCCCCAACCAAGCTCAAGTATCCCAGGTTGACTTCAGACTGCTGTGCTGGTGGCGAGAGTTTCAAGCCAGTGGATCTTAGCTTGCTGGGATCCATGTGGGTGGGATCCACTGAACGAGACTACTTGGCTCCCTGGCTTCAGCCCCCTTTCCAGGGGAGTGAACGGTTCTGTCTTTCTGGAGTTCCAGTCACCACTGGGGTATGAAAAAAAACTTCTGTAGCTAGCTCGGTGTCTACCCAAATGGCCGCCCAGTTTTGTGCTTGAAACCCAGGGCCCTTGTGGTATAGGCACCTGAGGGAATCTCCTGGTCTGTGGGTTGTGATGACCATGGGAAAAGCATAGTATCTGGGCTGGAGTGCACCATTCCTCACGGCACGGTCCCTTATGGCTTCCCTTGGCTAGGGGAGGGAGTTCCCTGACCCCTTGCATTTCCCCAGTGAGGCGATGCCCCACCCTGCTTCAGCTCACCCTCCATGTGCTGCACCCACTGTCTAACCAGTCCAATGAGATGAGCCAGGTACCTCAGTTGGAAATGCAGAAATCACCCACCTTCTGCATTGATCTCTCTGGGAGCTGCAGACTGGAGCTGTTCCTATTTGATCATCTTGCTCAGGAATCCTTTTATTTTTTTGAGATGGAGTTTCACTTTTGTTCCCCAGGCTGGAGTGCAATGGTGCAATCTCGGCTCACTGCAACCTCCGCCTCCCAGGTTCAAGCGATTCTTCTTCATCAGCCTCCTGAGTAGCTGGGATTACAGGCACCTGCCACCACACCTGGCAAATTTTTGTATTTTTAGTAGAGACGGGGGTTTTGCCATGTTGGCCAGGCTGGTCGCGAACTCCTGACCTTGTTATCCACCCGCCTCGGCCTCACAAAGTGCTGGGATTACAGGCGTGAGCCACCGTGCCCGACCGATAATCAATATTTTTGACTTTATGGGACATATGGTCACTGTCATAGTATTCAACTCTGCTGTTGTAGCATAAATGCATCATTGATAATACACAAACAAATGAGCATGGCCAAATCTGGCCAGTGGACCAGTTTGCACACCCCTGTTTTTGCCTTATAGCTAGGTCTATGAGTCACCTTCAGTTAGTTTTGAGTCTACGAGTCACCTCCCCTTGGTTTTGGGGTATGGTGTCAGTAAAGGATTGAGATTCATCTTTTCACATTTTACCATGTATAAATCCAGACTTTCCAGCAGCATTTGTTCAAAAGATTATTGTTTCCCTATTTAATGACCCTGGCATCTTTTACAAAATCAATTAACCATAAAAGGTGATTATTGGTTACTGTGGGTTTAAAGTCATTCTTGAACTCTAGAAGCATGTGTTCTTCAACTTTGTTCTTTTTATTTTTTCAATATTCTTCTGGCTTATATAGATCCTTTGATTTTCTAACATAAATATTAGAAAGAGCTTTTCAGCTGGGGTTTTTTAATTGATTACATTGAGTCTACTAATTAAAATGGGGAGAATTGTCATCTTAAGAACATTAAATCTTCCAGTTCATGAACATGGTATATATCATTTATTTAGGTTTTGTCTACTTTCTTTTAGAATTTGGTCTGCAGGTCTTAAGCATATGTTGTTAAATTTGTTTTCAAGTATTTCATTTTGGATAGTATTACAATGGCATGTTTTTCATTTAAATTTCTAATTTTTCCATTCAATTGATATTATATAGATATAAGCTGAATTTTTTAAATATCCAACTTGTATTCTGTGAACACGCTAAATACACCTTTTAATTCTACCATTTTTTGGTAGATTTCTTTGGCTATTTCATACACAAAATCATGTTTTATATGAATTAAAACATTCTGCTTATTCCATTTCATCTGGTCAAGTTTGTTTTTCCTCTTGCCTTATATCACTGGCTAGAATTTTTACTATAGTAAATATTCTATAAAAGCAGTGTGAGTGGGCATTCTTATCTTTCTCCTGATCTTGGGTGGAAAGCATTTAGTTTTTCCATTAAGTATTATGTTAACTCTAGATTTTTCACAGAAGATTTTTATCAGGTTTGGAAGTTGGTTTCTATTTCTAGTTTGCTGCAATGTTTTACTCTTTTTAATCATGAATTGTTGTTAAGCTTTGTTCAATGCATTTGCACAGCTATTGAGATGCTAATGTGGACTTCTTTTTTTAAAAAAAAGCTTTACATGTGGTAAACTACTTCAGTTGATTTTCAAATGTTAAATCAGCTTACATTCCTGGCATAAATCCCACATAGTCATGGCATGTTATCCTTTTAATATTGCTGGATTCTAGTTACTAATATTTCTTAAGGATTTTTGCATCTACATTTATTAGGGATATTGATCTGTAGTTTTCATGTAATGTCTTTGTTTATTTTTGATATTAGGGTAATTCTGTGCTCATGAAATAAGCTTTGAAAAGTTTCCTCCTTTGTTTTCTGAAGAATTTCTGTAGAATTGATATTATTTCTCTCTTAAATGTTTCATCTGGGTCAGGATTTCATTTTGTGAAAAACTTTTCACTTTGATTTTAATTTACTTAATAGATATAAGGACATTCAGACTTTTCTATTTTATTAGTTTTGGTAATTTACATTGTTCAAGGAATGTTTTCATTTCATCTTGGTCAAGGGTTAGCAAACTTTTTCTATAATGGGACAGATATTAAATATTTTAGACTTTATGGAACATCCAGTCTCTGTCGCAATTAATGAATTCTGCCACTCATACATGAAAGCAACCATAGACAATACAGCAAGCCCTCCGTATTCATAGATACTGCATCCATGGATTCAACCAACTGTGGATGAAAAATATTTGGAAAAAAATGAAACCTGTACTGAACATGTACAGACTTTTACTCTTGTCATTATTCCCTAAACAAAACAGTATAACAACCATTTACATAGCACTTACATTGTATTAGCTATTACAAATAATCTAGAGATAATTTAAAGTACACAGGAAGATGCACATGAATTATATGCAAAATACCACATTTTATATCAGAAATTTGAGCATCTGCAGATTTTGGTATTTGTGGGAGGTCCTGGAACCAATTCCCCACAAATACTGAAGGATGATTGTGCATAAACAAATCATTATGACTGTGTTCCAACAAAACTTTTTAACTAAAACAGGTGGCAGGCCAGATTTGACCTACTGCCATAGTTTTCCTGCCCTGGTCAAATTTTTGACAAGAGCTGTTTGTAGTATTTCTTAGTTATTATTTTAATGCCCATAATATCTAGGGTGATATCCCCTTTTTCACTTATAGTAATGATAATTTTCCTTTTGTCTTGATGAGTCAATACAGTAATTTTCTTTTTCTAAGAACTATCTTTGGGTCTTATTTATTTTCTCTATTTTTGTTTTTGTTTTATATTTCATTGACATCTGCTCTTATCTTTAACATTTTATTCTTCATTTGCTCTGCATTTAATTTCCTCTTCTTCTTCCAGCATGGTAAGATGGAAGCTTTAATAATAAAGAACCATTGTTATATTTTTTTTTTTGACAGGGTCTGACTCTGTCACCCAAGCTGGAATGCAGTGGTGCGATCTTGGCTCACCTGCAACCTCCATCTCCTGGGCTCAAGCCATCCTCTCACCACAGCCTCCCAAGTAGCTGGGACTACAGGGGCGCACCACCACGACCAGCTAATTTTTGTATTTTTAGCAGAGATAGAGTTTCACAACACTGCCCAGGCTGGTCTTGAACTCCTGAGCTCAAGCAATCTGCCTGCCTTGGCCTCTCAAAGTGCTGGGATTACAGGCATGAGCCACTGTGCCTGGCACCTCCTACCCTTTTTTTAATACCAGCATTTAAAGCTTTAAATCTTCTTCTAAATGTGGATTTAGTTGCATTTCACAATTATCTTATATTGTGTTTTTATTTTAAGCTAAATTAAAAATATTTTCTATCTTTCTTTGTAATTTCTTCAACTCATGAATTATTTAGAATTATTACTTAATTTCTAAGTATTTGGAAAATTTTTAAGATTAAAAAATAGTTTCTTAATTTAATTCCAATGAGGTCAAGAATATTCTCTGTACTATTTCAATTCTTTGAAATTTGACACATTTTATGGCCCAGACTTTAGCCAATCATGGTACATGTTCCACATATACTTGAAAAAAAAATGTATATTCTGCTGCCAGTGGGTGAAATGTGCTATATACATCATCTAGGTCAAGTTGGTTGGCAATGTTGTTCAAATCTTCTATACCCTAACTTATTTTTTCTACTTGTTCTTGTACTTGTTATTATTATTTATTATTATTATTATTATTTGAGACAGAGTCTCACGCTGTTGCCCAGGCTAGAGTGTGGCATGATCTTGGCTCACTGCTACCTCTGCCTCCCAGGTTCAAGCAATCCTCCTGCCTCAGCCTCCTTAGTTGCTAGGATTACAGGTGCCCACCACAATGCCCAGGTGATTTTCATATTTTTAGTAGAGATGGGATTTCATCATGTTGGCCAGGCTGGTCTCGAACTCATTACCTCAAGTGATCTGCCCGCCTCAGCCTCCCAAAGTGCTGGGATTATAGGCATGAGCCACTGTGCCTGGCATTCTTGTACTTTTAATAGCAAAAACTGCAATTACTTCTGCACCGGCCTAATATAAAGCAAGAACAGTAAAATCTTCAACCATACGTCTCAATTTGTTTTTCTCTTCAGTTCTCTTAGAATTTGCTTTGTCTGTTTCAAAGCTCTGTCATTAGATACATACACAATAAAGAAGGTTATCTTTAAAAAACTTTTTATCATTATGAAATGTTACTGTTTATAACTGACAATATTCTTTGCTTTGAAGTTCATTTTGTCTAATATTAATGTATCTACTCCAGCTTTCTTTTGATTATTGTTTACATAGGCTACCGTTTTGTATGATTTCACATTTACCCACTTTAAAGTGAGTTTCTTGTAGACACATTATACTTGTGTTTTGCTTTTTAATCCAGGCCAACAATCTCTGCCCTTTAATTCAAACTTGTAATACCATTTACCATTAAACCATTCACAATTAATGTAATCTAATGTAAACATAACTCTAGCCAGGTTGAAATCTACCATATTGCTACATAGTTTCTATTTATTATATTTGTTTTATTGTCCTTTTTCCTCTCTTCCTGCCCTTTTAAAAAAATTCATTACATCTCTACTATTGGCTTTTTAGCAATATTTCATTTCATTTTTGTAATTCTTCTATATAACTGTATTCTCAGTCTACCTTGTGATAATATATCAGTTCATCTATTATCTAAGAAACTTACAGCAGTGTTCTTCCATTTCCTACTTCCCTCCCTATGCTATTATTTCCTTACATTTTATTTTGATATATTTTATAAACCCTGTAATACATTGTAGCTTTTTAAAATTATTTTTAACTGATCAATCATCTTTTTGAATGACAGATCAGCTTTGCATTCCTAGAATAAAATTCACCTGGTTGTAATATACTATGCTTTTCATATTATGTTACATTTAACTTTCTAAAATGATTAATATATCACTAGAAATTATCTTAAGTACAATAGCATAATCACAGTGTAATGACAGAGAATATCTAGGGGTTGTGGACAAGATTAGTTGATCAGGATATTGCACTCAGAGAAGATAACATATAAGCTGCAACCTACAAGATAAGAATGAAGCCATTACAAACAAATTTGTTCCAACTCTATCATTCAGTAATTCTGTGAACACTAGTAGAAGGAGAAAACAGTCTAATTGAAATTTTAGAAATTTTAGGCCAAAATTTTTATTTTATAGGTGAGGATATAAAGCTCAGAGGGAGTGAAGGAGTAATGTGATTTACCTTAAGTTTCTCAGTGACCTATCTGCAGATCTGGGACCAGTCTGCTTCTCGTAACTATAGGCCAAGTGGTAGATCCAATACACATGTGCTCATATCACAAAAGTTGGTTTCAACTTACAGTGTCTGTGGTTGTAAGAAGGATATTGCACTAACACTTGGAATGATCCAGTCTAGTTTGCCTGTAGACTCCAGAGATGACTTTGGCATTGAGTGGAGTTTTAAAAATGTTAAAACTAGCAGCCAGGTGCAGTGGCTCACACCTGTAATCCCAGCAATTTGGGAGGCAGAGGCAGGCGGATCACTTAAGGTCAGGAGTTCAAGACCAGCCTCGCCAATATGGTGAAACCCCGTCTCTACCAAAAATACAAAAATTAGCTGAGTGTGGTGGCTTGCGCCTGTAGTCTCAGCTACCTGGAAGGCTGAGGCAGGAGAAGCACTTGAACCTGGGAGGTGGAGGGTTGCAGTGAACTGAGATTGCACCACTGCATTACAGCCTGGGGGACAGAGCGAGAGTCTGTCTCAAAAAAAAAAAAAAAGAAAAGAAATAGTGAGTTCGCAAAGCCTCTGAGTCTACGAAAAGGTGCAATTCCTACTGTCTCAACACTTGCTCTGAAAGCTGTGTCACAAATTTGGCCCTCATGCCAGCTTACCATTCCCTTCCTCATATTCCTTATAGAGAAGTTGCCACATTCTACCATCTTATCACCAGGGATCCTTTGTTTCTCCTTGCTTGACCTTGAACCAGTCTTTTCTCTCAGAATAACCCTACCAGATTAGAATTTTCAAAGGCAATTATCAAAAGGAAATTTAAAAGGAAGTTCAAAACCTTGAAAGCAAATGTTCTCCGGGTGAGAAAGATCCTTCCCTAAACTGGCCTCAAGATTCCTTCTTTAGGTCTTACCAACCTCTCCTACCCTTGTGAGAAACTCTACAAGTCCCGCCCTCTTCTGATCCCTGGTTTATTCTCCCTTCCCTATTGGTCGCTGGCCTGCACGTGCTGAATGTAGGTTTCACTATGCCTGATTTCATTATTTCATAGGTTTCCCTATGCCTGATTTTAGTGCTACATTAGCATCAGCTCTTGGTGTCTGTAATTTGGTCAACAAGATGCCGGCTAGAGATACACCTTAAGAAACCCAGATGGCTGGCCGTCTGCCCCCACTCAAACATTGATTCATAGGCTCTTTCCTCTGCCTTCCTTCTTCCTCTTATTTTAGAGATGAGGTCTCACTCTGTTGCCCAGGCTGGAGTACAGTGGTGCAATCATAGCTCACTGCAGCATCCAACACCTGAGCTCTTGTGATCCTCCTGCCTGAGCTTCCAGAGTAGCTGGGACTACAGCTGTAAGCCACTACACTTGCCTGACTTTTAACATTTTTGTAGAGACGGGGTCTTGTTGTGTTGCCCAGGCTGGTCTCAAACTCTTGGCCTCAAGCCATCCTCCTGCCTCTGCCTCCCAAAGTGATGAGATTACAGACATGACCCACCATGCCTGGCTTGCCTAAGGTTTTCACTTGCTCAGACAATTAAGAAGATATTTGTTAAAGAAGTCTGCAGTGTCTAGATTCAATTAAGAAGATATTTATTAAAGAGGTCTGCAGTGTCTAGATTCAAGTTGTTGTTTTCTAAACAGTATCTACTAAAATGAGTAGTTGTACTTGCTTGGATCTGATTGCACCACACATCTTCCATTCTATTCATTCAGGGGTGGATCGTGTGTTTATTAATGGAAGCACACCCCCTGCAGTGTGTTCATTTCATTAGTCCCATCTGAGAGTAAAGGAAACTGACAGTTTAAGTGGAAGGACATCACAGAAATCCCTGCTACTCGCACTACACCTTACCCTCTCACTGGCATGACCTTATTTGGTTTTCACAGAGGCCCCGCTTGCTACGTGAGTTACCTGCTATTCCCTCTTTCTCAGCAGATTAGGAGACAGGGAAGGGTTCTGGGCTAAACAATTCACCCAAGGTCCCATGGAAGGTCAGTCATAGAACAGAAACCCAAATGCTGGCCTCTCACCTCCTGGCTCAGCCCTCTCTCCACCCCCACATGCTCTTAAACTACAGTGAGTCAGTGGGACAGGAACAGAGTTTGGACTGAAGACAAGGAGGCGCTGACATCAGTGGAATGAAAAGAAGCCAAATTAAAGACACTTTCTAATTGCCCAGAAGGGGATGAGGACAATCCTGAAGCCCTTCCTGACTGAAGGCACGTCTCTCGCTGCAGAGGCACAGCTCCCAGCTCTGGCTGCAGAAGCCCAGATGGATCAGGGCCTAGAGCCTCAGCCTCAGGCTCCCCATTCACCAGAAGCCTAGGAGCTTCTCCTGCAGTAAAGTTGCTGTCTGTGACTGCACACCCTCCCTCCTGCTTTTCTCCTTCCTGCCTATTGAGTACACCTAGTGGAGCCCATCATGAGAAGGACTCACTAGAATGCAAAATGGCTTTGGATGAGTTGTTCCTTTTGGGAAAGGAATGCCTCTCTTGTTGCCTTTGTCCTGGGCTAGGTTTTTATGCAGTGGTTGGCATCATTTGCTCAAAAGAAGAGAAGAGAAGAAACAGCTGGATATTTATTTTTTGTTGCTTTTGGTGGGTTTTTTGTTTGTTTGCTAATGCATTTTTCAATCATTTACAGAAAACTATTCCTCTAGAGAGGGAGAAGGTTGATTATTAGCAGGAAAAAAGAGGTAATAGAGGAACAAGTCCAAACATGTCCTTCAGGAACGTGGCTCAATATTTCCCCTTATTTGCATGAGTGAAAAGAGAATCCCGAGGATGGTTTTGAGGTCAGCAGCTGATCGCCCCCTTCTCCCCTGCTTTGAATGAGATTTTTGCAGTTCCACTTGTTTTTGGATCCCAGCAAAATGAACATTGACATTTAAAATGAACACGAAAGGAATAACATTTTGGGAGAGGCTTAGTTGATATTACAGTTTTAGGAATTAAGATACAAACAGCAAGAGGGTCCTGAAAGTAATAATAATATCTGTAAGGATAATGATTGTTAAAGTAGCCACTATGTACTAGGTTCTGCCATGTTGAAATATACGTATATGTTTATTGTTCACTACTCCTATTAAGACACAAATTGTAGACGTGAGTATTCCTCTTTCACAGATTAAAACAAAATCCCAAGACAATTTTTCAAGCTCAGCACAGCAAAATGACTTACCCATGCCCAAAGCAGAGGAACTATAGCTTGGGATTAAATCCATCTAGCTTGCCAAACCATAGTCTTTGGCAAATGTTTACATCCTTATTGCTGTGATGAAGTTGCTTATACCTCTAGTATTATAAGATCAGGGGACTGGTGGCCTGGACTGAAGCTCAGGTGGCTATTGCATTTCTAATGAGGTCTCCGTATATTTCAAACTTTGAGAGTTCAAAAACCCAGCTTCATCCATTCATCCAAGGGTGACAAAGTACTGGCAAGTTGATTTGCAAGAGCCAGATTTATAAAAGCTTTTTTTTCATGCCAGGATGCTGACTGCTTAGTTTTAGCAAGGTGACTTTCCCTTTCTGATCATATTTAGATCAATTCCTTAGAAAGACTAATCTAGCTGTTGGAGGTAGGTAGATTGGAACAAATAGGAGGGAAAGGTGCAGAGAGCAGTTTGGAATAAAAGTAATGAGTACAAGAATTAAGATAATGGAGTTGGAAGTAGGAAAGACGTAGTGATATGAGACAGACCCTGTGGGCAAATAATCCACCTGACTCAGCAGCTGTCTGACCTCAGGGAGAGAAAGAAAGAGGAATCAAAAAGTTGAGATTTCCAGTTTGGTGATGAAGAGATGGGCGACTTCATTTTAAGGAAGTAACTACAACACAAGGTGAGTTGAGATTTGAGCATAGGGACTTTAAATTTCAAGTCCAAAAGCAGCTATCAATTTAGCACCTAAAGTTGTAGGACTGACTAGGATAAAAATATATTTGGGGGATTTTCAAGGACCATTGCAAATACACAGGGCATCTAGGTTGAAATTTATTGAGGGCAGGAATGATGACTCTTAGTTATTTGTATCACTTATGACATATCTCCCTCCTACTATCCAGCCCCAGTGCCAACCCCATTCTCTGCATCTCAGATTCCTCGGTAACTTCATGTCATGGAATTCTAACAAGTTTTGGCTGATTGATATAGCAAAACGTAAGTACTGGGGGCCTTTTCTTCGCAGCTCTAGAGAAGCATTACTTGTCACATTTAGGAATGTTGTCTTTCTTTTTGGGAGGATGTTTCCCTACTCAGTTTAGATACTGGGTGTAGCTGTGGGGCTCACCCATAGGTTTTTCTTTACCCCTGTGTGACCAAGAAAAGAAAACCTAGAAGAGGAAGATGCAGCCAGCTGATGTATTTGTTTGATATTCCAAGGGATATAAATTTAGGCACAGCTGGGAGGAGAAAAGAGTTTCTACATACCGTGGGAAGGGGCGCTGACTTCATTCCCACACTGGAGCTTCCAGACAACCTGGAAGTGTCCATAGTTCAGGCATCCTGCCATAGATAGCGTGACTCAGGTTCCCTGAGGCTCACAAGCCTTGTTTGGCCCATTATCCTTGCCAATCCACTTGAGATTCCTAAGAGTAAAATTTCACTACAGTGGGAAACAATCAGAACCCAGTAGGTATTTCTAACTAGATGAAAACCAAGAAATCTTCATTATTATGGTTGTAATTTTTAAAGAACTTCACTTAATCAAAAATCCTCCCTGGACCTCCAAGCCTATTCTTCTTCCTTGTAAAAGATTATGGTAATAATTAACAATAATGTCATTATCATATCTTACATATAATAGTTATCTAAGAACAGCAACATTTCACATTTATGATTGTGTATTAAATGCCAGGCAGCACCTTACACTCATCACATTTAACTTTCACAACACTTTTCCATAATTATTTTAATTTGGTATTTTTTATCCCCATTTTGTTTGTTGTTTCATAATCCTGGACTCTCAGAAGAGAATATTTGGAGGTCATCCAGGCTAGACTCAGTCATGAAGTTGGCTGGCAATGTTATTGAAGAATAAGCCTGTCTGATTTCCACTTTTTCTAGCCTCCTAAACACTGACCTATCAGTACTATCTTGGATTCTTTATGTCGTGGAGTGTCTGCCACAATTTTTACTTCCTCAACTGCTAAACAACACCTCATCCTGCATCCCAGAGTCCACCACACAAGACTCTGGGAGTCCTTTTTGCCCATGCAGGAAGCATTAAACCCATTTATCCCATCTCTTATCCAGTGTGTACCAGGAACCATTTCTTTACTCTAATGTTTCTCAAGGAGCCAATGATTCCCCAAGATTGTTTTGAATTAAAAGCAACCTTGCATACACATATATGCACCCTCTTTTTCTCTACAACCCATGACAACATCAAAAGTTCAGAAAAAGTGTATCTTTTACTCCATTAATCTCTACCCAAAAAGAGTCAGTAGTAATCTAGCCACTCGACAAATAGCAAATGATGGCATTGAAAAGTATACCTGCCACATAAAAGTAAAGCACTTGAAATCTACATTCAGAATCTCTTTCAAATTTTTGAGTAGGCCATTAACATAAGAAAAAAAGAATCTGAAAATTTACATCACAAATGTGTGCTTAGAACAGATCTATGAATTTCATAACACACATGGAGTTGGCAGTTCTAGATTATGAATTTATATGTGATCCAGGTGCCCTTCTACCTACAAACTCTTTGTCCATTGGCATCTGGGTCTTAGCTTATGTAACATGAAGAGGTAACCTATGAAAATTGACTAATTGTCAGGTGACATTGTCAGCTGGCATGTCAGGTGGCCTCCTACCTCCACAGTGGGTGCCATTAAGGAAATGCTCAAGATGGGACTCAATGAACAACCTACGTGAGCAGGAGCTATGTGCCTTCCCTTGCAAGTCAACACACAAAAGAGGCTGTCTTGTCATGCTTCTGCTCCTCTCCTGAATCAAGAATGGCCATAACTCACACTGTCAGTGAATTTTCATTTCTTGAGCACTAAATTCAAAGAATCTGATAGGCACTTCTTTCACCTCCCAAATTTCCTGCAATATTGGTCTGTTGAACCGAATTGTTCTATCTAATATTCAGTTCTTTGTCTTCCTGAGTGCTGAAACCTAGGGGAGAGGTAACTAAAGAATGCTGTGACTAATTTTATGTTGGTTTCTGGTGTATTTTAACTGAAGAAATATGAAGTCTTATTATAGATGGCATATTCTCTGCTCAGAAATCACAAAGGAATACACTAATATGCAAATCACAATGCCTAACTTTTGTGTCAAAAGATCTGCAACCTGCAAGATGAGAAATGGCCAAGGGCCCAAGACTGATTCTCCAAAAGGCATTAAGTCTTACTTTCCCAAGGACACAAGGGTTGAGAGTCACGTTAAGAGTGTCCAGCTTCCCGGAAAAACTAGTCCTCATATTGAAACAAGATCCACTCGCTCTTAGGCTATTTACATCTGAGGTTTATTTTTTCAAGAAACCCAGATTAAACCACTTTTAAGGGCATTATTCAAATATTTTTCAATCTATCGTAGTTTCCGTGTTTTTAATCTCTACTTTGCCCATTTTTCCACTGCAGAACAAAGACAGGCTTGAAAAAAGACAGATGGGGCAAATGTGGAAGGTGGCGGCCACTTTAAATGACAGCTCCGCAACGGACAAAAACGGGCTCTCCTCATTATGTTCATGGAACACCAAATATGAAGAAATCAAGCTGCTTTAGGACTGAGACCCTTATGGCAGCTCATATTGCATTGGGAAAAAATGTTAACATTAATAAGTTACATAAGAAAAATGTCCAAGATCAACACATTCAAGGCCATTATAAATACTAGCATATACATTCAGAAATGCAATTACACCATCAGCATGAACACGCAGGAAAAGAAAATTCCTATTTGCATGGCTGTGAGGTTTCTTCTGGTTGCCAGCAATTTCCAGAGTGTATTGAAATTTTCAAATTAACTGAGGACATTTTAGTCAATTTTATCTCTCAATGCTTTTGTGTCACTTTTTCTTCAAGGTCTGTGCATTTTGCTGATTGAAATGCTCAAACATTTATTCATTTATTCATCTCAAAGGCACAGATCATCATTATGACTTTTTTTTTTTGAAAAAATAGTGTCAGAACTTTCTAATGTTCTTTTCTGTCTCTTTTCTCCAAATACTTTCCCTCTTCATAACCCTCTTTCTCCCCAGGGGACTTTCTATTGCTTCTATAGGGAATTTTTTCAACGTCTGGTCTTTAAAAAGAATTCCTCTTTAATCCTAAAGCATTCTATGGAGAAATCAGTTTCCAGAAGTTAGAATAAAATTCCATGTGCATGCCTGGGTCTGGGACAGGGTGCGGGAAAAGAAGAAATGTTGGTATGTAATCTTAAAATTCAAATGCTGTTCAGTAGTGGCATACCATCTGAACTAGCTGCAAATGGTAAATAAACCCAGCTTGTAACTTAATGATCCTTGTGTTTGTGTGTCTGTGAATACATTAAGAACTCTCAAAGAAAAAATTGTGGAATCATAAATAAAAGACAGCAGTGAATCACAGACAGTCACACAGAAACAAGACACCATCCTCCCATATGCCTGTGTGGATATTGATGTGGGTTCCTCACCTTTTCGGTTTGCAGTGGCAGCATGAGACCCACTCTAGATGCTGTGGCACAGGGAGAGGTTTGATGGTCTTCATTACATATTGTCTGCCCTGCAAAAATCATCTGCTTTGCTTGGAATTGATTTCAAAACCAGATTCATGCAGTGCCTGTTACACCACGATAAACAAATAAATTAGCTGCTGCAATATGGAAATTTACATGATTCAGTGTACTTAAAAACTGTTAACTGTGAACTTATTAATTGAAAGCCACAGGACAATAATCAGCATGTCCTTCAGTAGGAAAACGAATCTCTTGTTAAAGCGAATTTGTAAGGCAATAAAGATGTATTTTTTCAAATAAATGTATGCCTCAAGCCATTTGATGTGATATTTTTAACTTCAACTTTCGGTGGCTCGTGCTTTGTTTGTGGACTACATATTGATTTGTTTCCTGAAAACGTGTAGTGTAACTCTACATTCCCACATGGGTTTTTTTCCACCGCACCATGCAGGTTATATTCATTCCAGTCAATCTTATTTTTCTGCCTCCTGTCTAGAGAACTTTAATTAAAATGGTCTGCTAACGCTTGAATCTCTTAAAGGGAGCACTTGGAATCCTAAGCTGCATTTCCATCACAGAACTTCCAGGGAACATACGCCTTCCCTTTCAAACATATGTTCCGAGGGGAATGTTTGTCTAGAAGCTACTAGGTTGCAGTGAGGACTGAAACATAAACTCCAAGAGGAAAATGACAATGATTTTTACATCCAGGCAGTGAACCAGGCACATTTCTGAAGTTTGGCCAGTTAGAGCTGGCCAATCCATAATCCATTATCACCCGTTTGATCTCAGAGAAGAGTTCAGTATGCAGTGAGGCTGTCTGTTCACTGCACCAACACACAGACCCTAGGCCTTCTGGAAGCTCGTCTTCTAAAACTGTCACACCAGCACTGACACTGCTATTAGATGTGGTGACTGTGCCCGCTGTTTCCCTTGAGAACAAGAATTCTAAATGGTGATATCATGTGATGATTTTAAAAAAAAAAGTGAGCCCAGGCACCATGGTTCATACCTGTAATCCCAGCACTTTGGGAAGCTGATGCAAGAGGATTGCTTGAGGACAGGAGTTCAAGACCAGCCTGGACAACATAGCAAGACCTCTTCTCTACAAATAAATAAAAAATTAGCAAGGCATGGTAGTTGCACACCTGTAGTCCCAGCTACTCAGGAAGCTGAGGAAGGAGGATTGCTTGAGCCCAGAGTTCGAGGCTGCAGTGAGCTATGATCTCACCACTGCACTTCAGCCTGGGCAACAGAGTAAAGGCAACAGAGTAAGACCATGTCTCCAAAAAAAAAAAAAAAAAAAAAAAAAAAAAAAAACTTTATAATATGAAATCTGGCTAAAACTATTTAGATAAAAATTTAGTTTTAAGATTTCAAAACTGTCTTTGTTTTGTCAGGTAACCTTACTAGTGGTATGGTTTCCTTTAAGTACAATGTGGAAATCTCCCCAAGTCTTACCCCTGGATTTTGCTTTTCGAGTTCACTCACTTTTACCCCTGACATGGGGAGGCTGCCTGTTGCTCTTGCTGTCTCACTTCCCATGAATCAATCCAGAGAGCGGGTGTGTCTTGGAGAGGCCTTAGGGCCATGAGCCCTCTGCAGTCTCGGGACAGAGCAGGACATTTCCTCTACCTGAGGCAGCGCTTCCACTAGCGGGAGCTTCTTCAGCCTCAACAGCAACTGCACACAGGAGCAGATAAGGGGAGGATGTTCCAGGTTGAGAATCAAACCACTCATGAAGAAGGGATCCATGAAGTACGGAAATCAGACGCATGGTTCATTAGGGCCTTGAATATCACATGGCACTAGAGAATACTCAACCCATCCAGTACGATGCTTTTTAAAATATCCTATTGATTGGCTGGGTGTGGTGGCTCACACCTATAATCCTAGGACTTTGGGAGGCCGAGGCAGGTGGATCACTTGAGGTCAGGAGTTCAAGACCAGCCCGGTCAACATGGCAAAACCCCGTCTCTACTAAAAATACAAATACAAAAATTAGACGGGTGTGGTAGCCTGCATGTAATCCCAGCAACTCGGGAGGCTGAGGCGGGAGGATCACTTGAACCTGGGAGGCGGAGGTTGCAGTGAGCCTAGATCTCACCGCTGCACTCCAGCCTGGACAACAGCCAGACTCCATCTCAAAAAAAAAAAAAAAAAAAAAAAAATACTGATTTTCTTGCATGTGTGGAAGTATATTTATCTTTTTATGAGTATTTTTTAGCAGATTCTAATATTTGGTGTTTTTAGTTACTTGTAATGGCTACAATAAATTTTAAATATTATCATGTTACCAAATATTTATATTGTCTCACTGATCAAAGTGTCTAGTTCATAGAAATGTAAGTTACTTCCTTAAACCCAGGCTGAGTTTCTGTATCACAGCCTTTTATTTAAAGACATTTAATTGAGATATAATTTGCAAAAACAAAACAAAACAAAACTCGACATGTTTGTTGTGTGAAATTTGATAAATTTGACATATGTGTACATCTGTGAAACCCTCACTGCAATCAAATAATGGGCTAATTAATCTAAAATAATTTTTTGGCCGCGTGCAGTAGCTCACGCCTGTAATCCCAAAACTTTGGGAGGCCGAGGCAGGCAGATCACCTGAGGTCGAGAATTCGAGACCAGCCTGGCCAGCATAGTGAAACCCTGTCTCTACTAAAAATACAAAAATTAGCCAGGTGTGGTGGCGATTCCTGTAATCCCAGCTACTTGGGAGGTTGAGGCATGAGAATCGCTTGAACCCAGGAGGCAGAAGTTGCAGTGAGCCAAGATTGCATCCTGCACTCCAGCTTGGGTGACAGAGTGAGACTCTGTCTCAAAAAAATATATAAAATAATGTCTAATGTCCCTTAACAATCCCTCCCTCCTCCACTCTCCAACTCTCCCTTCTCCCCACTCTGAAATATTCTACTAATCTTTGAATGCACCTCCAAAATTTGCACACTAAAACAACAGCAACAAAAAAACTGTATCTGGGTTGAGCATTACAAATATATAGCTCATACATGTGTTTCTTGTTGCTTTCCCTCCCTGAAAAAAACCTTGACAAAAATGTATTCTCATGAGACTGAATAGATTTGGAAAGTTGTCAATCACACGTCAGCCAGACGTGACGTTTAAAAAAACAAGGACCCCCAAATTCTCAGACACTACCTCCATGGAGAGGTGGGGTTCAGTTCCCCTTCCCCTTGTATCTGGGCAGGCTTGTATTGACTTCAACCAATAGAAGAAAACAATGCTTTGTAATTTCTGAGGCTAGGTCAGAAAAGGCTGTGCAGCTTCCCCCTTGGTTCTCTTGAAATATTCTCTCTCTGGATGCTTCTTCGCAGACCCAGCTCCATGCTGCGGGAAGCCTGAACTCCATGGAGATGCCACGTGTCAGGGCTCAGGTTGACAGGCCCAGCTGAGCCCAGCCTTTGAGTGATCCAGCCCAGGCGCCAGACATGCGAGTGAGGAAGCCTCCAGATGATTTCAGCCCCCAGCTTTTTGAGTCACCCTTGGCCATTCACGTCTTCCCAGCTGAGACCCCAGACACTGTGGAGCAGACGCCAGCCACCCTGCTGTGCCCTGTCCAAATTCCTGGCTCATCATCAGTGAGCATAAATAAAATGGTTGTTGTTTTCGGTCACTGCATTTACAGATAACGAGAATATAAGAAATAATGGAGAGGAGGCAGGTGAGTTCCTAATGAAAATAAAGGTGGCTTCGTACATTCCAGCCAAATGATTCAAAAGAAAAGATACTCAAAAGCCATTGCCACATCCTGGTCTTGTCCGATACAACGGTAGGCATAGCCACTTAGAGGACGACTGAAAAGGTGGCTTTATTGGATCTGCAGCACACAGAAGATTTAGAAGGACAAAAAATGTAGGATTATGGCACTAGCTCTATAAGTTCTCGTCAGGATGAAATCATGACAACATATAATCAAAATAAATGTACAATCTTTCATCCTGTTAAAAAAAATAAACTGAACAACGTGGTATGGGGAAAATGTAACTTAGTGCCAGCAAAAAAGATAAAGACTGTGTATGTTGAGAATAAGCTTCATGTGAACCAGGTGCACAAGGAGGTTGCCTCGAAAAATAATGTGGTACCAAACTGCATGAACAGAAAGGGAGAGGCCAGGTTTGGTGGCTCCCGCTTGCAGTCCCAGCACCCTGGGAGGCTGAGGCAGGCAGATCGCCTGAGGTCAGGAGTTTGAGACCAGCCTAGACAACGTAGTAAAACCCCATCTCTACTAAAAATACAAAAACTAGCCAGACATGGTGGCAGGTGGCTGTAATCCCAGCTACTCGGGAGGCTGAGGCAGGAGAATTGCTTGAACCCAGGAGGCGGAGGTTTCGGTGAGCCAAGATCGCGCCACTGCACTCCAGCCTGGGCGACAACAGAGCGAGACGCCGTCTTAAAAAAAAAAAAGTGGGGGAGTCGCCAGAATAAGGAATTGTATGGGCCACCCAATGATTCTCTTCTGCTCCCTGGAGTTGAGAGAGTATTCTTTTTAATTCTGCCCATTTATCTGAGAGTATGCACCATGTTAAAATGAGGATATGTGTGAAAATATCTCATGTGGGAAATGAATGGAGAACCTGGGGGATTACCTTAGAAAAGAGAAAGCACATAGATTTCATAACTGTCTTCGATTTCATGGAGGCAAGTAAAGTGTTAGAGGATGAGAACCCTTGTGTATACCCTCAAGGATAAGAATATGACCACTATGAGTAGACCCTGTAGGAGCTACATTGTATCAACAGAAAAAAAGAACTTTACAGAGTCAAACTCATCCAAATCTGGAACTAAGTGCCAAGCCCCATAGTGAATGTCTCAAAATAAAAGTTACTTGGCAGAGATGGTATAGAGAGGCATTAAAGAACTAAATAACTTCAATGGTCATTTAACCACTGGGATTCTCTGATTCTTTTGGAGATCATTTACAGTTCAATTGCTTGGCTAGCATTTCATATATTTCCTTATTTGTCTATTTGTCTGCCAAATAATTATTGAGTGCCTATGCCTATATAGGGGATTGGATGACTAAAACCTCAACCCTATCCTCCAGAACCTTGTAGCATAGTAAATGACTTGCAGCCAAATATTGAAGTTAAAAGTAGAAAAGAAAAACCTGCAAAGGAAGGAGAGCCGAATTGCTCTGAGTCACATGTAGAGTGCAGCGCAATGTTACTGAAATTTTTCACTGCTGCATTTTAATGGTTTGCTGAGATCGACACTGAGACCCCCAGTCTAAATGTGAATTTCACAACACTATCTCATTTGCATCAGCTTCAAGCTCAATATTTGGATTCTGTTTGAGAAATATATAAAACCTATATTGACATTTTGTTTTAGAAGCATTCATTCAGAGCTCTCCCATTCCCATATTTTCTGATTTTGATTCTCAGAATAAAAAAAAAAAACCTTTAGCAATAGGAGGTAGTAATGAATTGGGAAGGTTATTTACTGCGATTAAGGAGAAATGAATAGAAAAGTAGGACAGCCCCCAGGGTGTTCCAACTAAACACAACGATTACAATATTTACCAGTAAACTAAAAATATGCCATTAATTGTAACTATCATCTTAATGATCATTATATTGGCTTGCTCAGAAGAACTCTCAATCTCATATAAATTTAAGGGACTTACTTAAGGTTAGTTTAGTTTCGAGCATATTGTCTGCCGTCTTATTGCAGCAGTGAAATTTTATCTCTCCTGCTCGAAAGTGCAGGCTATGGGGTGTTCTGACAGTTGACATCAGGGCTGTTCCCTGGCCAGCTGTCAGAGGTGTCTCTCCCCTGGAGGCGGCACGCGTCAAGAAGTGACACGATGTGCTGCTTCTGGCAGTGCAGCCACCAGGGTGGGCAGAGTGGCGAGGCGGCAGCCCTGGCATCCCAGGCAACCAGCTTCAGACAGCACCTCAGCTCCACCTGGGAAAGTAGAACAAGGACAGAGAGGAACCGAGGCCCATCTTGGCTTCTGGTTTGAGAGAGTTTAGTGGTTGTCTAGTTCCTTTTCTCATCCACAGCTGCAACCACACACTGCTGTCAGGTGGCCATTCCGACCAAAGGGAGGTCACTACTTTTCGAAGACTCCTCATTCTTTTTCTGAACATGCTCTCTGGATATCAAAATGAGACCGGACCCTGTAATGACCCTGTAATAGCTCATCCCTGATGATGTCACAGCCCTGCCCTCTGCAGTTTGTCCCCCCGGCAGTCTTTAAACCATGTGGAAAGTAGCTAGCATGCCTACTTCTCTGCATCCAGTCCTCTCTATCCAGGCTAAACAACCCTAGTTCCTTTGTTGTTCATTCCTTTTTTTTTTTTTTTTGAGATGCCGTCTAAGCGGAAAGGAAATTCGAACACCACAGTCGCACATAATTTCACCAAGGAAGAAAAAGGGGGAGGCAGTGTACAGAGAAATCTTTGCTGCTGTTTACATATTCTGTGATAAAATGAGATGTACAAACCATTCCCTCCATAATAAGCCATATTCACATTCATAGTCTGTTAGTTGAAGGAGATAACTATCTATGTTTTGAAGTCTTTGAAATCCACTTTTCTAAAATCCCATGTCTATGCCTAACTGTGCTAAATATTAGCACAGTTTTAATGATACTTTTGTTTAATTCCAATGTCTCAGTCATATCCTGATCCTCAGTACAATCAGAATGTCTTGAATAGATTATTTTCTAAGCCAGGAAATTGTCAGGAAGGAAAATCAGGAATTTATCAGGCCACATCATAGTAATGACAGTGGTGAGGTAATTTAAATCTAATCACCTCCTGATGATGTAGGTATAATTATTCCCATTTAACAGATGAGTAAACTGAAGTCAGGAGGATAAATAGAAGTATAAGTTACTTGCATGAAGTCAGGGAGTTAGTCTGATGGAAATGTGTTCACCAAACCCATTTCCTCTTCTTTCTGGGATCAACCACATTTTCCAGGCTTCCTTGAAGTTCAAGCCAATGGAATATGAATGGAAGCAATGCATGCCATTTTTAGGTCTGACCCATGTTTTAGAATGCCTCTCACCCAAACCCCTTCCTCTTTCTTCTTCCCCTTGTGCAATACAGATGAGCACCTGGCCCCGCAAGACAACTGTGGAATATGGCAGAGTTACAAGAATAAAAGAAGTTGGCTTACTAAGCTGGAAGAAGGGCCTCCCATTAATCAGAAACATACTTTCTGAACTTAACATGTGTCAGAATGAACTTCTTTTTCTTAAACCATTGAAACTGAGATTTTTGCCTGTTATGGCCACCAATGTTACTCTGATTAAGACACATAGTAATAGCAAACCCAGGTCTCTCTGAAATGAAAGTGCATGTTGAGTAACTAAACCATCCAATTCTCAGGCTCCTCCTCTACAAAGTAGGAATAATGGTAATATCTGTTAATACCTCATAGGGTTGCCTTGGCTGTTATATGAGGAAATGCTGGTAAAGTGCATAGCAGGGTGCCCAACAGTTATCGACTGAATAAACACACTGCAATGACCAACATTATCACTACACTGTGTTTCTAGAAAACCATATCTGCCTCCAGAACTGCTTTGTAAACCTTTTATACAATGGTGGCATTATCTGTGCTGGTTCCTTGGCTGAGCAGTCTATATTATAACTGGCAAATTCTTTCTCATAATCTTTCCTTTACCTAGGTGTTCTTCTCCATAATTCTATCCTTAGGTTAATACAATGTTATGTAAAAGAATGAATACTTTAAAAATCGATTACTAGAACATAATCCACTTTTTTCAGATAAAAAATACTCTTCCTTCTTTGTCATGATCATGAAGCTCATATTATCAAATATAATGATATATTACCTTGGAGATAAAATTTGACTGATTGGCTGAAATTTTCGAGTAAATTTATTTCAACTTCTGAAACAATCATTCCATTTAAGGTCTGAAATATTCTTCTAGAGCAGTGCATCTCAAACTTTAATCTGCAGATTAATCACCTGGAGATCTTGTTAAAGTGCAGATTCAGGATGAGAGCTGTGGCTCACGCCTGTAATCCCAGCACTTTGGGAAGCTGAGGCAGGTGGATCACTTGAGGTCAGGAGTCTGAGACCGGCCTGGCCAACGTGGTAAAACCCCATCTCTACTAAAAATACAAAAATTTATCTGGGTGTGGTGGTGCATGCCTGTAATCTCAGCTGCTCAGAAGGCTAAGGCAGGAGAATCTTTTGAACTCGGGAGGCAGAAGTTGCAGTGAGCAGAGATTGCACCACTGCACTCCAACCTGGGTGACAAAGCAAGACTCTGTCTCAAAAAAAAAAAAAAAAAATTGCAGATTCAGTGGAACCGGGGTGCAGATGGAGGTTTTGCAGTCCCAGCCAGCTCCAAGTGATGCTGGTGCTGCTGGCCTAGGACCACATTTGGAGCAGGAAGACTCTAGAGTTGTAGAAAAAGTATTCATAGGCCACCTATGTGATTGCATTTCATTTAATTCATGCCAAGTAATAAACTCATTCTATGCGAAAGCCAGCAAAAGAGAAAACTAAGCCATTCAACAAATAAGAAGAGAAATTAATAGGTCTTTTAGAGTCCGAATAAGAAAAGTCAATGGAGAAAATAGAACTTCATTTTCAAAAGATTTAAAAAGAAATAATCTCATAGTCTGTTAACATATTATATAAGGAAATAAAGAAATACATTAGGAATGAGAAGGGTAAGAAGAAATGTTACCTTTTATTAGAGCAGTAGTTCTTAAATTCTCAAATTTAGCATGCATCAGAATCATCTTAAAACACAGACAACCGGCCAGGCGCAGTGAATCACGCCTGTAATCCCAGCGCTTTGGGAGGCTGAGGCAGGCAGATCACCTGAGGTCAGGAGTTCGACATCACCCTGACCAACATGGAGAAACCCCATCTCTACTAAAAATACAAAATTAGCTGGGTGTGGTGGCACATGTCTATAATCCCAGCTACTCGGGAGGTTGAGGCAGAAGAATGGCTTGAACCCAGGATGTGGAGATTGCGGTGAGCCAAGATCATGCCATTGCACTCCAGCCTGGTCAACAAGAGCGAAACTCCAGCTCCAAACAAACAAACAAACAAACAAAAAACACTGACAATGATTCTGTGGTCTGGGACAGCCTGATGATTTGCATTTCTTACAAGTTCCCAGGTAATGCTGTTGCCCCTGGGCAGGGAACAGAGCTTGGAGAAACTGCATTAAGAGACTGGGGAAACTGCATTCAGAGACTGACAGATGACACGAAAAAATCACTATATTCTACCTCAGTCTCTATAAGACTGTGGGGCAGCCCTATAATAGAAGAAAGAGAAATGAACCAAAATAAGAGAAACAGTTAAAATCCATTCGAGGTCCCAACAACTTGAACTATATACACTTAAGAACATGTTCAGAGTAATTTCAGGATCATCAGCTATCATTTTCAAGATTTTTTGAAGGGTAAATGATTTGACCGAAGCAGGAATGGAACAACTTGGTTTCTTTTTCTAAATGGAAAAAGGAGTGACCCTGAAAAACCCTGGGCTTCTAAGTTTAACTTCGCTACATAGGAAGTTAGGGGGAAAAGACTGAGGAAATAATCACAAAATCTATTGTCAAGGCCTTGAAAAGAACAGGGCATTGAGTAATAACGAGGATGGCTTTCCAAAGAAAACGTGCTTTCCTACTGTTTTAGATTTGAAAAGGATCTTAGAATCACATGAGCCAGGCAGCTTATTTTAAAGATAAGAAAACTAATGTACAAAGAGATTTTTGTCCTCAAGGTCATACAGCTCGTTGGCAGCAAATATAGGCGAGGATCCAGTCTCCTGGGCCATTCACTGCCCTCACCATCCTGAAGCAGCTGTGGGTTCTGACGATTTCCACTGGTAGCCTCAGCTGCACCTAGGTCTTGAGCTAGTCTGATGAGGACAGGCTGCATATTGGGAGTCCCTGTGTGCATCATGGTGAGGTCAGCTGAGGCCCGGCATCCAAAGACCTCATCACCAGCCTTATGCCATATGCCACAACAGCCATCCAGACTCTTCTGGTTATCTGGGACAGAGGTGGCAGAGAGGCAGCTGGCTGTCCTGGGAAAGGCCTGCATCTAACTGTGCTGACTTTAACCAGACTGTTCACTCTGTTTGTGTAATTGGCTCATCAGTACCCCAGGGAAAAATCATCTAAAGTGTACGTTCATTCAGCCCAAAAAAGTAAGTGCCTACTATGCCTAAGGAGGCTCTGCAGTGAACAATGTGGAGCTTCAATCGGAAATAGATCTCTTTATCCCCACATGCTGAGTGGGTACATGGCTCATCAGACTGAGGCAGGGGAATAAGGGTCTGGAGCCAGGGAACCTAAGGCCCTTTCACACTGACTTCCTGGAACTAAATTGAAAGGAAAACCCTAACTTTCCATGCCTAAGTAACATAAGGACCAGAGGCTACTTCCCTTGCAAACCCTCACCTTTTCTGTGTGGCAGATGGGAAATTGAAAGTACTTCTGATTGGTTGCTTTTTGCAAGCAATCAGATGTTTGCATAGGAGTGTAACTTTGTAACTTTACTTCTGCCTCTGATTGGTTGGGGAAAGCAACCAATTGTGAGCCAAGTCTTCCTTTGCATAGAAGTGCAACTTTGTAACTTCACTTTAGCCTCTGATTGTTTGCTTTCCACAACCAATCAGACCGATTGGCACACTTCATTTACATGGGGTGAACACCAAGTGGCCAATGGAAGACCTCTAAGGGGGTATTTGGACCTGAGAAGATTCTGTATCCTGGGCCCTTGAATGGCTGCTCAGCCTGCTCCCACCCTGTGGAGTGTACTTTTGTTTTCAATCTCTGCTTTTGTTGCTTCATTCTTTCCTTGCTTTGTTTATGCATTTTGCCTAATTCATTGTTCAAAACACCAAGAACCTGGACACCCTCTATGGGTAACAAGATGATTGTACATTGCTGTGTCATCAAATGGGCACTCCAGACTCGTGGAACAGCATGAGTCTGTTCCATGCTTAGCATAGCACTTAGCATAGCCTTGGCAAACAGTGTACAACACAAAGAATGTTAGAGCCCTTCAAGGCTCTTACCTTCAGTTTTCAGGTGTGGAAATTATAGTGCAGAGAGGTGAAACAGCATAAAAGTAACAGCTTTTTGGTGAAGAGCTTGGACTGCACTCTGATGTTCTGGCTCATAACTCAGATTTTTCTACTTGACTGCATACTATGAAGACAGATCATATTAATATAAATTAAAGGCCTTCATATTACTGTCAAAGGGAAGGGAGAAAAGGTTTGGAATATGCGTGTTGGTCTCTCTGTTCTGTGAATAACAGGGGTTCTTCATAGCAAGCACAATTTCTCAACCAGCACATCGGAATCACCTGGAACCCTAAGATAACACCGATGCAAGGAATCCACCCAAGAGATTTGAATTCAATTATTTTGGGGTACAGCCTGAGCACCAGGGGCTTTAAAAGATTCCAGATGATTCTCATGTACAGTCAAAGTCGAGAGGCACTACTCTGCAGGAATTACCTTGAGTGCCTTTTGGCTTAATAGAGCCAGAGAGCTTCAGAGATTCTGGCAGTGAGGCATCTTGCAAAGACAGCATAGATTTCGATAACGAAATAAAATCCAAAATCCTCTGGTTTCTCTCTCTTGAAGAATTTCCGGGCAAGGGGAAGGGCAGGCCGACCAAGGGGCCTCTATTTCCTTCCCTGCTGCTGTGTAGCTGCTTCCTTAAGGGTTGTTTTTTTTGTTTGTTTGTTTTTTTCTCAAGGCTCAGATCAAATTGTAGCCCTAAACCCCATTCCTTGGTTCCTGTTTGTGAGGCTGATAAAAGCTCTAACTTCCCCACATGCATTGTAAATATTACTGAAAATAAGAGGCTAGAAGCACAGAGAGTATCTGGTATATGAATATCCTGGCTTACAAAGTATAATATTCAGAGTCTACCATAGCTAGCTTGCTCTCTGAGATGTACAGACTCGATTCCAGCTGTGAGTCTAGGAAAGAGGCCTCTTCCAAGGAAGCCTCCTTTCCACTCCCTTTTAATGTTTTGTCACTTCTTCCCAATTGAGGTCGAGCTCTATGTGTGGCTCTCCAGTAGAGCTTTCTGTGATGACAGAAATGTGCTATATCTGCTCTGTCCAATGCGGTAGTCGCCAGTCAATGCCAGCTGCATGTGGTGACTGAGCACTTGAAATGTGACTGGTGCAACTGATGAACTCGATTCTTGTTTTATTTCATTTAAATTTAAATAGCCGCATGTGGCTAGTGGTCAACATGTTGGATAGCACAACACGACCATGCTGTCTAAAACATGCTATTATCTACTAGGTTACAAGAGCATTCATGTAGAAATAAATGTCGCAGTACAGAAATGAGAAAAAAGATAGGGCTCTTTAGTGGAGTTGTATCAGAAAGAAGGGCAGGGAAATATAGTTGTGACCTCAGTATAAGCTAGATAAAGGCCAGGTGAAAGTTAAAATGCAATGCTAGTTTCATCATTGACAAAAACCTCTCACAAACCAACAATTTAATTGACCCTACGGAGCAAATTCAAGGAGAAATGCTTCAACAACCATCTTTTTCAAAGGTTCCCAGGACTTCCTGATTTCTTTTGTATCAAATTACTCTGACCATCACATTCCTCTTATATTAGCACTTCCTGGTTCCGTAAGGACTGGAAATAGACATTCGGGATCCCCAAAAACAAACAAAGCAAAACACCAAGGTTTTGTTTTTAGTAACTTAACCTTCTGAACCTCCTGTAGTGTTCATTCAAATGTGTAACAAGGGATGGAGTTAAATTCTCTGATAATCTGAAAGACAAGGGAAGCAGTATTTAATTCAGAGAGTTACAAAGAAAAAGATCAGTTTAGATCTGCAATTAGCGTCTGAACCCATTTAAGCCTCTAACAGTTGCCTTGGCCTGAATTGACTTGTTCCCAGTATTCCATTGCCTTCCCTATGTTTCCCTGCTAGTAATCCTCAGGGAGTTTTGCTTGCCTTCTTCTCAGTCTGGACCCTAGGCAGTGCGCAAAGTTCACAGCCTCTGGAATCAGATTGCCTGAAGATGAAAACTCACTTCACCAATAACTGTGCCATCTTGGGCAAAGTACTTAACTTCTCTGGTTGCATTTGCCTCACTTACTAGTAGGGATGTTAATAATTTCACTCATAAAGTTGTTTGGGAAATAAATGAATTAGCCATGCGCAGTGGCACGTGCCTGTAGTCCTAGCTACTGCGAAGGCTGAGGTGAGAGGATTGCTTGAATCCATGAGTTCAAGGCTGTAGTGAGCCATGATCGGCCACTGCACTCCAGCCTGGGTGACAGAGCAAGACCTTGTCTCTAAAAAAATAAATAAATAAGAAAGAAATGAATTAATGTTTGTTAAAAGTCTAGTACATACTCGTTTTTTAATACATATGTACGCTATTGCTATTAGTGAAATTAAATTTTCAGTCAGAGGGACTGAATTCCTGTTCTGCAACCTACTAGTTGTATGCTGTTGGTCTAGTTACTTCTCTACCCTGACTTGCAGTTTATACTCATTGAAAAATAAGACTATCATAATCATTCTCAAAGAGTTGTTGTGGAGATTGAATGAGAGTATTTGCAAAAGTGGCATTAGATGGAATTCTAACTGCAGAACCAGCCCAATCTGGTTCAACTTTGTGTAATACAAGTGGTGAGTTGTATTTCAGTTGCCATGAACCCCACGTTGCAAGTTACATGACAGGAGCATGCCCAGACGAACCAAGTATGCAACCACAGGCAGAATCTAAGTGCTTGGATTAAGGAACAGGGACAGAATTAAGAAGGATCCAATCAGATCAAGCCCTGGAGTCACCCCATAGCAGGATCCAGTCAGACTGTGACTCCCAGCATCACCTCATTGCAAGATCCAGTCAGATCATGCCTCATTACTCCCTGACTATAAACTGCCCCCAAACCCCAGCTTGGGGAGACAGATTTGATCCTGATTCCTGTCTCTTTGCCTGGCTGCCTAGTGATAAACCTTTCTTGTTGCAAAAATCTGGAGCTTTGGTGTTTGGCTTTCTGCTGCATGAGGGTAAATGGACCCAGTTTGGTTTGGAAACAAAAGTTCCTATGGTAAAAAGGTTATACTCCTGTATCCCCAGGGAAATGTCTACTGGCTCTCAAGTAGCTTCAGGAGTATCAAGGCCTATGGTCTAACCCTCAGCTTTGCAGACTCAAATCTGAGTGGTCAGCATCTGTATTAGTTTGTTCTCATGCTGCTAATAAAGACATACCCGACACTGGGTAATTTACAAAAGAAAGAGGCTTCACTGACTCAAAGTTCAGCATGGCTGGGGAGGCCTCAAGAAACTTACAATCATGGCAGAAAGGGCAGCAAACACATCCTTCTTCACATGGCAACAGCAAGGAGAAGTGCAGAGCAAAGGACGGGAAGCCCCTTATAAAACCATCAGATCTCTCGAGAACTCACTCACTATCATGAGAACAGCAGCATGGGGGTAACCACTTGCATGATTCAATTACCTCCCACTGGGTCCCTCCCATGACACGTAGGCATTATGGGAACTACAATTCAAGATGAGATTTGGGTGGGGACACAGCCAAACCATATCAGCATGTGAGAACACACCCATCATGCAGGAGTGGACAGGCTTCAACCAAGCTATGAGACTGAACAATGCAAACTGAATGCCCATTTGCTCATTTCTCATGAGAAATATGGCACTATCTCAGGCAAAGGAGGTCAACCAGCAGAGTCTCGGTTTGTAGCCATTACAAATCATGTCAGATCAGAATCAGAGGCTTCTCTAAGAATAAGTACAAAGACAAAGGGGTTGGTTATGTAGTCCTGACATTTCATGGAACTGGGAGATAATCCCTGATGTGTCCCTCTCTGCAAAGGATGCCAAGCAGGGGGACGGAATTGGTTCCATTCTCAGGCCTGAGCACTCTCTCTCTTGTTCAGTGTATAAATAAGCACTATCAAAAATCTTGCACCATCCCTTTTCTGTTTCTGGAGTCCTGCACCAATCGCTGACCTGGATATTCCTTCCATAGATACACAAATGCCCTTTTGGTATTTTTCTGGTCCTGCTGACCAGGAAGTCTTTTAGTCCCTTTTCACTTACCTCCATGAGCATCCATTAGATGTTGAAGTCACCATTGAAGCTCAAAGAGTAATCTTTTGTTCTGGTTCCTAAGTCCACATAACAAAAGGCAAAACAAATATGCTATTGCTTTTATGTAACTAGTGATTTAAAGTTATAATTACCTAATAAAAGAGTTTAAAATCATTTCTCCCCCAGGTTGCATTTGTTTATTCGCTTTATGTGCTGGATGTCTTCTCTTTGACCCTCTGAATCCACCCTCACCCCTCTCCCTCCTCCCTCCTGCCTCAGAAGGTGGATGTCTATGGACTCCATCAATAGACTCCCCTACCCTTGGCTTCCAGTTGGGTTTATCCAGGGAATAGACTTGGCAGCAGATAAGAGGGAGAGAAGACAGTATCTTCAGGTTATTTATTCTCTTTGGATCCCTTTCTGAGAGATTGCCTTGGGCTGTTTGTGCTGCTCAACCAAATGTCACTGCTCCTCTTCAGAGGGTCCCCTTTTTGAGATTCTTAAGAATTCCAGACACCACTCCCTTGTCCCTTCAGTCTTAGTCATGGTGGCTACTCCACTGCTATTAACCTCAGGTCACTGTAGCATCCTTTGTGCTTCCCACATTTTCATAAAGAGTCTCTTTGTAAATAACCCTTCTTTGATACCTCCTAATTTGTGTGAGCCATCTGCTCCTTGTTGGTATCCTTAGTGATACATTTTGTTTTGGATTTTAATGTTTGTGATCGTCTCTGTACATATATATACTGCTAACATTTTGAGTGAATGAATGCTGTGTGAATGAGCTCATGGCAGAAATACTGATGGCACGGGAGGCATGAACTCTGGGCGCCCTGGATCAACTCAGATGACACCATCCACTACCCAGAATCTCCACCCACGGCCTAGTGCCCCTGTTTTCTGCGTGACCCAGCAGTGGCAGCATGGTGAGAAAGTAGCAGGGATATGGGGGGAAAGGTTCATCAATGTGTGAGGCCCTTTTACTGTCCAGAAAAAACCAGTCAGGTCCATGAACAACAGCAGCAGTAGGAGAAATCACATCCAGTGCATTTCCATAAATTATTCACTGACTGTTTTTAGACCTAGAAAGTTCTTTAAAGACCTGAACCCTTCATTTTCTATGTGAGGAAACAAGCGCAATGCTGTGAAGTCATGGAGCTAAAATGTTTCAGAGAGTCTGGTCAGGAATTTTCAGCATCTTCATTTCCAGTCCAGTGACTTCCTGAAGGCAGCTGCTGCACCTGAAGATTTAAGCAGCAAGAATTCCATCAGAGGTTTTTAAACATTTAAGACATTTTATTTGTTTAATGTAGAGAACAATTTTTTTTTTTTGAAACAGGGTCTCACTCTGTCGCCCAGACTGTGGTGCAGTGCTGTGATCTTAGCTCACTGCAGCGTCGACCTCCCAGGCTTGAGCAATCCTCCTTCCTCAGCCTCCTGAGTAGCTGGAACTACAGGCACACATCACCATGCCCGACTAATTATTGTATTTTTTGTAGAGACAAGGTTTCACCATGTTGCCCAGGTTGGTCTCAAATTTCTGGGCTCCAGTGATCCACCTGTCTGGGCCTCCCAAAGTGCTGGGATTGCAGGCATGAGCCACAATGCATGGCCTTAACGTAGAAATTGTATCAACTTGCTTCCCACTTAGACTTTCGTTAAAATGCATCAAAAAGCATAGAAATAAAAACTTTTTTTTGTCTAGACCTCTGATCACTGAAAAAAACATTTTAAAGTATGTATTCATATAGGCCAGGTGCAGTGGCTTATGCCTGTAAATCCAGCACTTTGGGAGGCCAAAGCAGCTGGATCACCTGAGGTAAGGAGTTCAAGACCAGCCTGGCCAACATGGCAAAACCCCATCTCTACTAAAAACACAAAAATTAGCCGGGTGTGATGCCACATGCCTATAATCCCAACTACTCGGAAGGCTGAGGCAGGAGAATCGCTTGAACGCAGGAGACGGAGGTTGCAGTGAGCCGAGATTGCACCCCTGCACTCCAGCCTGGGCGACAGAGTGAGACTCTGTCTCAAAAAAAAAAAAAATAAAAAAAAAAATATATAATATTCATTTATATATATGCATATGTATATCATGTGTGTATACATATGCATGTGTATATACATATGTGTGCATGTGTGTGTGTATATCTATGTGTGTACACACATACACACGCACACACATATGCATCCTTTTTTTGGCTCTCATTAGTTTAGCTTGCTTGCTCTAACTCTGAGCATGTGCTTCTTTTCATGGGTGGTTTAGCATTAATACTTTGGGAATTTGGGAATTGTGACAGGCTCTTTCAAACTGTGAGGAGGGAGCTGGACATTCAATAGAAAAATAACCTATCAAATCACATTTTTCCTGATGTGCGTTAACTTACAAAAAAGTAAGTGGAGTTATTTCTCAAACTTGCTGAGGGTAAAAAGGACCCCAAGGCAATGCCAGAATATTGACATTTAGGCACAATAGAGAGGTTGGGGTTCACCAAAGCCTTGTCACATGCACTTTGACCTTTTAATCCAAATTCGAAATGGAGTGATTTTTATGCATTTGGAGTCTCTTCTTGTCACTTGAGAACATCACAAACTTGAGAACATCACAGACTAACATTTTCTGTTTTGATATAGTTTTCTTATTAAAATAAAATCAAGTTTATTTTCTTATTTATTTTTTATTTTTTTAGGCAGAGTTTTACTCTGTTGACCAGGCTGGAGTGCAATGACATGCTCAGCTCACTGCAACCCCTGCCTCCTGGGCTGTAGCTATCGTCCCTCCTCAGCCTCCTGAGTAGAGCAACTACAGGTGCACGCCACCATGCCCAGCTAATCTTTGTATTTGTAGAAACAGGTTTTGCCGTGTGTGCCCAGGCTGGTCTCAAACTCCCAAGCTCAAGTGATCTACCAACCTGGGGCTCCCAAAGTGCTGGGATTACAGGTATGAGCCACTGTGCACAGCCAAAATGAATATTGTCATAAAGCATATATGTCAAAATTAATATTGTCAAAAAGCATTTTGTTTCTGCAAAAGATTTCTCTGCAAAAGCATATTTTGCTTAAAAATCCAAGACTTTAGCTGACCCCAAATCCAGCCACCCAGGGACCCAAACCCCAGAAGTCAGGGAGTGGGAATTCCTTCTCAACTGCCTTTCCTCTCTGTTGACCTGGGAGACACAGTGCTGCAAGAAGATGACTGGCTCTTGGCTCAGCAACACACACACAAAAGCAGCTCTTAAGGAAAAAATGGTGGAGGAGAACTCACTGGTGGGATGCTGAAGGCTCCCTGACCAGAGGGAGGCTGAAGGAGCCAAGTTGGAAGGAACCCAGTTAGCTGGAAAGGTCCAAGCAGTACCTCTCAGCAGAAACAGTCTAGGAAGCTGCCACCAGCACTGCACACCCTCTTGTTCTCACTATGGTTTCTATCCACCTTTTGTCATGAAACCGCCTTTGCAAAATTATGACTGAGACAGTGAAAGAGATCTAACTTAATCAACTCCATCTTGCTTCTAACCTTCAAGCTGTCTTTGTTCATTCCTGGGCTTAGGCTGAACTAACTTTGGGAGAAACTTAGTCTATAGTTTAAAACAAAGACAATAACAGCCTTTTCCAAAAGCAGACCTCCTTCTTGCCTGGGGACTAGATTGCCTTTGTAGGGCTAACATTAGCCATAATGTTAGAAATTATGGCTTAGGAGTCATGCAGCTGAAGGCTATGAGATTCTGATCCTCTCTAAACTGCTCCTAAGATCAGTGCTTGAGATATTTTGCAGACCCTGCACTTGATGGATCAGCTGGCACCACCCAGATCAATAAACTGGCTCATCTGATCTTGTGACCCCCACTCAGGAACTGACTCAGTGCAAGAAAACAGTTTCTACTCCCTGTGATTTCATCCCTGAACAATCAGCACTCCTGGCTCACTGGCTTCCCCCAAACCACCAAGTTGTTCTTAAAAACGCTGCTCCCCAAATGCTCAGGGACACTAATTTGAGTAATAATAAAGCTCCAGTCTCCCACACAGCCAGCTCTGTATGAATTATTCTTTCTCTATTGCAATGCCCCTGTCTTGATGAATCAGCTCTGTTGAGGCAGTGGGCAAGGTGAACCCGTTGGGCAGTTACAGTGTCATATGACACAAGTCTTATGTCGAGAACCCAGGCAGGAAATTCTAACAGCCAGATCAAGGCCACATATTTAAGGCTTGGCCTTCAGGTACAGGGAGCGGGAAGGTACACCCACCTTCTCTTTCTTTTTGGAGTAGGAAGGGCACACTATCCCACCAAAAGTACAAAGAATGAAAGAGGTACCACAAATAGGCAGCGTGGTTGGATACTGACCAACCAAAAAACCTGAAAACATAAAACAAAACAACTGTCACTTGACTTTCTAAGGGAGTGGCACCAGGATAAAGTGTCCTCCACCTGAGGCACAAGGGTATTCTTTTGTCTCTGAACTCAGGCAAGAACTCCCAACCCCTTCACATGCAGAACTAGAATCAGAGTGTGAGTAGATCTCCAACCCACATGGGAGACAGTCCTGAGATTATGGGCTTTGAGGCAAGAGGAAAAGGGTTAGTCTGCTGGGCTTGCAATGTATCAACCACATTACCATAAACAAGTCCTTTTACCTAACTGAGCCCAGCTTCCTCCTCTGTTAAATGGAGCTGATAAATATTGTTCCCCTCTTGTATTGTTGCGAAGATTCAATGAGGTAATACGTACCAAATACTGTCCTTGGGACAGAGTTAACCTCAATCACTGTAGCCCTTTTCATTAACATGAGTCTCTCTGGTGGGGTATAAATGCAGTTCAGAATTCCCCCAAACAGGCTTTCATTTAGTTCATATTACCACTTCCCTAGAATTATGAGTTAAAAATTTCTGTGTTGTCATCCTGACATAGTCACAGACATCACCCACTGATGCCGGAACCAGCCTATGTCCTGTTCATTTGTCCCTCACTGGGCTACCCAAATAATTCCCCAGGAGAATACCTGGATATCACCTTCTTACAATGACCTCAGAATGGGTCCCATGCTCCAATATATTTTATGCACTTTGCCTGAAATGTATTTGAAACCAACATTTAAAACATCATCAGTTTATACAACAGGAATGTTTTTACTGATCTCTTTAATTCTAGAAAATTCTTACCTTCGGGTTGAACGTTAGCATGGTTTTGAGGTTTGGGAAAGAGCACTGTGGGGTATCTCGGTTGCTATCTGCTATTGCTGATACGCTGATGTGTACAAGGAGGAAAGCTCAAGTGTCTGGCTAAATGGAATGTGTAACTGTGCTGCCAGAAAAGGGGGAAAATCAAGAAATCACCCAGTGACAGGGGGTGTCCAGTGAGCAAGTCAGTAAAGGGCAGAGACTGCAGAAAGCCAAGAGAGAGCTTTATAATAATACCTAGCGCTTGTATCAATGATTCCAGAGCTGTTTCTAGCAGCTATTTCCTGTGGACAAGCACTGGTATCTTGGTTCACGGAAAGAAAATGAAGCCTGACCCTGATGTGCAGTTTTCCAACTTCCCTCTCAAAGCAGCAGTTGCTGGCCTGGAATTCCCAGGCCTGAGTTCAGTGGGTAGAACGGCTCTGGAAGGGGACACCAAGACTCGGGCAGATGCAGCATCTGGGACACAGCTGTGACGGAAAGCGAGCTGGGCCATCCCAAAGGGGCATCTGTCTGCAGTGGCTGTTAGAGGCAGGTCCAGGTGCAAATCTACAGGACATCAAGGACACCCAAAGCATGAGTGAAAGATATTGTAATGAGGGTCGGGGTAGCATCTGGAGAAGCCACCTGAGCCACTGGGACCCAGCAACAAGGATGTTTTATGAAGTGCTTAGGATGGGCTTGCTAAGACACCTTGCCATCACAGAGACATAGAGGGCTTCATGTTATAAAGCAGTTTTTCTTCATCTGGCAAATTTTTCCTCCCTCAGCTGGACTTGGAAATCTACCTACTTAGAAAGCCAAACTCGGATCAAACAAATGCACAAAGGAGAGTCTGATGCCCTGTAGTCCAATTGGTTGGCACAAGTTCAGGTGGCATCTGGAACACGAGTGACCTTAAGTCAGACCCTGGAGCAGCATGCAGGATGTGTCCTTAGCTTGTCCTGTGGAGTTCATGCTCACTGAAAACTCCATCATCTTCTTGTGGGTTCACGGACAGCCTGTCTCAACTGCAGAGGCCTCCAAATGCTATAAAGAGTTAATATGGGCCAGATACACTGAAGCCTGTAATCCTAGCACTTTGGGAGGCTGAGGCAGGAAGGCCACTTGAGTCCGGGAGTTCAAGACCAGCCTGGGCAACATAATGAGATCCTAGCTCTACAAAAATAAAAAATAAAAAATGTTAAGCCAGGCATGGTGGGGCACACGTGTAGTTCCAGCTAATCAGGAGGCTGAGCAGGAGTATGGCATAAACACAGGGGTTCAAGGCTGCAGTGAGCTGTGATTGTGCCACTGCACTCCCACCTGGACCACAGAACAAAACCCTGTTTCTAAAATAAGTAAATGATAAAATAGAATTAATACGGTTTTTAATTCTCAAAAATCCAGAGGGATCCTCCAGTGGTAAGAGCATATATACCTATGGGGGTTTTGGCAAAGAGACTCAGCACTTCTGACCACAGTGGAGAATATCGTGGCTCTGAGACAGTCACTGAGGGTCAAAGCTGTATCCCGCAGGTGCATTGGGGTGTAGAAATGGATGCAAACACAGCTTTCATCAGTTGCATTCCCGACCTCATAGTTCCCTGACCTTTATTTACCCTCCAGTCACATCCCTACATGGAACATCGAGACACCAGCTGACCCTGAGGCACTGGACTCATCGACACATCACACACATCAACACGTGTAGACTCAGGCACCTATTCTTCAAAGCTGACCACAACCTGCTGTTGCTCATCTTCCTCTTCCCATTTTTATGTGTATTTATTATGCAGCTCCCATAGTGTTTTGTTTACAATGCAGATAAACAAAGGCTCTGTCTATTTGAGATGTGTGCTTCCTCCAAAATTATAAATTTTGAAAGAAGGCAAAAAAATAACAAGAGAATCAATTCAAGTAGAGCCACTCAAAGGCTAAGACTAGGATATGTTAAAACAGTATCAGGTCCTGCCCTGGCTCTCAGGATGCCGGTTCTGTGATTGCACTCCACGTCCGTGGTAGACCCTTTTGCGTTCTAGGAATTTATGAGTTAGAAAACCCAACAGGTGTGGAATAAAGGGAATGTCTCCCCCCAACACTGGGAAGGCCCTCAGGAGGCACATTTAGCTTGAAAATTTGCCCAACCACTCAACCAATGCATGCCAGAGACTTCAAAACCAGTCCTGATCATGTTTAGGGCTCTGCACCACGACTAGGAAACAGTCCTCTCAATTTCCTAAGGAAACTGGTTGACTATCAACGCCTCCTCCTCACTTACGTGCTGACATTTTTCCTTAAGATGTTGAACCCCTCACCAAACAGACCGGCAAGTAATCACCAAGGATTCTTTCAGGAACCCGTGTTTATTCATGCACCTTCATCTTCAGTTCAGAATGTTTTTAATCTTGTAAATCAGTAACCAACCAAGGTGATTGCTGCTGATTTTAAATACTTCATGTTATTTTTAATGCGTTTTACAGAGCTGGGATCTGATGAGTATAGATGTAATAAAAACACATCCTCCTATCTTTTTTTTTCTTAAACATTTTCCTTGTACGATTTCGCAAAAAGACAGATAACTTATAGAGTAAGTTCTTTTGCTGTTTATATTTCTCCTGGCAGATTGCCAAACAGCGTTTAGCAGCGTATTAATCAGCTAGAATGTGAGCTCCACAGACCACTGCATTTTCCTTCTGCACCTGAGAACTCCAGTGGAAGTCTCAGAAACTCTTGTTGAGCCAGAAATCTATTTTCAGTGGATATTGAATTCATGGATTGTATATTTTCACCTTCCACGTCCAGGTGAAGGCTGAGATCACTAGTAGGACCTCCCAACCCTGGAAATGTGGCAAGCAGAAAGCCATTGTGACTCTCTGGACACATTAGTGGAGAAATGTTGAATTCTCTCTTACTCATATTACATCTTAGAAGCATCCACCAGCACAGCCTGTAGATTTGTAAGATGAGCAGAGTAATGAAAATGACACGGTGTGATTCGTTATCTTCTCATTGGTGGTGACTTCTCACAGAGGTGGCAGAGCAAGCCAGGCAAATGAAGTTAAGCTGTTCAGGAAGGAAGAAAGGAAGGAAGGAAGGAAGGAAGGAAGCAGGGAGGGATGGAAGTAGGGAAGGAAGGAAGGAAGGAAGGAAGCAGGGAGGGAGGGAGGGAAGGAAAGAAGGAAGGAAGGAATGAAGCAGGGAGGGAGGGAGGGAAGAAAGGAAGGAAGGAAGGAAGGAGGGAGGGAAGAAAGGAAGGAAGGAGGGAGGGAAGAAAGGAAGGAAGGAGGGAGGGAGGGAGGGAAGGAGGGAGGGGAGGAGGGAGGGAAGGAAGGAAGGAGGGAGGGAGGGAGGGAAGGAAGGAAGGAAGGAAATGGAATAAAATAATGACATGAATTTAGGATATTTGTGTACAAGAAAATCCAAAAGGTCAATTTATTATATCTTTCATTATTAGATTTGATGTAGATCTGGGAAATACTATAAATTTAAAATAAACTTGCAGCTTTTCTCCCCGTGAGCATGTTGAGCTTTTAGGTCCTTCGAGGAGAGGGCTTCCTTCCTGCCTTGCCTGTTCTTCTTGGAGACTCTTCGTGTAATAAGCTAAACTTGAGAGTTGCTAGACCTCAGTTGCTCAAAAGGAAGGGAATGTGATCCCCAAGGCACTGGGACCTGAAGCAATTGCTTCAAGGGCTGTGAAGTCATCAGCTTTGCCTTCATGTAGGCACTAGTCTAGCACAGCCTATGATATGCCCAGTTCGGGCAGGAATAACTCCAGGCAGAATATGCACCTTTTCACAGTCTTAAGATATCAGGAAAATTAGACTTCTCCACATGAACATTTTTAAAAATTGGACTCAGTGCCTCTACTTGCAAATTGTGTGCATGCGTGTGTGTGTTTGTGCACACAAGAATGTGTTTTGAGGACATTTGAATGCAAACAAAGCTATGCAATGAAAACCTGGTTTGGGGCCCAGAGCAATGGCTCACGCCTGTAATCCCAGCACTTTGGGAAGCCAAAGCGGGCAGATCACTTGAAGCCAGGAGTTCAAGACCAGCCTGGCCAACACGGTGAAACCCTATCTCTACTAAAAATACAGAAATTATCAGGCCAGGAGCTTGCAGTGAGCCGAGTGCGCCACTGCACTCCAGCCTGGGCGACAGAGTGAGACTCCATCTCAAAAAATAAAAAAAAAGAAGTAAAACAACATAAACATCATTGTTTTCCTGACTGCTTAAATAATGAACAGTAGGATTTTCTCCCATCAGAATTTTCTGCCTCTCCTGTTCAACACTTACAGCTTTAGTTCACTGATGTGGCATAAAATCACAGTGAGACAGATGGTGCTGGCCTGTAGTCTCAGATACCTAGGAGGCTGGGGCAGGAGAATCACTTGAACCCAGGAGGCGGAGGTTGCAGTGAACCAAGATCACACCAATGTACTCCAGCCTGGGTGACAGAGCAAGACTCTGTCTCAAAAAACATACAAACAAACAAAAAACCCAAAAACCTAGTTTGGTTTACAAACTGCCCCAAAACAAACTTCTGAACATAATCTTTTCTTAAAGGTATGTCTTGCATATAAGAAAGGTTTGTATATTTGTACTTTTTTTCTGACTTTGTTTTATTCTCAGCAATCTGAGGAGTTTGTTCCCTGGAGCCTATTTATAATGATGCTTCAGGTTCTGCTGCATGTCCCCTTTGGCTTTCCTCCTGAAGCAGAGAAGCATTTGCACAGAGCACACCAGGTGTTACTTTCATATTCTCAGACATACTAGACTCTATTAACAAAAACACTAAATCAAAACACAGCAAAATTAGTGATCATCGCCGGAGTATGCAGCCCAAACTCCTTACGACAGCTCGGGAAGTGCCCTGTGTCTCTGTTCTCACTGTCTACATGATTGGACAATTTGATACTGATAGTAATTGACATTTTAACTATTAGTTGGTGTTCACATAAATTATAGACCAAAATTCATCTCACTTAGTCAGCATCATGTCAACCATTTCCTTTGGCTTGGTAGATAATGACATATCCAAAGACCGGGTTCTTGGGGTTTCAGGTTGCTGGCTTGGACCCAAAGAAAACTCACTCCTCTGGCCTGAGCCCCAATTTCATGCTTGGGAGCTGAAGCACATGACAGCCATTCATCATTTCCATTTCTTTTTCTTTTCCTTTTTTTCTTCCTATGATCTGGAAACCATTTCACCAAAGGAAACTGGCAGAAACTCTTGTAAAGCATTAAAGAAACTGAAATGTATAGGTGTAGCTTTCCTAAAGAGGACTGAACTTCCGAAGGACACAGGGTTCCTGGGCATTCTATATGCCTTTTTAACTGGATCTAACCAAGCTAGATATGGGCATAGTCCTCTCAGTGGTCAGCTACCATCCCATGCACCAAAAGCAAAAGCATTCATCACCTGTTACTTTTTTTTCTGTTTTGAGACAGGATCTCTCTCTGTCACCCAGGCTGGAGTGCAGTGGCACAATCTTGGCTCACTGCAACCTCCACCTCCCAGGTTCAAGCAATTCTCCCACCTCAGTCTCCAGAGTAGCTGAGACTACAGGTGCATGCCACCACGCCTGGCTAATTTTTGTATTTTTAGTAGAGATGGGGTTTCACCATGTTGGCCAGGCTGTTCTTGAACTCCTGACCTTAAGTGATCTGCCCGCTTCAGCCTCCCAAAGTGCTGGGATTGTAGGCATGAGTCACCACTCCTGGCCCACCTGTTACTTTTCTATCCTTCTCTTAGCTGTAGCATTCTCTCAAAAGACACTAATGCAAATGTTTCAATGTAAAATACCATCTTGCTAATTATACTTTCTGAGTTCAGGCATGGTAGCCAAGCAAAAGGGAATGTACACTTTTCTAAAATCTAGAGATCAGGAAAACGAAACTAAGGCACCTTGACTCACCCAGCTAACAAAAATCACAGAAGTAAACAGAGTTGGTTGCTATGAAGAGAGGAATACAAACAAATGAATCTCATTCAAAGATGTCACTAACAGTGTTTTTCCTCCCTCACAAAGGGATAGTCAGTTTTTCTCTTGCAATGGCAGTTCAGGAGTGAGGAAGATTCTTCTGTTTATCCATTGGAAAAAATACTGTGAAAGAATTTGATCTATAGGATCCTTGGGAGACCACCTTTCTGAAATCCAGGTGCAGCTCTCTGTCCAAGATAAATCCAAATAACATTCCAAAGAAAGTCCCTGAAAGAACAGAAGCATGTATTGAATGATAGGTGAGCAAAGGAGATGGCGGTTTCCCAAAAGAAAACAGAAAGATTTATTTATCAACAGAGGAGGTGGATATTGCTAAAATTATAGAGTTGAAACTTTGCCCTTTAGTTCACAGAGGAAGCTGGGGAGAGATATCAGAAACAGATGGCAATTTCCCAAATGGAAATAGAAGACCCTGGAAGAAATGGAAGAACAAATGTTCCAGTCTCACAGTCAGTCAAGGACTTAGACTTCTTAGGAGATGGTGCAAGTTCATTGCCCTACAGAGCTCTAAATTATGAAGTAAAAGGAGGATTAAAATGAATATAATTAACCTATTTAAGCTTTAATATGTAACTATAATTATTTTTTTCGAGACTGGATCTTGCTCTGTCACCCAGGCTGGAGTGCAGTGGTGTGATCATGGCTCACTACAGCCCCAACCACCGCCCCCACCGAGGGGTTCAAGTAATTCTCCCACCTCAGCCTCCAGAGTAGATGGGACTACAGGCATGTGCCATTACACACAGCTAATTTTTTTATGTTTTTTAGAGATGAGGTCTCACTACGTTGTCTGAGCTGGTCTTGAACTCCTGGCCTCAAGTGATCCTCCCAACCTTGGCCTCCCAAAGTGCTGGGATTACAAGTGTGAGCCACTACACTTAGCCTAATGTATTATTATTAGATTGCAAAAATGTTTTGATGGTCTGAATGGCAGGAAAACGTATAAGAGAAAACAAAGCATTGATTACTTCTAGGTCAGTTAGCGGTGCTCATGTAGCAGTGCTGCCTCGACCTCCCAAATTCTCTTCCTCTGTTCAAGACCTACTTCCAGACGCTACCCTGCAAAGGAGTTAATGTTTGGTTCTTTTTCTGGGTTCCTAGGATCAAACCCAAAGAGAGGATGCCTACAACAAACCTGCCTGCATCAGAAATTGCTGCAGGTGTTTCATTCTTACTCTTTTTCCATTGGATTCACTTCCATTAAAACCACAAAGCATCTGGCAGGCACTCAGTGTGTGCTAAGCCCAGTGCAGGACACTGGACAGAAAAAGATGAACAGGACCAAGTTCTGTCCACAACATGCTCAGCATGTAGCTGGGGAGAGAGATAAAGAAACAATCCTAAGACAAGGTGATTGGTTCAGTTAGGTGATTAAAAGGAAGAGCAGAGAAAAGTTAGACTCTGATTTTGCATGAAGGAATCAGGGAAGGCTTCCCAGAAGACCACAAAAGATGTTACTCAGGCTGGGCACAGTGTCTCAGGCCTGTAATCCCAGCACTTTGGGAAGCTGAGGCAGGCAGATCGCTTGAGCCGAGGAGTTCAAGACCAGCCTGGGCAACATGGCGAATATCCCGTCTCTACAAAAAATACAAAAATTAGCCAGATGTGGTAGTGCAAACCAGGAGGCTGAGGTGGGACGATTGCTTGAGCTTGTGAGGCAAAGGTTGCAGTGAGCCGAGATCATGCTACTGCACTCCAGCGTGGGTGACAGAGCCAGATCTTGTTTCACAAAAAAAAAAAAAAAAAAAAGATTTGACTCAAAAAAGGAGGTGCAGGGAGAACAAGGTAGACAATGCAATCGAGAGAGGATAGCAGCAATGAAGGCACCAAAGAGGTATTAGCATGTGTCACATTCTGGACACTAAGGCAGTTTGATGTGGGTAGATTTTTATATCTATGGAAGATGAGGGGAAGGATGACACGACAGAGGAAGGCAGGGACCAGATGGAGCCAGTCCTTCCATGGTGGACTGAGAAGCCTACGTACATCCGTAGATGATAGGGCCATTAAATGATGGTGAGCAGAGAAGCAGCACCGACAACTCTGCCTTGAGGAAAGTACATCCCTGGTGCCGTTGCAGTATCTGAATGGGAATGAGGCAAAAGCAGGGGGTGGAGTGGATATATAGTTACTGCAATACTCCAAGTGAGACAGCAAAGCTTGAAGTTGACAGATCACCAAGAGTCCTTCTGACACCTTGACCACAAGAGGCAGGCATGAAGGAGTGGCCTGATGCCAGAGCCTGCTTTCCTTCTTCGTGGGACGGTGCTGCGGTCCTCAGAACTGACAGGTGAGGCGGGCAGGTAAGGAACACCTGACAATGTGTAAAGAGAATGATCTTATCTGGGCTGCAAATGGCCCTTAAGAAAACCATGGAATCGGGTCTGCATTCATGGCACCTGCCACATAGTTCCACTGGTGTCAGCCCTGGTAGTGACCGGAGGCCTCTGCAGCCCTCCCCCAGAGATGGGCACTTTAGTGGCTCAGGGGCCCCAGGGGGCCCAGCTCCACATCCTGCAACAGCACCAGCCAGAGCAAAAGCCCCCAGGGCCACCTTCACAAGGGCAATATTTTGAGCACTGGCCAATTTAAATATATAATTCAACTAAAAAGTGACCAAAAAATGTAGTAAAATTTTTCTTTTAATGTGATTTTCCCAAGGTTTAGAACCTCCTTACTTATCAACCCTACCAGCTAAGTGAAGAAGTAAAACAACAGGCCGGGCATGGTGGCTCACGCCTGTAATCCCAGCACTTCAGGAGGCCAAGGCAGGTGGATCACGAGGTCAGGAGATCAAGACCATCCTGGCTTACACGGTGAAACCCCGTCTCTACTAAAAATACAAAAAATTAGCCGGGCGTGGTGGCAAGCGCCTGTAGTCCCAGCTACTCGGGAGGCTGAGGCAGGAGAATGGCGTGAACATGGGAGGCGGAGCTTGCAGTGAGCCGAGATTGCGCCACTGCACTCCAGCCTGGGCAACAGAGCAAGACTCCGTCTCAAAAAAAAAAAAAAAAAAAAAAAGAAATAAAACAACACAAACATCATTGTTTTCCTGACTGCTTAAATAATGAACAGTAGGATTTTCTCCCATCAGAATTTTCTGCCTCTCCTGTTCAACACTTAGAGCTTTAGTTCACTGATGTGACATAAATTAAGGCAGGTTTCATCAGTCAGTAAGTTCACAAATATTTATGGCATGCCTCCTGGGTCAAGATGCTTTCAGTGGCAGAAAATGAAGACCCAATTAAAAGTGGCTTAAACATTTATAGAAATGTATTATCTCAAGTAAGAAGTCTGAGGATGGAGTGGTTCCAAAATTGGTTCATCAGTAGTTGCTCAATGATGTTGTCAAGGCCCCAGAGTCTCACTTCCTCCTACTCTGCCATCATTGTGGTGTTAACTTGTGCTTTTGAGCTGGCTTTCCTCATGATGCCAAGGTGGCTGCCACAGATCCAGCTATCACATTGCTCTTTTATAGGGTCAAAGACAAGTAAGTGTTGCAAAAGCACAGAATGTGCCCATTCCTAAACTAATTACTAGCAACAAGAATAGAAAAACCCAGGATAAATTTAGATGGATTTCAATACACACACTGGGCACAGTGAGGGGGCCAGCCATGTGAAGTACATGGTTAAAAGATGCCAGAAAAATCAGGGCTGGCAAAGAAGCAAGGGCAGTGGCTGATAGGCAACCAATATTGTCTATCACCCACTATTCTGAGTACCAAGGACATGTCAGCACACAAGCCCCACAAGGTTCTGCTCCCAAGGAGCTTACCTTCTAGTAGAGGCATGGGAATGTGGGTGGATAATGTAGGAGAGAGGAACTTATAAGGCAATCAGACTGGAAAAGCAAAGCAATATGACATATACATCTTTCTGTGGGTGGATTTTAGTATCACCAGGTGTATATTTAAGTACATTAAGTGGGAGTAGAATTGACTTGGCAATTGTGGGAGATAAACACTTTAGATGTGGGAATGAAATAAATAGGACATGAACAAATCAATCCCCATGTAATTTCTGAATTTTTACTGCATGCAAAGTGTTGTGCAGGACTTGGAAAAGCTATCAAATAGAGGCCTTGGCCCTACAAACATCAGTATAGCTGGGTGATGATGCATTCGTGATAGACATGAAGTACAATGGGCATTCAGAAGAGGATGAGAGGCAACTAGGTTGTCATGGAATCAATCTTGCCAACTTTATATTTTGAAAATAATTTAAAAGGAAAGAATAGAAAGGTAGTATTTTTTAATTCTTTAAAACTTTTTAAATCTGAGGAGTAGCTAAGAAAGAAGACAACAAGATTAAAATTGGAGGAACCAAGAATAAAAGAGCAAGATTAAAAATAATCCCAAGCTCCTCCAAATAAATATGCCTTGGAAAAATAATAATGGTAATAATCCCAATGCATTTATGGTGAATTGATTTTTTTTTTTTTTTTTTTTGAAATGCAGTTTCGCTCTTGTTGCCCAGGCTGGAGTGCAATGGTGCGATCTCAGCCACTGCAACCACTGCCTCCTGGATTCAAGTGATTCTCCTGCCTCAGCTTCCTGAGTAGCTGGGATTACAGGTGCATGCCACCACGCCTAGCTAATTTTTTGTATTTTTAGTAGAGATGGGGCTTCACCATGTTAGCCAGGCTGGTCTCAAATTCCTGACCTCAGGTGATCTACCCGCCTCGGCCTCCCAAAGTGCTGGGATTACAGGCATCAGCCACTGTGCCTGGCCGGTCAATTTTTTTTTTTTGTCAAAGTTTCCAAGAACACACAATGGGAAAAGGACAGTCTCTTTAAAAGCTGGATATCCACATACAAAAGAATGAAATTTGACCCTCAACTCATACCATATACAGAAATCAACTCACAACAGATTAAACACTTAAATATAAGACCTGAAACTGTCAAACTCCTTGAGGAAAACATCTAATTCTATGACATTGACCTGAAAAAATGATTTTTTAAATGTGGTCCCAAAAGCACAGGCAACAAAAGCAAAAATAGACAAATGGGTTACAAGAAACTAAAAACCTTCTGCACAGGAAAGAAAACAATCAACAGGGTAAAGAGACAACCTATGGGATGGAAGATATATTTGCAAATCATACATCTGATAATGGGTTAATATCCAAAATATTAAATATATAAGGAACTTAATAGCAAGAAAACAACCCAATTGAAAAATGGGCAAAGAATCTAAATAGACATTTCTCAAAAGAAGACATGCAGATGGCCAACAGGTATATGAAAAAATGTTCAACATCACTAATAATCAAGGAAATGCAAAATAAAACCACAATGAGATGTCATTCACACTTGTTAGAATGGCTATTACCAAAAGACAAAAGATAAGGGTTGGTCAGGATATGCAGAAGAGGGAACATTTGTGTGCCATTGATGGAAAGGTAAACTATTGTAGACATTTTGGAAAAACAGCTTAGAGATTACTCAAACAATTAAATATAGAACTACCATATGAAATCAACCTAAGTGTCCATCGACAGATAAATGAATAAGGAAAATGTGAGATAGATGAAAGATACAATAGATAGATAATAGATAGATGATAGATAGATAGATAGATAGATGATAGATACACACATATAATGGAATACTATTCAGCCTTTAAAAGGAAGAAAATTCTGTCATTTACAATAACATACATGAACCTTGAGAATACTGTGCTAAGTGAAATAAGACAGGCACAGAAAGACAACAGTGTCTTGATTTTACTTATATGTGGAATTCAAAATAGTCAAGTCCCATAGAAACAGAGGGTAAAATGGTGGTTACCAGAGGCTAGGGGGTCGGGGGTAGAGAGATGTTGGTCAAAAGAAACAAAATTTCTGTTAGTGGAAATAAGCCAAGAGATCTCTTGTACATCACGGTGACTATAGTTAATAACAATATATTGCATACTTGGAAATTGCAAAGAGAGTAAATTTTAAGTGTTCCCACTATAACGAAAACACATGTGAGGTAATGCATATGCTAAATACCTTGATTTAGCCTTTCCACAAGGTATGCGTATATTATATCAAAACATCATGTCATACACCATAAATATATATAATTTTTGTCCATTTAAAAACTAAATGAAATAGTCCCAATGCATATTATTAACTAGTGCAGCTAGGAAAATTAACTGTATAAAAATGTTTTGTGGGCCGTATGCGGTGGCTCACACCTGTAATATCAGCATTTTGGGAGGCCGAGTTGGGTGGATCACCTGAGGTCAGGAGTTTGAGACCAGCCTGGCCAACATGGTGAAACCCTGTCTCTACTAAAAATACAAAAATTAGCCAGTTGTGGTGGTGCACTCCTGTAATCCCAGCTACTCGAGAGGCTGAGGATTCAAGACAGTCGCTTGAATCCAGGAGGCAGAGGTTGCAGTGAGCCGAGATCATGCCATTGCACTCCAGCCTGAAAACGTTTTATGTATATTAATCAACATTCATTTGAGAGGTAACTACTGGATAAGGAATACTGATGTAATACTATTAATAATAGCTTACATTACATACCACTTACCACGTACCAGGGGCTATTCTAAGCACTTTACATTTAGCCCATGTAATGATTACTTCAATCACAAGAAGAGGGGTGCTTTTATCCTTATTTAATGGTGAAGAAAATTCAGGATTAGAGAGATTAAGTAATTAGCTCAAGGTCACATAAGCAACCCAGGCAGCTGGGCTCCCAGGTCACCATATAAGACAGAACAAAAGCAAGGCACGAAACAGCATGATCATTAAAGGAAGAAGAAAGCTCACCCTGGCAGTTTCCTTCTCAAGATGGAGAAGAGGTCAGAGTGAATTTGGAATATGATTCTTTGTATCTCTGGCCATCCATGTAAAAGCTGTTTTGGAAATGAGGTGCTCACAGAGGTGCCCCACTGCTGTCAGGGACTCGGGGAGGAAAATCCCTCTGAGTTATCCCACAGATTTAGCTGGACTAAGAAGAGAAACAGCCCACTCAAGGCGGTCTCCACTGGGAGTTTCTGAATAAGGGTAGAAAGAACACCCACTTCTTAACAGAACATCAAGCCTGAAAGGACGTTACCTCCAACTCCCTCCTACAGAGAATCATAGAATGAAAAGCTAAATGATAATAGGGACCTGCAGTGTAGACAGCTTCAAGAGCAATCTAACTCAGACAGCAGGATGGGGCGGAGGCTGCGCGGTGGCTGACAAGAGAGGCTCAGCTGCCCCTGTCGTTGGGCTCACTCCCCACTGGGTTGCCACAGGCCTATTTTTTTGGCAACGCTGTTGCCTATTTCCTGCTGCTATCATCTTGTCCTACATATCATAAAATGACTCCACTGAGTTCTTTCATAGAGGCTCTGCAACTATTCTGTGAATGGGAATTGGGACACATTGGCCATCACACGGATGCTAAAAACACAAAAAAGAATGGATGTTTTCTCCAGCTGCACGTAGGTCCTTTATCCTAATCCACATATAGATACCCTTGCATAGTGAAAAGAATCCTGGATTAGGCCTGGTGCACAAACTCTCAAGGTGATTTCAGACCAATTACATAAATTACATAGCCTTTTTATACCTCAGTTTCATCAGCTGTAAAATGGCAATAAAATGCCCTAACTCCTGCAAAGGGCCATAAAGGTATTATGAGAACCAAATGAAATAACATGCATGAAAGCCATTTGGAAGGGACAGATGACTGTACAAGGGCAAGGGGTTATTATTTCTCTGCACCTGTTACTACAGTGCTGCTGTAAGAAAACCCACATGCCTGCACAGGGGCCCAGCTTTGCAAACTAAGGATTGGAACAGCTCTGGCTGCCACACGAGACACCACAGATCTCACAGACTGGGTGGCTGAAAGAACAGAAATTTATTTTCTCACAGTTCTGAAGCTCGAAGTCCAAGGTCAAGGTGCTATCAAGATTGGTTTCTGGTGAGGCCTCTCTTCCTGGTTGGCAAACAGCCACCTTCTTGCTGTGTCTTCACATGGCCTTTCCTCTGTGCTCATGCATCCCTCGTGTCTCTGCCTCTTTTTCACTTGGTTTTGTTTCTTTTTTTGAGACAAGGTCCCACTCTATCACCCAGGCTGAAGTGCAGTGCGGGCTCAGTCACAGCTCACTGCAGCCTCGACCACCTGGGCTCAAGCAATCCTTCTGCCTCAGCCTCCAGAGTAGCTGGGACTGCAGTTGCATGCCACCATGCCCTGCTAATTATTTTATATTTTTTGTAGAAATGGGGTCTCACTGTGCTGCCCAGGCTGGTCTCGAACTCCTGGGCTCAGGTGATTCTCCCATCTTGGCTTTACAAAGTGCTGGGACTACAAATGCAAGCTACCAGACCCAGCCTCTGCCTCTTCTTATAAGAACACCAGTCCCATGGGATTAGAGCCCCAACCACATAACCTGATTTAACTTTAATTACCTTTTTAAAGTCTCTGTCTCTAAATATAGTCACACTGCGTGTTAGGGCTTCAGCAGATGAAGTTTAGGGGGACACAATTTAGTCCCTACATGACAAACACCCAGAGGGAGGAGCCGTTCGGCTGCATCTTCTTTGCACAGTCGGATGGTCTCTGCCCTATAGGGTCTCCTGTTGTCTGTAACAGAGTGTCCTAACTGAGTGCCAGGCTGAGGTTTTATTTTATTTATTTTATTTTATTTTTTAACTTTTATTTTTCTTAGAGACAGGGTCTCAATCTTGTCCCAGGCTGGAGTACAATGGCGCCATCATAGCTCACTGCAGCCTCAAATTCCTGGGCTCAAGAAATCCTCCCAGTCAGCCTCCCACGTAGCTGGGACTACTAATGTGTGCCACCAAGTCTGGCTAATTTTTTTTATTTTTCATAGAGACAGGGTCTCACTATGCTGCCCAAGATAATCCTGAACTCCTGGGCTCAAGCAATCCTCCTGCTTCAGCCTCCCAAACTGCTGGGAGTACAGGCATGAGCCACTATGCTGGGCTGGGATTCTATTTTGACTGTTTCTGGAACTGGAGAACTGGCTGTCACTTCAGGTATCCATTTACATAAATTAACATGCAGGAGGGTGCTCTGCTTTTTTAAAAATTTTTTTAATTTCCGTAGGTTTTGGGGTAACAGGTGGTATTTGGTTACATGAGTAAGTTCTTTAGTGGTGATTTGTGAGATTTTGGTGCACCCATCACCCAAGCAGTACACACTGAACCCAATTTGTAGTCTTTTATCCTTCACTCCCTTCCCACTCTTTCCACCTGAGTCCCCAAAGTCCATTGTGTCATTCTTATGCCTTTGCGTCCTCATAGTTTAACTCCCATTTATGAGTGAGAACATATGATGTTTGGTTTTCTGTTCCTGAGTTACTTCACTTAGAATAATAGTCTATGGTCCCATTCAGGTTGCTGCAAATACCATTAATTCATTCCTTTTTATGGCTGAGTAGTATTCCATCATATATATATATATTCCATCATATATATATTCTATCATATATATATATTCCATCATAAATACATATATATATCATATACTATATCAGGATAAACTTCATGGTTGGCTTGGAGCCCAGTGCAGGGAATGGTTAAAGGAGAAAGCTACAGGTGGGCTTAGAACCCATTATTCCTGGTACTTCCTGGATCAGAAGTGTGGGCACACTCAAAGATCAGCACCTCCAGCATGGGAAACTTTTAAGCATGAAGGCTTCTTCCAGTGGGTTCATGACCAAAACAAAGAAGAGATGAACAGTGCGGGTGTAGAGAAGTAACTATTTGGATAGGTGAATGCCCCAGATTTCAAGGGATAGATGGGAGAGGAGGAGGAGGAGGGACAGAGATAGTCTTTACAAGCGCATGAGCAAGAATACTTAAATATCAATATTTATATGACTTGTCTCCACAAGCTGGTGAGGCATGGGGCATTCAGGTTTTTATATGCTCATGATGTTAGATCTCAGGAAACAGATGGAAGAGGGGAAGGAGGAGAAGCAGAGAGGAGAAATTTCTGAAAGTGATTGGGGGTTATCTCCCCAGTCTAGGTAAAGATGAATCTTGCCTGTATTGATAGACATAGATTTACGGTGGACTCTACTGGCCCCGTATGTCCTGGGACTGGACACCTTAGTCAAGGGGCACTAGGGAATCTGCCAGTTCAAGAGTTGTAGCCACATAAAGGACCCAGGATTTCAGGGCTCTCATCTCCTCTTAAACAAGGTCAACAGAGTCAGAACACCTATTCTGATCTTGGCCTTTTAAATCTGACCACAGAAGTACATACTTGCTCTACCTGCTATACCAAGGATGTACAGCACAAGCTGCTGTGCCTATGGCCCAAATAGATGCCTCAGTGTAGAAATACCCTTGAACTTTGCTAATGCCTTAATGAGGGTAATGTTTTCCATGGATAACTCACTTGTTCATGCAAACACCACCTGAACAAAGCCCATAGGCTCAGCGCAGAGGCTGAGTGGCAATAGCCAAGTAATCCAGTTGTCCACGATGGAGCCTCAGGAACACAACTGTCATAGGCTCAGCATCCCCCTGGGCGTGGCTCTGCCACCAAAGGAGACAGCCGGAATGTGCAATGACTTAATTAGAATCCCGCACTCCAGCCAACAGGGGCTGGTGGGCGACAAGTTTGGAAACTGGCCTTGGGAAATGCCAATGAGAATAGCATCCATCTCCAGTCTGCTAGAAGATCTCAGGCAGGCAGGGAGGCTGAACCCTGAAGGAAGCTCATAATTTCAGAAGAAAAGAATCTTCATTAAGATCTCATGCTCACAATCTCTGAATGAGCTGAATTTTATTTCAAGAACACATTTTCCCCCAGCCCTGAAATAAGTGTGAACCGAACTGTGAAAAACAGACCTTGACCATATTGTTGTCACTACCAATTCACAGCAACAATCTTCAGTTTTGAATTATCACCCTCTATTTCTTTTTTGCATTGAAGGATTTGGAGATTACAGAAAAAAAAAAATCTGTAGCCAAGATGACTCAAAAAATTTCCATTTTAAAAATCTTGATCATTCTCATCCCCGCCTGTGGATCTGCGGAGTGTCACACTCTCCCATCAACGGTGCTCTCTGGTACATGCCTAATGAGAGGAGGCTCTCCCCTGGGCTTCTGGAGAGGTCTCTACAACATAACTGTGCCCTACATAATGAGAGAGAACTACCTGGGGATTTCCAGTCCTTAGCAAACCTCAAGTACAAACCAAGCTTGTTCTTTTCCATCATGTTCTAAGTCAATCTGAATGCATTACAAACCACAGAGTAGCAAATTGTATTTGATTATTTATAACCATAACATAAATGGAATAATGTAGGTCTTGTGAATTTTTTTCAATGACAGATAAGGCAAGGAACAGAAAATTCCCCAGTGGGGCTAAATGATTAATGCGTGATGAATTCATAACATCCTTGCATTTGACAATCTTTCTTGAAGGAGTTGAAACTAGTTTCCAGGGTACAATACGTACAGTTTTCCAAAACTTCTAAGTTTTTCTAGCCCTGAGCTCTCACCTAAACCATAGGAGTTCAGAGAAAGATATAAATTTTGAAGAAGACATATTTCTTTGCTCTGAACAACTCATCTTCTCATGGCAAAGGCCACAAAATAGCATCATCTCACCTGCTTCTAATTTGGTATAAAGGCAAAAAAAAAAATAATATGCCTAGGTATTTACTTAGAAAATCATGCTGTAAGAATATTTTGAGAGGAAAGCTAGTCTTATGAGTTACTATCTGTCATTGGCTTCCCATGATTAAAGGTAGGGTACCTATGCAACTGGACAGACCACATCAAAGACTTCATTAGGCCTGCAGGTACAGTGTCATGTGGTGCTCTGAAGTTAATATACTTTCATTTGATTAAAGTCCAGACTCCTGCCAAAATAGCAATATGGAAACAGCAATGCTGTTCTCTGCTCCCTCCCCTTGGATAGCTCTCTTTTTTGTGAAGCTTCTGATAACTGGACAACAAACTCTTTGTGGTGGTGGTGGTGTCATTGTTACGGCCAGCTTGTGTTAACTATATGCTTTGCACTGTGCCCAAACTTTCATACATTTTATCTCATTTACTCATCACGTTGAGACTGTGGGATGGATTTTAATGATAAGGAAGCAGGTGCCTGTACCACCAAAAGGAAGGGACACAGCCAGGGGGTGAAGTGTGGAGTATGAAGCCCAGTCTAGAAAGTAAGGCTAGACTGCCTTTCTTTTTTCTTTTTCTTTTTCTTTTCTTTTTTTTTTTTTTTGAGACAGTCTCGCTCTTGTCGCCTAGGCTAGAGTGCAATGGCACAATGTCCGCTCACTGCAACCTCCGCCTCCCAGGTTCAGGTGATTCTCCTGCCTCAGCCTCCTGAGTAGCTGGGATTACAGGCACCCACCACCACGCCTGGCTAATTTTTGCATTTTTAGTAGAGACGGGATTTCACCATGTTGGCCAGGCTGGTCTTGAACTCCTGACCTCAGGTGATCCGCCCGCCTCAGCCTCCCCAAAGTGCTGTGATTACCGGCGTAAGCCACTGCCACCAGCCTAGACTGCCTTTCTGTGCCAACTTCCTACTGTCCACTTCAGCAAGTGGGGAAGAAACCCAAATCAGATTTGCCAGGAAAGTCATTCAAGTCCGTGGCCTCAAAGGCCCTCTCTTCAGCACAGAGACATGCAAAAGATATGTTGACCTGAGAAATGGTAGCTGCTATCATTTAGAGCGAAATCTAAGGAGAAAAAAATAGCTGGCTTGTTTCATTCTGTTCCTAAACTTCAACATCCTGACAAAGCAGTCTAAAGGAGTTCAAGCCCTGCCCTACCCCACTAAAGCATTCATAATCCTATCCTATTCCCCTAAGGGTTACAACAACCAAGATCTTACATTCTAGCAAAGGGGAAGAGGGAAACAGTACATACGAGAAGCCTCCACCGCCACAGTGCAAGAATCCTTTTCAAGAACACCTGCACTTCCATGGGCGGACATGGAAGCTGTAAGTAATTGCCTATAAAGCAAACATTAAGGCTGTGAGCCCTGCTAACACTTCCCTCTCACATGTGCAAATGGGTTACACATAGGATGCACAAAACTATTCCATGGAGAGAAATCTGTTCCGTCAGCCATACGTGCAGAGCCCTGCACATCTTCTCCCCTGAGCAGGGTAAATGACAATAACTACCCTCACCTCCAGACGAGAATGTGTTAGAAACCTAAGACCTCTATTATACCTAGAATTAGGAACAGAATATCCAATGGGCCTACACAAGCAGCTGTGCATTCTGAACTCAGACAGCAAATTGACATGAAGTTGCTGCTGAAACAAGCAAGTTTGCCACAGTGCTATGTGTACAATACCCTTTCTAAGAAGTAGCAAAACTCTGTGGTTTCACAATCAGATTGGCACCATTTGTACCCTATCTGTATGCTCCTGTTTTATGGCATTCTCTGACGTTATCCAAAGTAAACTGTCCACATTTTAATGTATTTTCATATGCTTTATTTTCCAGAGTTGGGACAAGAAGTAACTTTGCCTAATCCAAAATTCAGTTGGCAGGTATCCAAACACCAAAGTACTTTCCTCTGGCAACATTTTGTGTGGTAGGAGGACAGAAACGTATACAAAAAGCAGCCAGGAGGCTGCAGGGATGCTGATGTCTCTGAAATTTAGACTTTTTTCTCCTTTACTGCTAACTTTCAGAAGTAATTAGGGCACTCATTTCTAAGCTAATGCCTTCTAATGGTCACTTAATTCTGGACAAACTGCAGAGTAGAATGCTTTTGAAACTAGAATTAATTGTTTAAAAGACATTATTGGGATTAGTCTGGTAAATGTAGAAAGAAAAAAAGACCTTTTACTGAGACATTAAAAATAATGAAGTTCCCTCCAGTCCCAAACCTAATACATTTTGTGGGTTTCTTTTTTTCTTTTTCTTTTCTTTTTTTTTTCTTCCTGGAAGTAATCGGCCAGGGAATGAAGCAATACCAGAGACCTCTCCACCTGTTAATAGGCATTCAGTGATGTTTCCTACCGTCATATCAGATCAGTCCTACTAAGAAAGAGAAGACACATAGCTAAGACTGCCATACTGCAATTATTTTTCTCTTTTATTTCAAAAAACATCCATCTAATCACTGCTGTGCTCAGAGTTCTTGAGAAAGCTGTACAAGGTACAAAGGGCAGGAAGTGACAGTCCCCTGAGGCTCACAGTCTATTGAAGGACAACGGCATATAAATAGCAAGGGACGCCAAGGCATATGCTATAATAATAGAAGCACGGCTAAGATTCTATAACAGTCAATAAAGTGAGGGAATTTTGAATGGAAAAAAAACTATGAAGGCTTAAAACCTTTAAGTGCATTTAGGCCCCCAGTAGTTCAGTAAAGAAAGGAAGGGACTATGCCAGGCACAAGGACAGTGAGAGTGAAGCCACAAATGTAGAAAAGTCAGCATGGAGCACAGGGTGTGGGAATGAGAGAGGGGCAACATCATGGAATACAAGGTTACACTGTGGCTGTGCCAAAGAAAGTTCCAAATGCTACATAAAGAGTTGGGACTTTGGACATTGGTATATAGACAATAGTGAACGGTTTTGAGTAGGAAACTACTATGAAGTGACGAGTTGAAGTTGGTGTGTTGAGTTTCTTTATTTGCCCTGGGAAAGATAAGGCAGGTATAATTGAAGCATGATGAGGAAAAGGGAGGAAGAACCACTGGGAGAAAAAGACAGAACGGCAGGGCTAGGATCACCAGTCACACACATTTCTGCTTTGCCATCTTGGTTGGAGCAAGCCTGTTCATTCTCCTTTATCTCTTTTCTTGTTTCCTCTTTATTGTTAAGTGTTGGCTTTCTCATCTCTTTAACATCATTACGATATTTAAACATCACTTCAAAATTGAGTCACCAGACCTGACTTCCATTGTGAGTTTTCATCCCAAACTTTTGCATGCCTGCTTGCCATGTGAAGAGGGATGTTCTATTGATCCTCAAACTTGACAGCCAAATTGAATTAATCTCCCACTAGATCCCTGATTTTCTTCCATCTTCTCATCATTTAACATTTAACATTTAACACCACCTCAATCCTCCAAATCACCCAGAGTACAATTACAAAGTTATTTTAGACTGTGCTTTCACTCAACTCATCAACATACCATATGTTGTCTAATCCTACTACAAAACCTCTTTTAATATCTATACATCTATCTGGTTCATTTCATCTCCTCTAGCATAGATCGATTTCAAGTCTGCCTGCATTTTTTACCCCCTAGACTCTCAGAATAGTTTCTTACTCGGTTTCCTTGTCTCCAGTCTCTTCCCTCACTAATCTCTCTCTCACTACACAGCCTAAAACACTGATCAGATGGTGTAAGGCTCTTCCTCACAAGCCTCAGATGTCTTCCCATTGGCTACGCAATGAAGGCAACCACCTGAGTGAGTAGCATACAAGTCTTGAATGATTGGCCAAAACCTCCAACCAATCTCTCCATGCTTTCTGGATCACCCATCCCCCAGACACACTGTTCAACTCAATGTCTTGCCTCCACCTACATCTTTCTCTCAAAGTTTGCCTATTGAAATTCTATGTGTTTTTCAAGCCCTAGCTCAGATATTGCCTCTTCCACAAAACCTTTCTTCCCCAGTCCCAGATCAATCAATCACTACTTTCTCTTTGCATATACACAATTATCCAATAGTATTATTTCTGTCTGTTATTTACCATTTTCTACGTGTTTTCTCTTCTCAATTATAAATTCCTTGAGTGCGGTAGACATGTCACATTCATCAATATATCCTGTGATAACTGGAATAACGTTTTGCAAGTAATAGGTTCTGAAAGAATAAATGCCAGTTTGGTTTATTTTTAAATTTGTTCCCAGGCATTAAAATTTCTAGGATTGCAGGTTTCCTGATGGAGATTCAGATCCACCTGTCAAAAGGGAAAGTGTTTGCTAAGTAATTTCAGCCTTAAATTTCCAATGGTTGATCAAATATATATGAAGTCCTAACTATTCATTTCATTAATAGTTTACTTAGTTACTCACTAAAAATATTTACTAAACATTTACTTTGCTCCTAGTACTGTTCTAGATGCTATAGATTAGGTGATGAATAAGACTAGTGTGGTTCAACTTCCTCCAGTTTTCATTCTAATGAGGAAATCGATTTTTTTAAGTAATACATTAAAACAAGTTTATATAGAAATACAAGGTGGAGGCTGGGCATGGTGGCTCACGCCTGTAATCCCAGCACTTTGGGAAGCTGAGGCAGGTGGATCACCTGAGGTCAGGAGTTCAAGATCAGCCTGGCCAACATGGTGAAAACTCGTCTCTACTAAAAATATAAAAATTTGCTGAGCATGGTGGTGCGTGCCTGTAATCCCAGCTACTTGGGAGGCTGAGGCACGAGAATTGCTTGAACTGGGGAGGCAGAGGTTGCAATGACCTGAGATCACACCATCTCACTCCAGCCTGGGTGACAAGAGCCAAACTCCATCTTAAAAAAAAAAGAAAAGAAATACAAGGTGGACAATAAAACAGAATAATAAGACAGAGAGTTACTTGGGTGGTCAGGGAAAGGCTCTATAAGGAGACGACATTTCAGCTGATAGGCTATTCCATCATTCTATAAAGCCGGGTGCTTTTGGGTAATGGGGATATTGCATGATAGAACCAGTGACTCCCTAGTGATGGGCAACATGGATCACATGGTCGCCTGCTGTTTGTGATCAAGCATTCAATCTATACCAGCTCCCAGGGACATCAGTCTTCTCCTCTTCCTTCTCCTCTTCTTCCTTCTCTTCCTCATCCTCCTTCTTTTTCTTTGTCTCTAAGTGAGTTTCTGAGTCACAAGCAGTGGTGTATGGTAGGCTATGATGATGCTTCCCTCTTCAAGATGGAAAGCCTGCCACCAGATTACTACTGTCTACTCACACCTGCCCCAGGGATATAATATGATATCAAAATTTCAAGACTGCTCACTGCTGCTGATTAGGCTCTTGAGATGGCAGCATCCAGATGAACTTTACTGACTAAAAGTCCAAGTTATTGAAGCTATCCTCAGCCTCCATCTTTCCTGCCATGCTTCCTTTGGTCAAGAGCCCATGAAGGACCCTGAAATACTTGGACAATGAGGTTTAACTAATAACCACAATGATGCTCTTCTCAACAACCTAATAACTGAGGCATATTTCTGTCGTGGAATCTGTTTGGTGAGCATTCATATCAGCAGCAAATATCTCACTCTGGACCCATTCCAATAAGTCCATCTACATATTTCCCTTCAAATTTCATTGTCAACAGCCCTCTAATATTTTTCTTTCCATGTCTCCAACCACACCATGAACCACACCATGAACCACTGCACATGCCACACCATGCCACACCATGAACCACTGCACATGCCCTGAAATAGATTCTTATCTCAGGTTCTCTCTTCTTCCTGACAGTGTAGTTATGAGATCTTCTACCCAAAGTTATTTGTACTGGAAAGATGTTCTTTTTCCACTCCCCTCAGGACCACCTGTGATAAATGCAGCTGTAATAACACAGCAGTCCATTTCCAGGGGGACCAGCACACTCATACTAAGCAGAGCCATCTGTAAACCTGGCTTTAAAATTGTTCCTCTGTAGCCATCTTTTCATAGGGACCTCCAATGAGGTATTAAGGCAGATTAAACAGGGGGTTGCAGTGAGGCAGGAATAGCCATACTGGGAATGTGAGCTGTGTGCTTATGGAATTGCCTTGTTCTTTCACAACGTGCTTGGTCTCTGTCTCATAAACCCTATTTTCATATGATGAAGACACGCTGGACATATCAGATTTTATGGCAATGGCAATCCGACAATCCTTACTCATGATGGGCAGCATGAATCACATGGTCTCCTACTGTTTGTGATCAGGCATTCAATCTATACCAGATCCCAGCATTCAAACAAAACAAAAACAAAACCAAAAAAACAACTAAACAACTGTTTCTGAAAAGGAGCATGAGTCCTTTGGACCATTATTAAGTAAAATAAGGATAAATATTTATTAAAGAAGGTAAGATTTCCCTTCAAAATTCTTGTGATTTCCCATTTGATGGTACCAGAATTTCATGTAGTATTCCCATTTTCCAAGACACTTAAAGCACCAGAATTCTGCTCAGCCATGAGGACCAAGTAGTAAAATGGCTGGTCACCCAGATGCCATTGGTCAACCTCCTGCTCTAGTCCCTACTCGAGCCTTTCAGTTCACCTTGTAAGTGGGTTAGAGTGGAACACACAAATATTTCATGTATGATAGACCCGCACTTATTCATGGTTTTGCTTTCTGTGGTTTCAGTTACCCACAGTCAACTATGGTCAGAAAATATTAAATGAAAAATTCCAGAAATAAATAATTCATGAATTGTAAATTGTGTACCATTCTAAGAAGCATGATGACATCTTGGGCTGTCCTCCTCCACCACACCCAGGACATGAATCTTTCCTTCTCCCAGCATCTCCATGCTGTCTACGCTACCCACCTGTGAGTCACTTAAAAGCTGTCTCGGTTATCAGATCAACTGTCGTGGTATCACAGTGCTGTGTTCAAGTAATCCTTATTTTACTTAATAATGGCCCAAAGCACAAGAGTAGTAATGCTGGAAATTCAGATATGCCAAAGAGAAGCTATAAAGCACTTCCCTTAAGTGAGAAAATGAAAGTTCTTGACTTGAGGAGGAAAGAAAGAAAATCGCACACTGAGGTTGCTAAGATCTATAGTAAGAACAAGTCTTCTATCTGTGGAATTGTGAAGAAGGAAATAGAAATTTGTACTAGTTTTGCTGTCACACCTCGAACCTGAAAAAGTTACAGTCACAGTGCATGAAAAGTGCTTAGTTAAGATGGAAAAGGTGTAAAATTTGTGGGTGGAAGTCACGAACAGAAAGGCGTTCCACCTGATGGCTGTCTGGTTCAGTACTATCCAGGGCTTCAGGCATCCACTGAGGGTCTTTGAATATATTTTTTATGGGCAAGGGGAGACTGCTAAAATACCTCCAAAATCTGGAGAGACCGCCTCTTAGTGGTATGGAATGCAAACATACTCTGTTTTGTCAGGTGCAATCCCCATAATGTTGCTAAGGTAGTTGTGCCCTATATTTTCATGGAATTTATGGTACAACCTCTGGCTTGTACATGTCTTGTTGATGCATCTAGATCTGCTACTTTCACTGCAGCAAAACACTACAAACTTACTGAACCAGCATGATGTTGTGTGGGATAGAGAGAAGATCAGTGTCTCTGGCCCACATTGTGGCCCACAGTTAGAGGTAAAGTAATAACTTCTGACAAATCTGCAATCCTTTCCAGGTGAAAGCAAATGAATTCTAGTGTTCTTTGTTTAATGAGACTAACGAAAAGTATTTTTTTACTTCATACTGTATACCAGGTGCCAGGGAGGCACTAATTTGCTTTAGTAAGGAAATCACATCTGAAACAGCAACTAAAATGAAAGTCACTATTTGATTAATCAAACAGTAATATATTATGCTCCAAGACCCCTTAGCAAGTCACAGTGGAACATGAAACCAGAATGTTATAAAAATCACTATGCCCTTGCATTTTCAAGTCTCTAATTATGCAAGATCGCTTTTGTAATACTATTTTGTTAAAGAGGTAAAGAGGGAGAAATCCAGGGACATTCACTTGGTCTTGGTCTTCCCTTCACAGATCTGGGAGCTGGTGTGCATGGTTTCTGTCCGTTGTCAATGTTACCTATTTTAACATGATATGTTTAGACTGGGGAAAACACAATGGGATAGGTCTAAGATTCCACTGGGTATAACAAGGCAGACTTGGGTCAAAACTCAATTTACATTCTCACCTGACTTAATGCTTTTTATCACCCTTTGATAGCTTCTTATTTTCCTTCAGCATCTAATTGTCAGAGTATGCAGTCTATGAGGGTTTTGGTTGGTGTTCATCTCTCCCTCTTCTCTTTTCTTTTCTTTTCTTTTTCGAGACAGAGTCTCATTCTGTTGTCCAGGCTGGAGTGCAGTGGCGTGATCTTGGCTTACTGCAACCTCCGCCTCCTGGGTTCAAGCAATTCTCGTGCCTCAGCCTCCTTAGTAGCTGGGACTATAGGCGCATGCCACCACACCTGGCTAATTTTTGTATTTTTAGTAGATACAGAGTTTCACCATGTTGACCAGGCTGGTCTCAAATTCTTGACCTCAGGTGATGGGCCTGCCTCAGCCTCCCAAAGTGCTGGGATTACAGTGGTAAGCCACCGCGCCTGGCCCCCTCTTCTCTTTTCCATGTATACTTTCTCATTAGGTTATCTTACCCAATCCATGACTCTCAATAACATATATATATCTCACATATACACACATATATATGTATGTATGTGTATATGCACTTACATGCCTGAACTTCTCCTTGAGCTCATATATTCTCCTGGCTACTAATCATCTCCATTTGGATGTTAACAAACATCTTAAACTAATAAAAGAGAACACTTCATTTTTGTTCTCCACTCAGCAAACCTGTTCTTTCCCAAGCAAGACTTCTACCATCTACCTAGTTTCTCAGACTAGAAATCTTGATTTTTATCCTTTATTCCACTCCTGTGTTGACATTTAATTCATCCATAAGTTCTATAAAAAAAGTAGAACATAAGTTCTACCTACAAAGTGTACCCCAAATTACCCCAAATTTGATTACATTCCACAATCACCACTCCCATGACACTTGTCTCTACCACTATCATCTCTTCTTTGACTAATGTAATAGGCTCATAAAGTTTTCAGTTTCCACCAATTTTTGCATTACTCTACCCAGAATCAAAGGTAATTTTTCTAAACATAAATCAAATCATGTCACTCCTGTGCATAAAATTCTCAAATGGCTTTTTACTTCAACCAGAATGAAATCCAAACTCTTTATTGTAGCCTATAAGATTCTCCTGGCTCCTGACTGATTCTGATATCAATTATTTCTGTTTTCCACCATCTTCAATATACTGCAATCTACACTGGCCTTATTTTTTCTCCCTGAAGACTATGACGTGTTTGTTTCATCTCAGGATCCTGTTTTCTTTGTTTGGAACTCTCTTCCATGACTGTCTCTTCTTCTTCATAATTCGGGCCACTGGATTCGGGACTCAACAGCTGCCTTTAAGTCACTTTTCACTATCTTCCTTCTTTTGTCCTTTTTAGGGCATCTATTAGTCCTGAAAATAATTTTTTTTGTTTATTTATTACCTCTCTCCCCTACTATAAGCTTCACAAGTACTCCATCTTGCTCACCAGTATATTTTCTGCATTTAGAACAATGCTTATCAGACAGTAGTTGGTCAATAAATATTCATCAGCTGAATTATTGACCCTCTACAATTCTTCCTTTTGCTTGGTGGACTGAAGTATTACTTGGAGCACCAGAAATTAGTGTTAGCTCAACCAAAGGTCTAATGACCAATAGAATAGTTGGGTATTTCCATTGCTTCATTGCGCGGTTACTCTAATTTAAAGTCTTGTGCTTCCTTGAGGAAAGCGAGAAGGATATTTTATTGTCTCTACTTGTGATTGTATTGCAGGGTCTTCAAGGATTCTGCCTTTTCCCTTCACTTAAAGGTTTCCAGAATGAGCACAGTTCTGGGAATAGGATGAGGAGCTTTTACATCTCTCAATGTGGTTCAACAGGCCTCTCTCCATGAATCCTAAAGTTCTGTTTTTTACTTAACAGAAATAGAATTTCTAATATAAAAGAGGACTTAAAGGACTCTCTCTCTCTTTCTCCTCTCCCACCTCAGTCTTAGGATCCATCCTCAATTAACAACTGTCACACATCCCAGGCAGGACCTATAGCCTATCATGCTCACCCTCCCCTCTTCACCTCTGACCTTTATCCACTGCTGGTTAGTCTCTTCCACTCTAGAATCCTTCTAGCCACACTGAAATGAGGGATCGTATTTTCACTTCAGGGCTCACAGAAGAGGGACACTGATATGTTTTTCAAAGATGATGGTACCATTTCAAAAGCATGTTTCTCAAGTCCTTAATGAATGAAGACCTTCTAAACCCTCACAGAGGAGAAGAAAAGAATAAGACAAATTACAAGAATAAATTTACTCCAGCATTTCTAACTCTGAAGAATTTGAACTCCCCACTTTTTATTTTACCAATATATATCCCTCTCAACTTCATTTAACATAGTCCCCTGTTGAATCTAATTGAAAAAGCAATTAAGTCACCACCAGTGCTTAAATTAGCTCACTACAGAAAGCACAGTCTTACCTCTCACTAAGCTCATACAGTGGTGAGTGCTTACCCAAGTAGAAAGGGAGATTCAGATTCTAGGCATGTACAAAATGACAAATATAAACTATGCAGTTTTTGGATTTTATGTGAGTTGCAATGAAAAGCTAACGGTATATTTTAAACAGGGGTGGGGAGAAAATACATACTATGTGGAATATGGATTATTGAGGGAAAAGGGTAAAAGCAGAAGCTAGTTGTGGGGCAAATGGCAGCTGTCCAGGTGAGAAAGGATGGTGGCTTGTCTAGGTGAGAAATGATGGTGGCTTGGTCTAAGAAGATAGACAATGAGGTGGTGGAAAGAGGTAAGACTAGAAATATATTTTGGTCATAGAGCTGCCTGGACTTGTTCTTTGAAGAAAGGCAAGTAATAAAGAGAGAAAGATCAAGAACGATGCCTCGATTTTTGGCATAGTGCCAGTAATCAAGGCGGCAGACACTTGTGCATTATGGGAAGTGAAAACAGCATTCCAACTCTGCCTGGAAGCTTCCAATCACCTCATGTCTCTCAACAGACACATGTATACAACTAACAAAACATGGTCAATTCCAAGTAGTGACTGAGGTCATCATAGATACAAGAGAAGAGTTTTCTGTTAGAGTGGGGAAGGGCTTCACAGAAGAGCTGGAACCAGGAGCGGAAAGAGCAGGACTTCAACTAGGAAGGAAGACGAGTAGGTCTCCAGACTCAGGGAGGAGGTGACCTATACAGGGCCAGTGCACCCAGCTGTGCACTGCGCAACTCCATGGGGTGCCATTCCCATGAGCTGTGTGTGAGTTCAGGCCTGGAAAATGCCAGGCACAGTGTTGGGATGGTAAATAAACCAGAGTCGTCAAATCAAAAATAGAGTTAAAGAAGTTAGGCGGAGTTAGAAAGATAAATAATTCCAGAATACAACCATTACAGCATTCATTTTTAGGCATATTTGAATGATCCTTACTCCACAGAATCCAACAAGCATGGGAAAGAGCAGGCATTCTAAGTTTCCCAACTGCCCTGTTAACTAATTATCAAATATTAGCTCATCCAAGCTCCAGTGGCAGAGGAGCCATAACATTTTTTATGAGAAGCTTTTCTTTCATCCGTTAAGGTGAGACAGATGAATCCTCTAGTTCTCGTTCCAAGAAAGCACTTTAACTGCTGAGACTAGACTTGGTTTCATCAATAAATGAGCTGTTAAAATTGATTTATCCTCATTGACAGGCACTTCATTCACAAATATACTCTGCCACATGGAGACCATTTTAGCCCACAATCTGGGTTGTTCCAAACGGAGCTCTTTCATTGCAAGCATGCCTTTCAGAACGCTTATTGGTGGTGTCACTGTGTAAAATCCTATTTTTCCACATATTCACAGCACCTCCAACTTGAATGTCAGTCAGGATTTCAGGCTTTTTTCATCTTTAGAAACAATACTTTTGTATATAGAAAGCATTTTATTCCTGTCTCGCCCCCCAGTGAACTATTTGGGAAGGATAAATACTACTTAAGGAACGATGGCTTGTGATTGCCTTCTCTGAGTCTCACAGTAAAATTATTCCACGTGGTACATGGGGAAGGGAATGATTGCTATATCGCTGCCATTTTCAGAGAAATTAAAACAACAACAACAACAACAACAAAACTCAACCAGAATATCATTGGTCATATTTTTGGAAATCAGGAAATTGTACAAAAACATTGCTTTAGGAAAACATGTTGTGTGGCAAATTATATCTTCCTTGTTTGACAGACAAGCGATAATAAATTAACAAGCTAGCACGGGGCTGGGAGACCTCTAGAGTGGGAGATGCCTTGTGGACAATGCTTCTATGTCTCCATTTTTTCCTATTTATTTTGTTTCATTCAGAGATTCAAAGAGGGAACAGGTAACAACGCACACAGAGGTAAGCACATTTAAAAAGATATCTGGAATCAATGCATTGTGAAATAAATATAATTGTGCATAGTGTTCTGAAACTCCCTGACAAGAATGACTTAAATTACTCAGTCAAGACCGTTAAAGCTTTTTCATGAGGGCAGGACTCCGGACTCTGCAAACTCCCTCCTGCCATAGCAAACAGTTCGAGCTGATGGTTCCCCCTGACAGTCAGAGGTGGTCACTCCCTTTGCTCTACTTCCACACGCAGAAAGCATTCCCTATTTGTCTGTGGCGAGTTCCATATGTTTCTTGTGGCATCTGCTAGCATTTCCGCTTAAAATAAAAAAGATTGTTTTAATTTCCAACCATATCTGTTCCCATTTGGGGATGTAAGCCATTTTGCAATGCTTTGTCCTTGAAGATTGTGATTTGTTTTGGTTCCCTGTGCAATATCTTGTGTTTTTCTTTAATGCCTTTTTTGAAGAAATATTTGAAAACAATCAGGGGAGGAGGAGCAGCTGCAGCTCAAACACTGCGGTAGATGTTAGACAATGCAAGTCGCTTTTATTCTTCACGTTTTGCTTTTTGTCAAACTTTGCAATAAGGAAGGAAGGGCAGCTTTTGTTCCTTAGACAATCAGAAGGAAAGAAAAAATTGATTATTCCTTGCAGATTATGGGTGGTCAGCAATTATGTAAAAATGGGACAAACATTCAGAAGGGCCCAACTACTCTATCAGCGCAGCTGCACAATGACAACCATATGCTCTGGCCTGAGGGGTTAACTATTGCATTGAAACTGATTAGAGTAGTTTATCTTCCTGGGAAACAACTCCATTTAGACTGATCAAGACCAGCATTAGGTGAACACCGATGGGTTAAGATTTTGCTTTACATCCCCCCAACTGCTTTTAGAACAATATCCTGGTTAAAACAACGATTCAATCAGACCTAAATTCACATAGTAACCTTAAGCAAGTGTCTTAATAGCATGAGCTCTAGGTGGCTGTAAGGAATCAGAGAAAGTTAGAAGGCCGGAAACTGTCCATGAAAGGTTTCCATCTCCCTGCTCCACCATGGTAGAGACACAGAATCCTTGGTACATTAGACTAATGGTTCTCAATGGATGCGGGAGATCAACAGTTATCTAGACAGGTTTTTCAGATACCTACCAGGCCCCTGTACTTGCTGTCTTCAATGCCGATATGTCTTTTTGTATGATGAAGCTAATATGTGTGTGTGTGTGTCCAGACCAGTTTTATTTTTTTCTCCAGAATTACAAAGTACATGGGTGGGCCCAAATAAAAAGCAGCTTCTGTTCTCATCGATTGATTAACTGACTCATCCATTCATTCCATGACATACCTTCAGACATTGTTTTAAGTATTGGGATATAGTGGTAGGCAAGATATATAAAGGCATTAAATAAATGATATGTACGTAGGTTTATCTTGAACCTAATCTAGGACATCAAGAAAGATGGCAACAATCTCTAAAATAATCAGTGTCATATGGAAATGGTAAAATGATGATCATGTTTATCGTTAATAATAACACCTTACGCTTGTGTACAATTTAATGTTTATAAGATTTCAATTGTTTTGAACTATGATCATGGTGGAGGCCACCTGCCTACATTATATGCGTGAGCATATAATGACTCCCATGGCTAATTCTTATATGTGTATATGTGTGATATTCCTGTGGAAATTACCAATCTCATGAAGGCAGGTACTGTGTCTTTCATTTTTTCATCTTTCCTAGTGATATGCTCCATTCAAAGCAAGTACTAAAATACTGCCCCTGGATATCGTTTGGATATTTGTTCCCTCCAAATCGTATGTTGAAATTTGACCCCTAGTGTTGGAAGTGGGGCCTGGTGGGAGGTGTTTGTGTCATGGGGGTGGGTCACTCATGAATGGCTTGTTGCCATCTCTGCTTTATGAGTTCCCATGAGAACTGATTGTTAAAAAGGGCCTGGCACCTCCTCCTTTTTCTTTTTCTCCTCTCTTGCTATGTGACGCCTGCTCCCCCTTCACCTTCCACCATGATTAGAAGATCCCTGAGGCCCTCACCAGTAGCAGATGCTGGCACCATGCTTCTTGTACTGCCTGCAGAACTATGAGCCTAATAAACCTCTTTTCTTTATAAGTTACCCAGCCTGAGATATTCTTTTATAGCAAGCTTATCTAACCCACAGCCCACAGGCCACAGGCAACCCAGAATGGCTTTGAATATGGCCCAACACAAATTTGTAAATTTTCTTAAAGCATTATGATTTTTTTTTGTGATTTTTTTTTTTTTTTTAGCTCATCAGCTATCATTAATTTTAGTATATTTTATGTGTGGCCCAAGACAATTCTTCTTCCAATGTAGCCCAGGGAAGCCAAAAGATTGAACACCCCTGTTTTATAGCAACACAAAACAGACTAAGACATCCACCATTTATATAGGCCTTAATAGTTTTCAGATACTTTTTACAGATTATCTATTTTTATTTTTATACCTTGTTTGTGGATTTTTAATTTTTTTCTTCTTTTTTATTTTTTCTTTTCACTTTTTTGTTTATGAATTTTAAAGATGAGAAATGAGAAGTCCAAAGAAGACACATTATTTATTTACTCAGGATCACATAATTAGCTAGGAAAAAGCCCTATCTCTTTTTTATTTTTATTTATTTATTTTTGGTCTAATGTTTATTTTCATTGTTGTACATGTATGTCAGATTTTTCAGGCATATGATATGTCAGATATATATCAAATATCTATTTATATACTGTGAGGAATAAACTCATTTTGGGGAATTAGGCATGAAAACAGAGAAAATGAGTTGGCTTGATGCACATATCAAGCTGCTTCTCATTGGGCAACCAAGATGGTTGACAATTACGGGAGACGAGGCAGAGATCTGACTGCACAAGAGCTGTAAACACAATGCACTCAGGGCATCCTTCGAATAAGTCATAGGCACATGGAATTTAAATGGGGGGCAAGTTCTACCATCAAAGAATGCATTTCAGGGTGTGGCAGCAAACAGTGCTGTGGAAAATGATAACAGAGCCCAAGTGAAGAAGCTACCCCAGCCTGCCATCCAGCCATGTTCCTTATGCCTTCTCTGGCTTTTCCAAAAATGAAATGTCAATACCACTCTAGGGTTTTCATCTTAATTCATGCTAGAAGCCCTCAAGGCTTGTCATAGAATATGTCAGTATATTTCCAGAACATACAGTCTGGGTCTGATTATCAAGCAAGTGGTGTAAAAACAGTTTAAGCTTCCACCAACCCAATAATTCGCAATGGAAGATAGAACAACTGATTATGTTTCTACCGTTTCTGAACAACCCAAAGTTCCAACTAGACTCAGCCTTATTTGTTAGCAAATGCACACATAGAAAATCACTCTGGGATTCAAGTCTTGCTTTTCTACAATTTGACAGCAAGCATCAAACAGCAGCAATGTCAGCCATGGGACATAACTTTTATGCCAATTTCAGCTATGCCCTATAAAGTTTTCTTTTTCTCTCAAATCCATAAGGTCACAAAGACCTTCTCAACTTCAATCACATAACTTAAATGTACAAATTAAAATTCCATTTCCTACATCCCTTCCATTCATAAGAAGCAATTAAAGTAGAGTATCTAATGTACTCTATGATCCTGGCAAGGGCATTACTCTTCATATGCCTCAATGGGCTATGCCAAAATATCTCTTTCATTTATTAAAGCCATTTGTGATTGCCACTGACTTTGAGCTGAATGGCATCCCAAGGCCAAATTTGTTTATTCATCCACTTGTTTTTAAAAATAAAAACCACTACAGGAGCCATTGATTGATTAACCTGTAGCAGTTCCTTACATTAAGCATCTTTGTCTGTGTGTCAAAATAAACTATATAGTAAGCCTCTGTAGAATACACAAAGCTGTGCCAGCAGTCACAGGGTAATGATTCTATGGTTTCAGCCTTCTGTTCAGATACCCAGAGTTTGACTGCCTATGGCCATGCAGCCTCAGAAATCATTGGATACTATCAAGCTGGGCTGCCTTGGAAGGAATAGGAACCCACCTGCCCATCCTCCCTGAGCTGCTTGTCTTTGCAGGCTAGGACACAGAGGAGGCATCTATAATGAGATGCAGGCCCAGGGAAGGAGATTTATGGTTTTACTGTGCTGGAGGCAAGAAAATATATACTGATTTTTCTATTTTGCAGGTCCTTTCTCTCTCTCTCGCTCTCTCTCACGCGCACACACACACACACACACACACACACACACATTTGGCAGGCCCTTTCACATATATGTGTGTGTGTGTGTGTGTGTGTATGTATGTGTATATATATATATATATATATATATATATATATATAAAATATATGATATAATTTTTTTAGACAGGGTCTCTCTTCATTGCCTGGGCTGGAGTGCCATGGCATGATCTCGGCTCACTGCAACTTCTACATCCCAAGTTCAAGTGATTTTTGTGCCTCAGCCTCCAACATAGCTGGGACTACAGAAGCGTGCTACCACTCACGACTAATTTTTGTATTTTTAGTAGAGACGGGGTTTCACCATGTTGGCCAGGCTGGTCTCGAAATCCTGACCTCATGGGATCCATCTGCCTTGGCCTCCCAAAGTGCTGGGATTACAGATGTGAGCCACCGTGCCTGGCCCCTTTTACATATATTATCATACTTATTTCCCATAACAATGTTATGGGAAATATGTATTATTATTATTACACATATGTGTAATATTATATTATTACACATATGTGTAAAATATGTATTATCATTATTCCACTTTGCTGATAAAGAAACCAAGTCTCAGAAAGTAACTTGGCCAAAGTCATGAGGCTAGTAAGCTGTAAAGTTGAAAAGACTGAAACCCAAGTCTAGCTTACTCCAGTCTCTTTCTACTCTAACAAGTTTCATGTAAATGCAATAGAATTCCTGAGTCATAGAAAGCATTTATATACATAGTACAAGAGCAACATCACACCTCTAAAGATAGCACCTGCAAGCACAATGCAAAATGTCAATAAAGTGGAGACGTGTGTGGTCTTCCAATGTTGTCTTGGATTGTTAGAGGGAAAAAAATCATGTCATTGTATATTTCCTTAAGCTCCAAATGTCAGGAGATAATAAAAAACACTGTATTTGAGAGATGTGGTCACTTAGAGTCCTGTACTTTACAGTGAGTCTCCAAAAGCTTGCCTAAAGTGGAGCCCACTTGATAACTCAAGCAGAAACTGCCCAGCTTCTGAGAACCTTCAAAATGGGTCTAATGATAATTTTTTGAAAGTATTTTTTTATTAAAATATCCTTAAAATATTATTCATATAGGTTGGGTGAAGGGCTCACACTTGTAATCCTAGCACTTTGGGAAGCCAAGGCAGAAGCATTGCTTAAGGCCAGGAGATCAAGACCTGCCTGGGAAACATGTGAGACCCTGTCTCTACAAAAAAAAAAAAAAAAAAAAAAATTGTTTAAAATTAACTGGGCGTGGTGACATGTGTCTGTGGTCATAACTACTTGGAAGGCAGGGACAGGAGGATTGTTTGAGCTCGGGAGTTGAGGTTGCAGTGAGTGAGCTATGATTTTGCCACTGTATTCCAGCCTGGGTGATAGACTGAGAACTTGTCTCTAAAAATAAAAATTAAAAAATATTCATTATATAGGAAATCTACTAGATTTTATGTCTTAAGAAAAGTGATCATATCTAATTTACCTTTAAATTTTCAATGTATCTTGGTGTATAGTGGGTGTTTATTAAGTTGAGAGAAGGAATATTAGCCAAGAGAAACTTACCTTTGGAGAACTGATGTGGTATCAGCTGGCTCGACTACAGCCTCTACTGGAGGCCCACCAGCTAGGTAAATTAAGCACAAAATCACATAGCCCCACTCCACCGTGGAAGAGGTTAACATTGTCCTGGAGAGAGACATGTTTTTTAAAATGCACACTACATACCAAATACTCAGATATCAAAAAAGTGTAACTGAGCTCATTATACTTGAGGTATCTTCTTGGCTCACAATGATTCCTCCTTCTCAGGGAAATGATCAGGAAATGCCCAGATCTTTTCTTTGGAGAAAGCAGGTGTGTCCCTATAATACACCTTGTCCCCTTGGCTGGAAATAATTCATGCAAGATTGAGCAGTTGGGCAACCAAAGCTAAACTGAGTCGATCAGATTCTTCTCTGTGGGAAATCAGAATTTTCAATCAAGTTTCTCATGGGGAGGGGCTCTTGCAGCTGAATAATATTAGTAGCTATGCTCTAGAAAGACTTATGTTGTCTTGTTGCTGAAGTCACTGGAGCTGCCCTTTTTCTTCCCTCTGAAATTTTATTTGTTCAATTCTTTTTGGATCTTATGATATATCCCACTGTCCTTCCAATAAATTCCAGTTCTTGCTTGAGTTACTCAGAGTGGGTTTCCATTACTTGTAGCCAAACAAAACTTAAATGATTCAGAAGTGCAGATGGATGGCTCTAGGAATTGATGTAGCGAGAACTAAGCAAGTTGAATTGAGAAAGAAGACAAATGCGTGAAGCTGAGAATAGGAAAGAAGAAACATTTTTAAAGTACAACAGAGTAGGAAAAGCATCCCAAAGTGGTGGAATGACCCAAGTAAAATGTAGAAAATTGGGACTCAGTGGGTCCATCAAGAATGGGGAGCAAAGCTCCCTGGCTGGAGAAACATAGGATCCATGCCAACACTCAGGAGAAGTTTCAATGATGGAGGAGGCTGGCCAGATGTTCAGGTTAAATTTAAGGGTGTCGTTTCAGAGTTTTGGGGTTTCTTTTTTGGCCTGGGGCTTTATGAAGTAACATTCCATTTCTATAGGTGGAGACCACAGTAACTTTGTGCTGCAGTTTCACATCTCAGAACATGGCTGATTTTGCTGTATGAAAGGGTATTTAATGTAGAAAGTCTTGAGTAGAACTTTAAGTTCAACAGACGTTTAGGGATGAGCGGCCCCGGTGGTTGTCACTGGGCACCTGAACCCCACCTGCAGCACAGTATGGCCTGGTGCTCTGACAAGGTCTTCCACGGCATAGCTCTGAATCTCCAGATCCTCTTTGATGGGTGAGATGAGCCAAGGACTGGGTGGGGCTGTCATGGTCAAACTCAACACCTTCCTCAACAGGAGAAGAAGACTTAAGCCACACGCAAGCAAACTTCTAAGAAATTACTTGATTTTTAGTTTTCTTCTGAAAGATGCAGACCAAGCATTTTGTTTGCCCTGGGTGACAGATGTGTCCAGCCCATCTCGGTGTCAGGACGAGGGTGTGACATCATGGTTACAGGAACCATGACTTCCAAGCCCATCAGGGATCTCATTTCTTCAGATCATCATCCGTCCACTGCTGCAGCTTCTGGGTTCAGCCTTAGTGCCATCAGCTGGGAAGGGAGTAACAGGATTTTGTTAATTGTACTGTTAAACTTAGTGGAAGCAAAGTTAGATATATTTCTCATAAGAAAGTCTTAGTTCCAAGACCCAATTTTCACAAACCAAGTTAGTAAATATCACAAACCCCACAAATTAGAATCCAACATAGTTCTTTTGCCATTTCTGATCACATCTTCTATTCAGTAAAGTCTTCCAAGGCATCCTTTGAACCCTCCCAGTAAACTTTCTTAACCTAAGGGGCTAGAGGTGAGAAGGTAATTTCAGTTGTGGTGGCTGCATTTGACTAGTTGGATTGTATGAAATTAAAAGTTGGGATTTTATGAAATTAAAAGTTGAGACTGATATAAAATATTGCTCACCACATTAAAAGCACTTAAATAAAAGGATAATGCATATTTTTAAGGTGATAAACAACTATTTTTTTCCAGTGGGTTTCTAGGAATGTAAGTTTCACCAAAGACTAAAATTTTGTTTTATAAATTTCAGGGCTAAATAAAACATATACCCCAAACTCCAGTCCAGGCTCCATTCTGGCCTGAAAGGACTTAACTAATAGCTTTTTAATTGCATAATTTTATATTTTTTCTTTTTGTTAGAGGCAGAAGTGGAGCACAGAAGCAGCCCCGGAAAGTCTACTCTCCTAATATTTGCAAAATTTCTGACAGTCTCCCAAGAGGGCATCAGATAAGTTCTATGAAATGTCCAGTGTACTGTGGGATACCTATCCTCACCCAAACCTTATTTTTTTTTAAAGGTTTATCTATTCCTAGTCTTGAGTTTCATGCTGGGTTTTTGCAATGACTGCAGAAATACAGCAATAATCTTTGCCTAAACCTCTGAAGAAAATATTAAGCATATAAAGCAGAATCATGAATAATAACAGCTCTTACACAACCAGTAGATCTTAATAACACATATTCCTCGTCACCTGCTTTCCAAAACCATTCCCATTTGGAGTTTGTCTTTTGATATTACTGCTTTGAGAACCAAAATTTCTCTGAGCTCCCCTTGTAAGATTAATTAAAATGGACATATCTTCGAAGCACAGATAAGACTAGAATTTCTTTAATATAAGTGTTTGTCATGGCAACATTTTCTATAATGTAACTGTGACACCTTGCTTTATTTCTTTAAATATTAAACAAACAAATAAGAGAAGCAAGCAGACTCTTAGAGAAGAAAAGAAATGGTACCAGCTCCATTTTTTATGGCTAAGATATTAAGTGACCACTCTGTGGTGGTATAAAAATGGCACTAAATAGAAAAGACAATGGCCAGGCACAGTAGCTCATGCCTGTAATCCCAACACTGTGGGAGGCCAAGGTGGACGGATTGCTTGAGCCCAGGAGTTCAAGACCAGCCTGGGAAAATGGTGAAACCCCATCTCTACTAAGAATACAAAAAATTAGCCAGGCATGGTAGTGCACACCTGTAGTTCCAGCTACTCCAGAGGCTAAGGTGAGAGGATGGCTTGAGCCCAGGAGGCTGCAGTGACCTGAGTTCACACCACTGTACTCCAACCTGGGTGACAGAGTGAGACCCTGTCTTAAAAAAAAAAAAAAGACATGACAAGACTGGCATCAGTAAACCAGGTTCACCAGTAATAATCAACACAGAAAAAAGTACTTTCTGAAGACCATGATTGCCAAATCATTGTGGGCAAGACAAAGTTAACACTTCAAATACCTTACCTGGGGAGCAGGAACTGACACGGGCAATGTTAATTATGAAATACATGACAGATAATAAGTTATTTCTGAAGATGAAGTTGTTTCTTTAGATTAGAATATTTGGAAAAGGCTTAGAGAAGGAAAGAATGAGATATTCAAATTTAAATATTATATGGAAAGTCAAAGAGAAATAGAGAGATCATTCAAGAAAAATGCAAGACCCATTTATCAGAGAGTGAATAAACCATACAGACTCAACTGTTTACTTAACAATTTTGTGTGTATATATATATATATATTTTTTTCTTTTATTTTTACAGTGGAGCAACCATAGCTCACTGGAGCCTTGACCTTCCAGGCTCAAGGAACCCTCTCACCACAGCCTCCTGAATAGCTGAAACTGCAGGTACATGCCACCTCACCCGGCTAATTTTTAAAATTCTTTTGTAGAGACAAGGTCTCACTATGTTGCCCAAGCTGGCCTTGAACTCCTGGGCTCAAACGACCCTCCCACCTTGGGCTCCCGAAGTGCTGGGATTACAGGCATGAGCCATCACTCTCAGCCTTCAAGAATTATACAAATGCCAGCTTCCTTCCAGTAATGAGCTAAGTGAAAAAATGAGGGCAGTCCTAGGCCTCAGGTAGCTTTCAATCCAATGGCGGGAAACACACACACACAGAAAAAAACAATACAACAGAAAACAGAGGCATGGCTAGGGCATTAGAGAAGCACAGAGAAGGAGAAGAGTAAGTAGGATTATTTTAGGCAGAGAGGGCCACATTGAAAAGGTATAGAGGTGTTAGAGAGCATGGACCAGTCATGAACTCAAAGTAATGACATCTTCCTGGTGCATGGGGCAGATCGAGAGAAATGAGACAGCACCAATCACAAAGGCCTTGTACATCATGCTCAGGATATCAGACTTCACACAATAGGCTATGACGAAACACCAACAGATTTTAGAAAAGAAAGGGCTTGATCATACTTCATGTTATACAGATGGCACTGGCAGCAGAATGAAAGCCTCAGGGTGGCTGGTCATTCTAAAGGCAGGGAAACTAGCTAGGAGACCTGAAGAGCAGTCAGGTCTCTACAAGGGTATTGACACTGGGGTTGGAGAAGAAAGGAGAGACTCAAGAGATATTTAATTGGAATAAAAAATGGCCAGACTTTGATGACTTACCTGAGAGTATCTGTTGGAAGTTAGGGAAAGGTAGCATTCTAATATGACTGTGAAGTCTGTGGCTTGCAAGATATCACTAAACAAAATGTGGGAGTAAAGCATGGTGAACAACCAGTTTGAGGAGAAAGATCATGAGTTCAGGCTTAGAAACGCTAAGATGGGAGTGCCTGAGACGCCCCATTGGAGAAGTCTGGTGGAGTTGGAGCATGTAACTGGAACTCAGGGTGGCCTTCTCAGATGGAGACGGAGATTACAGAAATAGGCTCTGGGGCATTACACAGAGTTGTGATCATGGTTGAGATCATCCAGAAAATTGAAAGAGAGGATTGCTGAGGACAGGTCTTATCAACATTCATCCTGGAATAGAGGATGCATTACATGAGAAACAAACTAAAAAGAAGCATTAGAGAAGTAGAGAGAAAACCAAGAGAGAACAATATCATGAAATCCAAGAGAAGAAAGCTTCTGAAATGACAGGGTGGTCAACAGCCTAAAACTCTTTGAAGAATCCAGGATCTAAAAGTGTGAGATCTTAGAAAGCACCTGGTCTCACTCCTCCAATGCATTTATTAGGAAATGAAGACCAAGAGACGGGAAGAGGGTGCCTGCCCACAATCACACTGTCAATGAGGAGGGAGCTGACTAGCAGGCAGATGCCCTGACGCCCTGCTGCGCAGCTTCGGCTTTATCCAGTTGCACTTTTGGTTTGATTGAACCCAGATTTCGCAGAGGGAAGTAGTGGGAGATAAGCCTTAGAAAGGTAGGTCAGGGCCAGGCAGCAAAATTGCTAAACTAGGGGGCTTAAATGTTATTCGGAGGAACGGGGTACTCACTAAAGAGCTTTGAGCAGGAAAGTTATTCTAATCACAGAGATATTTGGGGAAATTTTAGGTGGGAGTTTTCAGGGGTATTGTTAATATTTTGCTCAGATAAGTCACAAATTAAGCAATTATGTGAACCCCTCCCCCCAAATAATTGTGAGTTGTAGTGACTAAAACTCCTTAATTATATTATAAATTAATAACCAATAAATAAGAAAAAACTCAAAAATGAAGTCACCTATTGCTTAGGTTCATGAGATCATCTTAAAATGATCTAGAAATAAAATGAAAAGTCCTGTGAGATTTGGAACCACCCTAGGTATCATGTCCAGCTGTGGGGAGGGGGTTGGGGGTGGGTCTGAGTACACTGCAGCCTCAGGTATCCACGCTTTCATAACTCTATTAGGACCAATGATTAAGGCCATATGAGGACGTATTATTTTATGTGATTTCTCCTTCTTCCTCTTTTTCCCCTGTACATATACATTTGTTAAAAAGGAGAATAAAAAATGATCCCTATACCTTTGGAAGAATGCCTTGGGAGAGATGCCCATGCCAGGGACCAGCTTTCTCTGAGTTGCCAATCCTATTGCCAAAGGCCTTCCAACCAGAGTGACTCTATCTTGAGCAGGGGCTAGGCAAAATGAGGCTGAGTCCTACTCAGGTGCATTCCGAGGAGGTCAGGCATTCTAAGTCACAGGAAGAGACAGAAGGTCAGCACAAGATACAGGTCACAAAGACCTTGCTGTAAAACAGGTTGCAATAAAGAAGTCCGTCAAAATCCACCAAAAACAAGGTAGCGATGAAAGTGACCTCTGGTAGTCCTCGTTGCTTATTATATGCTAATTATAATGTATTAGCTGCTAAAAGACACCCCCACCAGCACCATGACAGTTTACAAATGCCATGGCAACATCAGGAAGTTACCCTATACGGTCTAAAAGCTGGAGGACCCCTCAGTTTCAAGGAAATCCCCACCCGTTTCTCAGAAAACTCATGAATGATCCACCCCTTGTTTAGCATATAATCAAGAAATAACCATAAAAATAGGCAGCCGGCAGCCCTCGGGGCTGCTCTGCCTACGGAATAGCCATTCTTTTGTTTCTTTACTTTTCTAATAAACTTGCTTTCACTTTATTCTATAGACTCACCCTGAATTTTTTCTTGCACGAGATCCAAGAACCCTCTCTTGGGGTCTGGATCAGGATCCCTTTCCGGTACCACTGTGACCTGGCTGCACACGGTCCCCCTGAAGCCACAGGTTGAGCTATGTCAGGCCCCAAAGACACAGGGGCCCCAGCGCTTCATCCTCTCTCTTTCCCCTCAGAGCTTCAAAACTTTGAGGTTCTCAAACGCCTAGATAATGGTTTGCCTCATAGGTGACAGTACACTGGTAGGTAGAAATTGACCTGACCCTACTGAAACCCCAAAGTCCCATGAGCCCTGAAGTCTGATTCGGTGGTTCATTGCAAAGACTAACATCAAGCGAGGGAACACAGGAAAATGTCACAAACAGTGCTTGAAATTGATTTGAGGGTCAGAGCAACCTGAACTTCTGACCCTGACTTTTAACCTCCTCACATCTTGCTCTCCGTCTCTGCTGTTACGATGATAGTGCACACTCTGTGCAGAAAAGACGGCTCCACTTTACACGTACCCAGGCAGAATACTACAGTGGGCCTGTTGCCGGGCAACCACAGCTAGAACACTTTGTTTCCGGAGCATTTTGAGAATGATTACACTTGCGGGGTTGGGTTGGGTTGGTTGGGGTTTTTATTATTATTATTATTATTATTCTTTCTTTCTTTCCTGTGGTACCTATTCCTGGATGTTGTAAATATTCATCTGAGTTTTGCATAGATGAGGGGAAGACGTTATTTAAATGAGATTGGGAGGGTAATTTGCTCGGGTGCATCACTACCCTCTTTTATGTTTTGCAGGCACCCTGCTGCAGAAGGAGAGAAAGCGCTTTTGTGACCATTATTGACTTAGATGACAATGCTATGCTGGCTTGTTTCAGTTACATAGAACAATGGGAGCAGAAAAAAGACACTTTAGCGAAGGCATTTAGTAAATTGTTAGTAAATGGGGAAGATACAAAAGCCCCAGCTAAGTCATCAGGCACATTTCCTTGCTAACGTGGCTGCAGTTACTCTCCTGGCTCCCTCTAAACCCCACTCAGAGAGGAACGCTTCCTCTTCCTCTTGTTAAGTGACATCAACACATTGAAATACAGCTCTTGGCTAAACTCCGCGAGCTGACTTTGAAAGGTAACGGGAAGAAACATTTCCTTTCAAAAGGAATCTGGCAGCCTTTGAGCCTTTGAAACACACCCATTTCAGATGAGTCTGAGTTGGGCAGGAATTGCAAGTACTTCCAAAATCATCCGTGTCAATATTTCCCCCACCCCTGGAATATTAATATGTACACACACCCACACACTCCCCTTGAGATGTGTTTATTTCACAATTCACAAATGGTGAAGAGACCTTTTCTGAATTTTTTTCTTAGGGACTTGGGAAGCCAGCATGAAAATTGTGATTCTTCCAAATGCTTTCCCATATGCCTTAAATGCCCCCATTAAAGTTAATTTTCTCAGTCCACACGTGTTCTCTGTGTCTTGGTGACCACCTCCCTGCCTCCCTTAAGGTAACCTTTTCTTGAGGCTTGCTATGTCCTGTCTTGGTTATGACTTGGTCAGGAGCCTGGGCACCTTATGGCAGAATTCAGGGCCCCAGCCAAATACAGCAGTTGTTTACAGGGCACAGTCAGTGAGGGACTCGATCTCTTCACTCTCACGGAGATGTCTATGGATAGAAAATTCGCCTCTGGGCCATCGACAGTTTGAGCCCCAAAGCTGTTGGGCTTTTCAGTCCAGAGTGCATTTACGAAGCTCTCCCATCTAAAGGATCCCCATCCTGGTGATACAGAAGTGCTGGGGAGAGAAGAGCATGGTCCCTTTAAATGATACCGAAGTGGAAAGGGGAGTGCTGGGTAGAGGAGGGCGTGGTCCCCGGTTAGGGCTCCACCCCCAAGGGCCTAGATGAGGACAGGCAGTCCTGTCTTCTCGCCCAAATGTTGCAATTTCCAAGACTACCCTGGCCCGCCACACCCCCATCCTGGCCCTATACCCTAGCAGGCAGACACAAGTAGCTGGACATCGTGAGGAACACATCGCCGGAAGAAGACACAAGTGGCTGGACGTCGAGAAGGGCACGTTAGCAGAAGAGCACACGGACAGACACCGACAAGCCGGCAGGCCACTGACCAGCACAATGATGCAGAGTTTGGCCTGAGTGGTCGGAGAAGAGTCAGGCTGTGGAGCGGCCTAACTCCAAGGAAAAAGCCAGCTCCCTTCCGGCTTCCCCATCTGCAGAGGGCCACTTCCGCTCAATAAAACCTTTCGCTCCTTCTCCAAGCCCAGGTGTGATCCGATTCTTCTGGTATACCAAGGCAAGAACCCGCAATACAGAAAGCCTGCTGTCTTTGCGACAAGGTAGAGGGTGTAATTGAGCTGGTTAACACAAGCCTATAAATGGAAAACTAAAAGAGTAAAATTAAAAGAGCACTCTGTATGTAACACACGCCCACTGGGGCTTCAGGAGCTATAAATATTCACCCCAGAAGCTGTCGTGGGGTTGGAGCCCCACAACCTGCCCACCTTGTATGCTTCCCAAGAGGTTTGAGCAGCTAGGCACGGAAGAAGTGAGCTACTCCCCCTGTTGCACCCCCTGTGAGGGGGACAAGGGGACCTTTCCTGTTTCACTGGCCCTTCATCCAAGATCGCCTGGTGAATGGTATAAGGCTCTCCGGCACATGAGGCAGCCTGTGGCACAGGATTCAGTAAAACTCTTCCTGGCTCTACTCAGGAATATGAGTTAGATGTGCAGTTGCATTCTGCCGGGAAGACCACTTAACTATCCAGCTGGAAAACTGGGATAGAACGTTAGGGAGAAGGAGGAGAAAAGACATACTGGAGAAGGAAGTCAGAAGGAAACTTAGGATCTCTCATCTTTGGAGCTGGGACAAGCAACAGGTTACTCAAAAGTTTCAGTCTGAATACACCCTTCAAGATGGGCTGGAAGGCCCACACCTTCCATATTTCCATCAAACACCCTTCTATTTATCGAGAACCAGTTATGTGCAAGGCACTCTTATGTTACTGGAAAGGGGTCCGGATCCAGACCCCATGAGAGGGTTCTTGGACTTCACCCAAGAAAGAATTCAAGGCGAGTCCATAGAGTAAACTGAAAGCAAGTTTATTAAGAAAGTAAATGAATAAAGAATGGCTACTCCATAGACAGAGCAGCAGCGTGGGCTGCTCGACTAATTATACTTTTAGTTATTTTTTTATTGTATGCTAAACAAGGGGTGGATTATTTGTGTATTTTCTGAGACAGGGGTGGGCAATTCCCGGAAAAGGGTTCCTCCACTTTTCAAACCATATAGCTTAACTTCTTGATGTTGCCATGGCATTTGTAAACTGTCATGGTGCTGGTGGGAGTGTCTCTTAGCATGTTACTGTATTATAATTAGTGTATAATGAGCAGTGAGGATGACCAGAGGTCACTTTCATGGCAGTCTCAGTTTTGGTGGGTTTTGGCCAGCTTCTTTACCACAGTTGTTCTCTTTGTGACCTCTACTTTGTGCCAACTTCCTGTCTCATCCTGTGACTTAGAATGCCTAACCTCCTGGGACTGCAGCCCAGTAGGTCTCACCCTTATTTTACCCAGCCCCCATTCAAGATGGAGTCGCTCTGGTTCAAACACCTCTGACACTAACAGGGCCTGCATAGCTATAAAAAGGGTAAAATGGGTGGGGCGCGGTGGCTCACACCTGTAATCCCAGCACTTTGGGAGGCTGAGGCAGGTGGATCACCTGTGGTCAGGAGCTCGAGACCAGCCCGGCCAACATGGCAAAACCCCATCTCTACTAAAAATATAAACATTAGCTGGACATGGTGGCACGTGCCTGTGATCCCAGCTACTTGGGAGGCTGAGGCAGGAGAATCACTTGAACCTAGGAGGTGAAGGTTGCAGTGAGCCAAGACTGCACTGCTGCTCTCCAACTTCTCCAGCCTGGGTGACAAGAGCGAAACTCTGTCTCAAAAAAAATAAAAATAAAAAAAAGGTGGGGGCAGTGTAAAATGCAGGCTCTTTCCTCAAGATTGCATTGTGCAGGGATTCTCTTGGGTTAGAGAGAGAAAGCTGGCCTCCGGTGATTGTACCTGCACTCAACCAAATGCTGCAACCGTGACACCCCAGCCTCCATGATGAGAAAAGTCACTTCAACTCACAGAGCTCATCTGACTCCACTGAAAATACCCGGCCTCATTGGTGTTTGCTTTTTTTTGAAAAATGCCCTATGTCTTTGGATTCAAGGTTTACATCCAGGAACAACCCCTTTCTTTTACTATACCTCTAGGCAAGGAACATATGTCAGAAATGCCATAGCCATATTTAGGCTCTGTCTGCTGTTCAGCTTCACTGAGCCCACCGCCAAGTTACCTTTTACATGGCAATTACTCATGAAATCTGAACACTTCTGCAAATTGGTGTTAGGTTGCTTTCATTTCCCAATTAACTGCCCACCTGCTATTATAAGATTCAGGTTAGTCATAGTCAGCCTTTTCCCCCTTCAGCCTTTAGGAAGGGAAAAAAAAGTACCCAACTTCTTTATGCAGAGAATAATTAAGGTGTGAAATGGTCTACCAAAGGCAACAATGAAACAATGCAACTGTGAGGATATTCAAAGAAGAGCTAGACAAGGAAGAAAAAAATTCCATGATACCAACATTAGACAGACAGGTGGATGGGTTTGGATAGACCATATGGCCCCCTTCTGTCTTGAAATGTACTGTGAGATTATATCTTGCAAAGTCCCATTAAGAACCAAGTTGATTTCTATACAGTAAATGATGGCAAAGAAAATGCTGATGACACCTCAGCTATGTCCGTTATTCCAATGGCAAGTTTGTATTTCTGGGGAGATGTTTTCAAGACCAAACTAACACACTTGTCACACAGTAAATGAGATGGCAGAGGGCAAGGTGGAAATACGGGAGAGAAGAGTTTAGTCTCGTTCTCTTTTCTCAAGGGAAATAGACACGTACTTTCCAAACTCATAGCAGAGAAAAATGCTGATTCCCCACTGCAGCCTGTGGAAACAGCCAGGAGGATGTGAATCTAATGTATTGAGCCGAACAGCAGACGTGAGATGCACCCGATCATGAAAAACAGTGTCATTTCTGCAAAACATTAAAGAATATTTTTTCCCCCTCAGGAAGACAGAGCATATGATTCCCATTCTCACATTGTGACAGAAACGCTGCATGCACTATATGTGGAGGATTGCCACACGAAATTCCAAGACACCAGGCGTGGTGGGGACCTCCGAACATGCTTCTTCAAGCCCGGTTTAATTGACACCCTGGTTGACAAGATAACGCAGTTTTGACAGCAATTCTGCACTGAAAGAGTTTCTCTCTGAATTTTCAAAGAGGATTTTTTTGCTTTTAGCTTGAGAGACAAGAAATTCACAGCCTTTCAGGCCCATATTCTGTGACACCACTCCAGCCCGGGAATAACAATAGGATCATTCTGCCATGACAAAATGGCATTGCTCTGTGCTGGCTCTCCTCTGACCTCCCATAACTGCAGAATGGCCAGTCCCCTCAAACCCTCATCTTCCTTTCTGGGACATGAGAGGTTATTTCTGGGGTGCTTGAGCTCTGTAAGTTACTGCGTGGCACCTGCCACTGTCCTTTTCTCTGGCTTTTGGTCAAGATGCCATCGGTGGCTGTGGACATGAAAGCTACCAGGCTACAGTGGTACCTGCCAGCAGAACTGATCCTTCCACCAATGCCTAAAGGTGCTACTGCAACCACAATGCTTCTAAGAAGGTCCCAAAGATTGCAGTGGTCAGTGGAAATGCATCTAAAGGAAGGCCCTTCCAGTGTGCTACTCAGTAATGTAGCAAAGGTACCACAAGGGCACTTTTGCTGGAGCAGTTTCATATCCCAATGATAAAGGGAGAAAGTGCCCACTGTCCACACCAGTGGCTGAGCTATCACGTAGGCCATGGCCACAAGTCCTGGCATGTGATATAGGAGTGTTAGGAAAATAGCTCTTTCCTTTGTCACTCAGGTCTTTACTATAGCTTCTTCCTCGGACTGCTGTTTGAGCCCTTGGGAACTTGGGTGAATGAAATTAGAGTGACAGATATTATGGTGGCCTTGGAAATGTGCCCCCATGAGCTTCAAGGCATGCTTTACTGAGGCTGAGACCTAGCCTCTGCCTGTCATGCAAACAGACACCTACCGGGGTCACTTCAGGAACTCTTGGGGCCAATCAAGACCTCATGTCACACCTGCAATCCCAGCACTTTGGGAGGCTGAGGCAGGAGGATCACTTGAGCCCATTAGTTTAAGAAATTTAAAAAAAAAGAATTGAACAGTATAGTACTTCCATATTCTCTTGAGTTTTAGTTTGATATAAGCCTATATTAAACATCCAATGAGAAAGTTAAGTAGGTATTTTTAGATGATCACACCACAAGCAAAAGCAGAATTCATGAATCTATAAAGTGGGATTATTTCACTTTTTCATCTTGTTGTAGGTGAGACTATGGGAGAGAGTAGGGAGGTAACTCTTTCCTCCTGAGCTTGGGAAAATCACTTTCTCTTCAATGGAGAGAAAAGAAAGTAAAATAACACTAAAAATAGAAAAAACCAGGAGGATAATCAGATAGTTTTTTCAATCTTTTGACTACTCTGGCCCTAAAACATGAAAGCTACCAGGCTACAGTGATACCTGCCAGCAGGACTGATCCTTCCACCAATGCCTAAAGGTGCTACTGCAACCACAATGCTTCTAAGAAGGTCCCAAAGATTGCAGTGGTCAGTGGAAATGCATCTAAAGGAAGGCCCTCCCGATGTGCTACTCAGTAATGTAGCAAAGGTACCACAAGGGCACTTTTGCTGGAGCAGTTTCATATCCCAATTTGGACTACGACATGATGCTACAAGACATCATGACAACGTGTTGGCCAGCAAAATTTAGGTCATTTGACCAATCAGTTTAGCTATATAAGACCAAACAATTGGTTTGACCCACTTTTTTCCCCTATTAAAATGGCCGATTCATAGATTTGCTTGGTTGATTGGCATATGATAAACACACACTAACAGTAGACTCCAGAAGGAAGTCATCACTAGTCTCAGTTTTAAAATACCCTTTTGCTTTTTTAATGCATTAAATATAATAAAAATAATTTTGTAGGTACTGTTATATGATTTCTATTTATTTAATCATGCATTCCATATGGCTCAAGAAATAGAAATGATGTTTATAGCTTTTCAATGAAAATGATATTCTCCTAAGCTTATAAAACTATAATGAGTTAAAATCTGGGTGAAATACAATGCTGTTAAACTATCTTCCATTAAGAAAATGCAAACAGTAAGGACTTCGTTCTACTTTATAGCTTAGAGTTAAACTAAAGCTACACAAGATGATTGCAATCAGTATTTGTTAGAATACCAACATAAGAAAGTTATCTTTCAGACCCTGAAAACCAAAAAGACGTGCTTTCAAAAGGAGTTATCTTTCAGACCCTGAAACCCACTTTTCAAAAAATCAAAACCTAAATAAAGTATTATACGGCAGGGTATGTCTCAAGGCTAGGATCTGCCAGTTTCAGAGGGAATAAGCACCTCTGCTGAAGTATTGATAGACTCTTCAACATTTCCTTGTGTAACTTTACAAAACAAAAACAATCAACCAATACAATCCCAGAAAGAATATCAATGTATTGCTTTCTTAGCTTCTTGTGAATTCTAGGCCATTAAAGATATAATTAGAACACTTTCATGCAAAGAAAGCCCGAACTGAGGCAGCTTCCATCCATGTGGCCTGTTACCTCGGAACCTATAATTACTCTGTTTAGCTCTGTGCATTAAATAACAATCACCTGCTGTTTGGGGGCCATACTGTTTGGTGTATGTATACAGAAGTACCTGGGTTAAGCAATGCCTAGTTTTACAGAGTGGCAGCTCATCCTACACTAGAAGAAGATGACAGATCAGTACGTTGCCATCCTGATGTTGTCCCAGGATGGGAGGAGTCCAGTGATTGTAAAAACAGAAAACTCACACATTTTTATAAACTGCCTCAAGAGATCACAATAATTTAAATTCTCTTGACATGCTAGCTCATGGTCTAAAATATAAGCTCTTTTAGAAAACAGGCAGAGTTGAGAATAGCACAACTCTAAAAATAAGAGTATGACAAGCCCCAAAAGATTGGGAATTTCTAGAATAAATCATTCATTAAAAAGTAATAGCTTTGCTGGGTGCAGTGGCTCACACCTGTAATCCCAGCACTTTGGGAGGCCAAGGTGGGAGGATCACCTGAGGTCAGGAGTTCAAGGTCAGCCTGGCCAAAATGGCAAAACCCTATATCTACTAAAAATACAAAAATTTACCTGGTGTGGTGGCACACACCTGTGATCCCAGCTACACAAGAGGCTGAGGCAGGAGAATCACTTGAACCCAGGAGGTGGAGGTTGCCGTGAGCCGAGATTGCATCACTCCACTCCAGCCTGGGCCACAGAGTGAGACTCTATCTCAAAAAAATCAAAACAAAACAAAACAAAAAAAGTAATAACTTGATTTGGGAGGCCTCTACCAAACAGTGGCTTCTCAGATTTTCCATCATTGACAATTTCCCCTGAGATTTGGGGTACAATGAAGTAGGAAACCTAGTTCTCCTGTCTCAGCCTGGTGTCTGATGAAGTACAAAGCTTGTGGGGACAGATTTCAGATAAAGAGATCCTTCTGTGTGCATCCGAAAAAAGCAAAGAAGGTGGAGAAGAAAGAAACTGTACAGGAATGCAAGCATTTACGTCCATCCACGCCCCTTAAAAACATTCAAAGTGCCAACCAGAGTGTTCATTCGTGCTAAAAACTGTGATCAACACTTGAGATGAAAAGCCTTCAAATGTGCATTACATCCACGGGCTGGCACGTATCCATTATTGGTTGAATCTTTCATTTCTCAGCTACTCTCTGATGCCTAAGTGTGAAAAAAGTCAGTATGCCTGAATTGAATTTTTAGATCGCTTTACGTCAATGCACATTTGTTTGTTTTCAAAATCAACAACAAATGCAACACTAAATACTTTTGGCTGCTCAGTTGTACAGCCTTGTGCTGTAACAGAATTCGCCCCCTTGTGCTCAGGCAGCTTCGGAATGAAGCCAATGGTACACGTAGAATCGTAATTCAGTGAAGCAAATAAAATGATGAACTATATCCCTGCCCTCCATTTTCCCTGTAGAAAGAAACACCAATGTTTGTGCATGCTTCTGTGTGTTTAAATGTGTGTGTGTGTGTGTGTGTGTGTGCACATGTAGACAATCATTTCCACATAGCTCAGAAACAGATAACAAGACAATCATAAAGAAGGCTGGATACAAAAGCAGTGTACCCATTTTGTCCAGAGTGGCCAGATCAAATTGTAATCCAAAGTTTGGTTGTGATTTTGAGGTGAGGTTACAGTGTGTACTGTCCACAAACTGGAGAAAGCTCTAATCCCTCTGAAAAGCAGTGTGTGGATTGACTGGATTAAATATCAGAAATTTTGTTTCCAATGAGTTCCACAAATCCCATGGATATAGCCTGGAGTGGAAAAAAAAAGAAGAAAAAACTAGAAATATGCAAAAGCAAAGAAAACCCATAACTTAATACACGTAAAATGCTTCATGACTTCTGAAAAGAATTTCTGCCTAACCAGTGAAAGAAGTAGCAGCTGTTCTAATGGAATGAGGGAGAGTTACTCTTCCTCTTCATATCCCTGACTGCGCAAGCCACCAGGGACTTTCTCTTCCTGCTCTGTTGCCCTGAGAAGTATGTCAGCTTGAAAAGCTTCAGCAAATCGATTTAGAGTTTTATAGCCTCCATTCTCTTACTCATTTATTCGTTCATTCAACTCTATATTAATTTATTCATTCATTCAACTCTATATTAGTTCTCTCTTTCTTTTTTAATTAATTAAATTTTTTTGTAGAGACCAGGTCTCGCTGTGTTGTCCAAGCTAGTCTCAAACGCCTGGCCTCAAGCAATCCTCCCACCTCAGCCTCCCAAAGTGCTGGGATTACAGGCATGAGTCACCATGCCCGGCAGTTCTTTCTTTCTATATAGATGCCTCATAAGTGCCATTTGCACTACAAGTATGTGTAAGGAAAAAGACTTAAGAAACTTTATAGCATTTCCTTGAACTCAAGTCAAGGAACATGACTGCCTATGAATAGTGGAAGATGGCAAAACTGAAAAACTAAAAGCAGAAATGGAAATGTATTCCAATTTCCTCCAGCTTCATTACAGCCAGAAAAATCTGACCCATAAGATTGAAGCCCTAATGTTTGACCATGGACTCCATCAGAGTACACAGTGGTAGAACTGTGAGTGTATACTTAATGTGTTTCCTATGGGATGGATGCCAGAAATTCCACTCTTGGCAAGGCACAGTGGCTCACGCCTGTAATCCCAGCACTTTGGGAGGGTGAGGCGGGCAGATCACCTGAGGTCGGGAGTTCGAGACCAGCTTGACCAACATGGAGAAACCCCGTCTCTACTAAAAATACAAAAATTACCCAGGTGTGGTGGCATGTTCCTGTAATCCCAGCTACTTGGAAGGCTGAAGCAGGAGAATCACTTGAACCCAGGAGGCGGAGGTTGCAGTGAGCCGAGGTCATGCCACTGCACTCCAGCTTGGGACAGAGCGAGACTCCATCTCAAAAAGAAAAAAGAAAAAATAGAAAAAAAACTCCATTCTTAGATAATCCAACCAGATAGGCTGCTTCTGGCTACACACTGCTTCTGAGGCGCTAGACCTTGTTGCACTTGTGTTACCTACACAACGGGTGGGTTCAGTAGCTTGGTGGGTATCAGCCCAATGACCACCACAAAGGAGGATTTAGCCAGGGGATTTTATTACTTGAAACAAGTAAGGAGAATCCCAGGGGTAATTCCCAAAGCAGTGGCTCCCGGAGCTGGGGACTGGGTCAGGTTTTATAAGCATGGGGTAATGAAGTGTGATCTGATTGGATGTTGCAATGAGGTGATGCCAAGTGGCATGATCTGACTGGATCTTGCTGTGGGGTGACACCAGGGCTCCATCTGATTTGATCCTGGATCCTACCATGCTGTGTCCGCTTCTTAATTCAGTCCCCCGTGCTCTATCTGAGCACTTGGGTTCCCCCTGTGGTTGCACACTTGGTTCATCTGGGCATGCTCAGGTCACGTGACTTGAGGGTCCATGGTAACTGAAAAACAGCTCACAACTTTGTTACATAAAAGTTGAATCAGACAAGTCTCATGCAGCTACCCTCATATCCCAATTTCTCCTGGGTTCAATATTGATCACAGCATTTAAGTTCTATGGGAAAACACCACACCACACAGGTGTCATGTTAGATCATCTGCACTTGTCTATTTTATTATTATACTTAACTTCAATTTATATTATACATTTTTTAGCTAAGGTTCTCTACCTGGGGAGCAAATGCCTCATTACTCAGAGGTCATTGTGGTCTGAGAAAACCCAATTGCCTTTTTTTCTGAGCTTATTTTCTCTGTGGTCCCCAGTGCTGTACCCTGAAGATACAGAAACTTGTGAGTTACAAGTAACTGAGGAGAGGTCTGGTGTGTGAACGGGACAGCAGAGCACCTGCTGTAGATGGGTTCAGGATGTGGAAGGAGGTAAAGTTGTGGCTTGGGTGGTGTGTTAGTTTCTGAAGGCTGCTGTAACAGATTACCATGAACTGGGTGGCTTACATTAAGAGAAATTTATTTTATCACAATTCTGGAGTCTCAAAGTCCAAAATCAAAGTGTCAGCAGGACTGATTCCTTCTAGATCCTATGTAGGAGAGTCTGTCCTTTCTATCTTCTGGTGGCTATGCAGGAAAATCTGTCCCTTCTATCATCCCTTGGCTCATAGCTGCCTCACTCCAAACACTGTCTCTATAGCCACATGACAACTTCCCTCTGAGGGAGTGTCTTGGTGTTTCTTCTACTTTTCTTACGAGGACACCAGCCATGTTGGATTAAAAGCCACCCTATGCCAGCATGACCTCATTTTAACTAATTGCATCTGCAAAGAACCAATTTCCCAATAAGGTCACTTACATGGGTATGGGGATTAGGACTTGAACATATCTTTTTGGAGGATGTAATTCTATCCACAAGAGGTGGCAAGTCAGACTGTCATAAAAGGCTCTCTACATACCAAAATTAGGTACAGGCAGACCTCATGTTATTGCGCTTCACCTTATTGCACTTTGCAGATATTGCATTTTCTACAAATGGAAGGTTTATGGCAATTCCTCATCAAGCAAGTCTGTAGGCGCCATTTTTCCAACAGCATATGTTCACTTTGTATCTCTGTGTCACATTTTGGTAATTCTTGCAACTCTTCAAATGCTTTTGATATTAATATATCTGTTAGGGTAATCTGTGATCAGTGATCTTTGATGTTACTTTTGTAATTGTTTGGGGGCAGCACAAATCATGCCCATATAAGACAGAATACTTAATAAATGTCATGTGTGTTCTGAATGCTCCACCAGTTGGCCATTCTCCAGTCTCTCTCCCTCTCCTAGGGTCTTCCTATTCCACGAGACACAAAAATACTGAAATTAGGCCAGTTAATAACCCTGCAATAACCTCTAAGTATTCAGGTAAAAGGAAGAGTTGCATATCTATCGCTTTAAATCAAAAGCTAGAAATGATTAAGCTTAGTGAGGAAGGCACGTCAAAAGCGGAGATAGGATGAAAGCTAGGCTTCTTGATCCAGTTAGCCAAGTTGTGAGTGTCAAGGAAAAGTTATTGAAGGAAATAAAAAGTGCTACTCCAGTGAACAGATAAATGATAAAACACCCTTACTACCGACATGGAGAAAGTTTGAGTGGTCTAGGTAGAAGATCAAACCAACCATAGCATTCCCTTAAGCCAATGCCTAATCCATAGCAAGGCTCTGCCTCATGTCATTCTATGAAGGCTGAGACAGATGAGGAAGCTGCAGAAGAAAAGTTGAAAGCTAGCAGAGGTGGTGCATGAGGTTTAAGAAAAGAAACCATCTCCATCACATGAAAGTGCAAGGTGAAGCAGCAAATACTGGTGGAGAAGCTGCAGCAAGTTATCCAGAAGATCTAGCTAAGATCATGGATGAAGATAGCTTCACTAAACAACAGAATTTCAGTGTAGATGAAACAGCCTTCTGTGGGAGATGATGCCACCTGAGATTTTGATACCTAGAGAGAAGCCACTGCCTAGCATCAAAGCTTCAAAGGACAGGCTGACTATCTTAGGGGCTAATGCAGCTGGTGACTTTAAGTTAAAGCCAATGTTTGTTGACTGTTCTGAAAATCCTAGGGCCCTTAAGAATTACTCTGAATGTATTCAACCTGAACTCTATACATGGAACCACAAAGCCTAGGTGACAGCATATCTGTTTACAGCATAGCTTACTGAATATTTTAAGCCCACTGTTGAGACCAGCTGCTTAGAAAAAAAAAATTCCTTTGAAAATACTACCATTCATTGACGATGCACCTGGTAGTTACCCAAGAGCTCTGATGGAGATGTACGAGAAGACTAATGTTGTTTTCATGCCTGTTAACATCCATTCTGCAGCCCATGGATCAAGAAGACATTTCAACTTTCAAGTCTTACTATTTAAGGGATATATTTTGTAAGGCTATAGCTTACATTGAAAACCTTTAGGAAACAATTCGCCATTCTAGATGCCATTAAGAACATTCGTGATTCATAGGAGGAGGTCAAAATATCCATATTAACAGAAGCTTGGAAGAAGTTGATTCCAACCCTCATGGATGACATTGTAGGGTTCAAGATGTCAGCGGAGGGAGGAACTGCAGATGTAGTGGAAATGGCAAGAGAATTAGAAATAGAAATGGAGCCTGAAGATGTGACTGAATTGCTGCAATCTTATGATAAAACTTGAACAGACAAGGAGTTGCTTCTTATGGATGAGCAAAGAAATTACTTTCTGAAGATATGGAATCTACTTCTGGTGAAGGTGCTGTGAAAATTGTTGAAATGACAACAAAGGATTTAGAATATTCCATAAACTTAGTTGATAACACAGTGGCAGGGTTTGAGAGGATTAACTTCAATTGTGAAAAGAATTCTACTGTGGGTAAAATACTATCAAATAGCATTGCATGCTACAGAGAAATCTTTCATGAAAGGAAGAGTCAATCAATGTAACAGATTGCATTGCTGTCTTATTCTAAAAAACTACCACTGCCACCCCAGTCTTCAGCAACCACCACCCTGATTAGTCAGCAGCCATCAGCACTGAGACAAAACCCTCTACCAGCAAAAAGATGGCAATTTGTTCATTGAAGGCTCAGATAATCGTTAACATTTTTTAGCAATATTTTTACTTATTTATTTCTTATTATTTATTTATTTTCTTATTTTTTTGAGACAGAGTCCCACTCTGTGGCCCAGGCTGGAGTGCAGTGGTGCAATCTTGGCTCACTGCAACCTCCACCTCCCGGGTTCAAGCAATCCTCATGCCTCGGCCTGTGGAGTAGCTGGGATTACGTGCATGCTACTATGCCCAGCTAAGTTTTGTATTTTTAGTAGAGATGAGGTTTCACCGTGTTGGCCAGGCTGGTCTCGAACTCCTGGCCTCCAACAATCTGCCTGCCTTGGCCTCCCAAAGTGCTGGGATTATAGGTATGAGCCGCCATGCTTGGTTGCATTTTTAAATGAAGGTATATACATAGGTTTTTAGACATAATGCCATTGCACACTTAAAAGACAGCAGTGTCATGAATATAACTTTTATACGCACTGGAAACAAAGACAATTGTGTTACTAACTTTATTGTGATATCTGTTTTATTGTGGTGGTCTGGAACCAAACCTGCAATATATCAGAAGTATCCCTGTATGATTTTAATACTATTTGGTATTCAACGCAAGGGAGCTGGTAAAAGATGTGTGTGAGATAGAAGGAGAGAAGCAGGGGAATCTAGAGGGAGGCCCTTAGATGGGTATAGCGTGTGTGCTTGGGAACAGCAGCCACAGCTAGGATGCAGAGTCTGATTCAGCCACAGCTCCACTCCTGCTTGCCACTCTGCAGACAAGAATTCCGTACAGAGCAAACATCAGCAGTGTAGGCCTCATAGCCTGCTCATCTCACTTCCAAGACGTGCAAAGTTTGGACATTCTCAACTCTCCTCTCAGACATATAGTTTCACAGTCTGAGACATGTTGAATTTACAATCAGCTACATTTTTATAATGCACAACCTTAAAAAACACAGAAAAATAATAGAAATATTTTCAACTGATGAGGCAGGAACTTGACCCAACAAGTAATTCTAGAGTCATAAAAAAATCATGGACAGGAGGAGTCCCCAGAGTTCAGAGGACCCTGCCTTGGGAAGAGGTGGGTGTGTGACTTCTCCAGGCCATCTTGGGCCATAGAAGGGCCTGGGGAGAGAGAGGCCCTATCCCACTGGGGAATCTTGTCATCTGGATCTGAAAGAGCAGTTACACTGGCACACCTCAGCCTGGAGGAGACCTTGGCTTTTGCAGCAGGAAAGAGGGAATGGTATCCAGCCAGGGCGCTGGAAGAGTGGAGCTTCCACCAAAAATGAATGGACTTGCAGCTGGTGGCGAGGCCGCTGGGCTGGATGCAGAGCTCTAGCAAGGCTGAGGCAGAAGAATTGGGAGAGTGGGCATTTTCTTCTCAAGACCTCCTGTCTCCTCTACTCTTCTCTGGGGCTGCATTTTATTCAGCATTTGCTTCTCATCAATTTGCTTGGATGGAAACCACCTAAGAAAGACATTTTTAAAAGTCAGGAAATTGCCCAAGACAGGAAAGCTTCTAGAACTTGGTACTGGCTATCATTGTAGCATCCTGCTGGGGTCCGATTCAAGGGGTAGCGGGTGAGACTAACATCATTATTTGATAGGAGGAACCAAACAGGGCCAAGCGGCGAAATTTAAAACTGGGGCACGCTCTCTTCTCTGCAAATAATTTCCAGTAGTTTCATTCTGCTCTCGCCTGGCCTCTCCCCACTAGCCAGAGATGGGATTCTCTGTTTCTATTTGTCTCTCATCATAAAGCTCATCTATTTTATTTTAAATTGTGTTACATTTGACTCAGGTAATAGAATTCTGCAGGCCGCTGACTTGTGAGAAAAGTAAGACAGCTGTTTTCATGTGTTAAAAAGAACTTGGATGGACAGTTAACATAATCTACTGTGAACACTTTTTCCCACTGTGGGTAGATAAGTGTGTTTGGCTGGAGTTGTTGAATCTCTGAGTTTGCAGATATGTATTGATATGCAACAATCCACAGGGAACTAATTGTCCACAGAATAGCTTGACAGCTCAAGTTCGGTGCGGACATTTTCCCTGGGTCAATCACTTTTACAAGGAAAAATGAATCTTAATTTTTCCCCCCTAAGCCAACAGGGACCACTCCTGTGTTCTGTCGAGAAGATGTGGACAGACCCTGTCCATGAGTACTCACGTTAACCGAGCAGGGAGCTGATGTACTTGTTCACCATTGAGCACCACCATGATCCAGGGTGGCCAGATCAAGAGCCGAGAACTTTCTCCCCACCAAGGGAGCCAGGGAAGCGGGCGGAATGTCAAGCAGGCCTGTCAGAAGGCTGGCAAGAGGCAGGAAACGCCGGCCGTGTTCTTTGAATTTTCAGAGTGCCCAACATAAGGGCAAAACCAGAAAAAATAAGCATAAGCTCAAGCTAAGATGAGAAGGATTTCAGCCTGATTCAGTCTGTAATCAAGAACACGACAAACATTGGAACCACATGCCCATGGAGCAACATTCCTGACAGCATCTATTGAGTGCTTGCTGTGTGCCTTGCTCTAGAGAGCTTTACTTTTCCCTTTTTAAAATGTATAAGTAATCAATAAATTCATAAGCAATCAATAATAACTATTACTTTACTATAATAAAGTAATAAGTGAAGTAACATAAAAAGTAAATAAGACTGATTGGGCACAGTGGCTCATGCCTGTAATTGCAGCACTTTGGGAGGCTGAGGCAGGTGGATTGCCCAGGAGTTTGAGACCAGCCTGGACAACATAGTTGAGACTCTATTTCTATAAAATACAAAAATTAACCAGGTGTGGTGGTCTGCACCTGTGGTCCCAGCTACTTGGGAGGCTGAGGTGAGAAGAACACTTGAGCCCAGGAGTTCAAGGCTGCAATGAGATACGATGGCACCATTGCACACCAGCCTGGATGTCAGAATGAGACTTTGTCTCAAAAAAAAAAGTAAATTAAAGGTAACAATTAGAATATATAAAAAAGATAAATACCAGTTATCTTCATTTTAAACATTGCAAATAAATTTGAAGTATCTCAGACCACACCCTCTCCCACCACACCTAATTTTCCTTTCAAAAAGTGCACAACACACTAATCAATTTGCCCTGTGTTTTTCCAGACCTTTTCCTTACATGCACACGTGCACACACTTCCCCCACCAGTACATATATCTGGTGGATAGCATTCTATTTATATGTGATAGATGCTATCACACTATAAATAATATTCTATACTTATTCTTTCATTCCAAAAATATACACCTTGGTGATCTTTCTGTATCAGTGTATATTGATCTACTTTTTGTAAAATATTCCATAATATGGCTCAAAATAATTCATTCAACTATTCCCTTTTTGTTGATACTTAGGCCGTTTTAAATTTTTCCTATTACAGACAATGCTGAAAGTAGCAACTAATACCTACAATGCCTTAGAGAATCCATTTCTTCCCATGCTTGCCAATACCTGATATTATCATGGGGATCTTTAAGAACAAGGGTGATAGCCTCATCTGTCCTGGGTGATTTGGTCATTTACTTACTGCAAAGCGAAAGAGAAAAGATCTCTCATGGTCCATAGCAATTCAATGATAATGGGTAAGAGGATTCTATGGGAGGTTTTACAGAAAGATTACCTGAAATGGACATTTTTTTTTTTTGAGACAAAGTTTCACTCTTATCACCAGGCTGGGTTTATAGGGTGTGTGCTTGGGAACAGTGGCCGATCTCAGCTCACTGCAACCTCTACTTCCTGGGTTCAAGCTATTCTCCTGCCTCAGACTCCTGTGTAGCTGGGATTACAGGCATGCCACCATGCCCAGCAAATTTTTTGTATTTCTACTAGAGACAGGGTTTCACCGTGTTGGCCAGGCTGGTCTTGAACTCCTGACCTCAGGTGATCCACCCGCCTTGGCCTCCCAGAGTGGGATTACAGGCATGAGCCACCACGCCTGGCCTGAAATGTACATATTTTTAAAAATTATGTTCTTGCTTTCATTTTGACCTGCATATTCACTGGAGGGAGCAGAATTGGCTGCAGGGGTGAGTGGCCTGGTTCAGTTGTAGGTTAATCAAAATTAGTCGGTGCAGGCCTCTTTCCAGGTTATTTTTTCCTAGTACAAATCTGAGTGTGATAATAAAGATTTGTTATTAAGGCCTTTTCCCACGAATTCACAATCGCGGTGTGGGCTGGGCCAAGTGCTAGACGCTGAGGCTAGAGATAAAGGAGACACCAGGGGGTCCCTTCAGGGAGTCCACAGCCAGAATCCATTACCTTCCAACATAAACCACAGAGGAACGCACTGTGCATAGTGTCTGCCTTGCTGTGGCGAAACAGTGGCTTCCATTGCAAGCTTTGAGTGCAATTGTAATTATCAAATGCCTGCATTTCTTTTTACCGTGGACGTTATGAATCACCTCACCCCCAAACGCATCTTTCTCCCAGTCAGCATCTCTCTGGACCCTGTCCATCCGGATCCTGCATCAGATGCCATTTCAGAGCTGCTGTTTGGGGACAGACTGACAGCTGCTGGAGTAGGGACTCCCGCCAGCCCTGAGAATGAGAATAATATAATAATTGAAAACAGAGAGGCTACATTGACTTGTGACCCAGAGGAAACAGATGTATGCAGAAAGTGACCAATGACCCTGGGTCAGTGCCCTCCTTTAAACTTTAAACTAGCTTCGAGTAAGATAACCATTTTTTTTTTCAGTTTTGAAAAATCAAAAGAAAACCAACTCCCCCTCATTATGCAGATAAATCACAGGCACCAACTTTATAAATGAGCAGATTACCTAAATTGCTACTTGGGTATGCCTCAATTAAATTCACAGGTGGTCAAATCTGGATGTGCTGGAAACAGAGCAATTTATCTATAGATGTTCGCATTTTGCCAAAAATAGAATACGGCATCTTCTCCAGACGCACTTTCCACATTCGTTCTTATTTTCCTAGAGATGAATTGCTTCATCCAGTACACATTTGTTATCCTTCTCCCAGTCCTCCCCCTCCATCCCGTTAAGAAGGATATTTGAGGGGTGAGTAGTTCACTGGGATATTCAGGGGCAGCTGGTGAACTGAATAAGAGAGACACAGTTGTCTGCATAAAGTTGACATCTCCAGCCAGCATCTCAATAGCTACCATTGTTTCCTCTGCCCACTAGGAGCTCATTGTGGATGGATGGGCCTTCCTCCAGGGTCCATAATGAACTCTGGGCAGGTGGAGGTAAAATAAGCCCTGGATGGAACCTATTGCTGCCAAACTCACAGAGCCTTGTATCTGCCAATTGGGACGATACCCATCGTAAACTGGAATTGTCCGTTATGGCAGTCTACCCTCGCCAAAGGAGACTGGCTACAAATCAGCAGCTTCTGGCATGGATGACTTTGGAAAACTGACCTAGGATCCAAATGTGGATTGTAAAAATGCTCACAATCTTTAACCTAGGCATTCTCTCACTAGACGTTATCCTAAGAAGGCGAGCTACTTAACCATCTATACAAAAACACACACAAACCTAAAGATAAATACATATGATAAGATTGTCCATTAGGGTTATTTATTTATGCTAAATAAATTATAAGTGGCGTACCAATGGAATACTGGTAATATTAATTTTTGGACATCCAAAAGATAATAATTCATTCAGTCCTCAAAAATGATATTTTGAGGTATAGTTAATATTATGGAAAATGCTTAAGATAAAAAATGTTGAATGGTAAAAGGTGGTTGTTTAATTGTTTATTTAATATATTTATGTAATTACTTTGTGTAGATGAATATGTATTCTTACGGCACTCCCCCCAAAATTGGGGTAGTAGAATTGTGAATGCTTCTCTTAAAATATTTTTCTTGGCTGGACGAGGTGGCTCACACCTGTAATCCCAGCAATTTGGGAGGCCAAGGCGGGTAGATCACTTAAGGTCAGGAGTTCGAGACCCGCCTGGCCAACAAACCCCACCTCTACCAAAAATGCAAAAATTAGCCGGGCGTGTTGGCGGACGCCTGTAGTCCCAGCTACTCAAGAGGCTGAAGCAGGAGAACTGCTTGAACCTGGGAGGCAGAGTTTGCAGTGAGCTGAGATCACACCATTGCACACCAGCCTGGGCAACAGAGCAAGACTCTGTCTCAAAAAAAAAAAAAATTATTTATATTCTGTATTTTCATTTTCCCAACGGACATATGTGACAGTCAAAAAATAAATATGGCCGAGTGGGGTGGCTCACTCCTATAATCCCAGCACTTTGGGAGGACGAGGCGGGTGGATCACGAGGTCAGGAGATCAAGACCATCCTGGCTAACATGGTGAAACCCCGTCTCTACTGAAAATACAAAAAAATTAGCCGGGCGTGGTGGCGGGTGCCTGTAGTCCCAGCTGGGCTGAGGCAGGAGAATGGCATGAACTTAGCGGGGGAGCAGAGCTTGCAGTGAGTGGAGATTGCGCCACTGCACTCCAGCCTGGGCGACAGAGTGAGACTCCGTCCTCAAAAAAATAAAAATAAAAATTAAATAAATAAGTAAATAAATATATGTGACCAGTTGCAGTGGCTGACGCCTGTAATCCCAGCACTTTGGGAGGCAGAGGTGAGTGGATCACTTGAGGCCAGGAGTTCAAGACCAGCCTGGCCAACATGGTGAACCCTCCTATCTACTAAAAATACAAAAAATTAGCTGGGAGTGGTGGCGCATGCCTGTAATCCCAGCTATTTGGGAGACAGGCAGGAGAATCACTTGAGCCTGGGAAGCAGAGGTTGCAGTGAGCCGAGATTGTGCCACTGCACTCCAGCCTGAGCGACAGACTCCGTCTCAAAAAAATAAAATAAAATAAATAAATACAGAGCATTTAAAAATAATTTAGTCTTACAGGTGAAGATTTGCTTTCATCACTCATCATGTCCTGAAGACATTTACTCAACTCTTCATTGTATTATTTTAAAAGGTGCAAACCCTGATTTTCTCAAACTAGCCTTAGACTTTCACGACTTTATCTATAGATAATTCTAGATCTATGGAAGTTAAAATTTCAGTTTACTAATCCCTTAATACTACCTTCAAAACATTTAGCAGTTTCAAATATTCCTCTACCTAGAAAGCCAGCAAATAAAAGCAATCTGGTTTCCCTAAGTTCGGATATTAAGTATAGCAGTCTTGATGGGTAATAGTTTTTAAATGTTTTATTTATGTCCACTTATTTGTATTCCTCACAAAAATACATGCAAAGCCAGCAAGAGGCACATTTCAAAGCATGAAGAGTTGCCTTAATTTAACACAAAATGTGGGGGGATTCCTCTGCAGATTTCTGCAAGCATACCCATGGACTACAGATTATATTTACAGATTATATTATGTGATGTTCAATTTAATAAATTAATGCATACTTAAAAATTGTCTCTTTCATGTACATCAGTAATTAATTATTTAATGAATATGTAAATTGCAGGCCAACACATGACGAAAAATGTAAAAAAAAAATGCCTGTAATTTTGGAAGGAGAAGGCAAAGTTTTTAAATACATTACCCAAATATTATATGGTTTCTGTTCCTTTTTCTTCTTCTAGTTTTTACCCCCTAAACCTCAGTGTTAAGTTTAGTACGGGGCCTAGGAGACAACATCTTCTGGATTAAGAAGCAAAGCTGGCCTCAACAGAATTAGGAAGAACACAATTTTCCTTCAGAATCCCTGGTCTATACTATCATTTTCCTATCACTAATGCCTGTGACTCTGCTTCCTTCAGGCTTCTAGTGTCTCCACCACCTCTTTCTCTCAAACCCCATCAAAACACTGTTTTCAAAAATAAAAATAAAAGCAAACAAAGCCATGCAACAAATTCACTTCAAACACAATGGAGGAGAGTAAATTAAGTTCAAGAACCAAGAACCAACCAATGAACAGAAAAGTTTCAAGAGCCATGGGGAAGGAGAAGGATAGAAGGGATCAGGTAGGCAATGGCTCCCTTACAACTGCAATGCATGGGTAATTGCCAGTGGGTCCTTCCTGCCCACTGCACAGGCAAAATCAATTCACTGAGACCCCGGAATTGCAGTAGAGAAAGAGTTTAACTAATGCAAGGCTGGCCCATGTGAGAGAATTGAGGTTATCTCTCAAAACAGTCTTCCTAAAGGCTCAGAGGTCAGGGGTTTTGTGGGTGATTTGGTGGGCAGGGGACTAGGAAATGGGTGCTGCTGATTTGTTGTGAATGAAATCATAGGGGTGTAGGGCCACAAGACCAGTTGAGTCATGAGTCATGAGTCTGGGTAGGGTCAGTTTGAGAAATATCTCCAAAAACCAATCTTCGGTTTTTCAATAGCAATGTTGTCTATAGGCGCAACTGAGGAAATCACAAACCTTGTGACTCCTGGCTACAGGACTTCTGAGCAGTAAGGGATTATAGAAACTATACTTACATTTTAGCAGAGTTCATGCCCTTCCCATAATCCTATTCTCATGCTCTCTTATTAGACTCACAAAGGTGGTTTTCAGTCCCTAAACAAGGAGGGCGTTAATTTTAGGGAGAGACTATGGTCATCTTTGCCTTCAAGTTAAACTATAAACTAAACTTCTCCCAAAGTTAGCTTGGCCTATGCGCAGGAATCATCAAGGACAGCTTAGAGGTCAGAAGCAAGATGGCGTCAGCTATGTCAGATTTCTCTTACCACCATAATCTTGCAAAGGTGGTTCATGTGGGCATAGTCCCAATGTGACCTGAGGGAGTACCAGTCCCAAGCAGTGAAGTGAAACTGAAGGTGCTTGGGCCTCCACACCAGACATCCCTGGTTTAAGTCTCTTGGGATCTTGGACCAGTTAAGCAATTTGAGCTTCTGTTTCCTCATCTGTAAAATGGGAAGATTAAGTAGGATCCTGTCACTAAAGGCCCCAGCCCAGGGTCTGACACATAAGTGCTCAAAATGGCTAGTATAATGACAGACATGAAAGTTATGTTCAAATTTGCAATAACAAAAGGAATAAAGGGGGATTTTCTCTATTCCACTTTCATGATGGAAAGTGAATTCCAAGCCTGAGGCAAGTACTTTGAAAATGAAGAGAAAATAAATATTTTTGTGTCTGCAAATAATCCTTTCTTGCTACAAGAAAGCTGTATCTATTGATAAAATAAAAAGGATGCATATCCTTTACTTTTTAAGGGAATGGCTCAAACACACCACCAATACTCAAAACAAAAATGCAAAATTAAAACAACAGGATCACATTTGCTCAATATCTGACACTCCTATCTAACCTTAGGTTTTTGAGCACTTTGAACCACAACCATTGGTTTTCTTTTACCATTTTTTTAAAATCTCACAGGATGTGGCCTTACTGTCTTCTGAAGACCCACAGCTTTCTTTGTGCATGAATTATGACAACTGTCACATTCTGCCTTGACTTGAGGATAATGTATCTTTGTATTTCTGCTTCTGACCCCTCATGCTGACCACTTTTTTTTTAATTTTTATTTTTTGAGATGAGTTCTTGCTCTGTGGCCCAGGCTGGAGTGCAGTGGTGCAATCATGGCTCACTGCAGCCTCAAACTCCAGAGATCAAGTGATCCTCCTGCCTCAGCCTCTCGAGTAGCTGGGACTCCAGGTGTGTGCCACCATGACTTGCTATTTTTTTTTATTTGTATCCTATAGAGATGGGGGTATCATTCTGTTACCCAGGCTGGAATACAGTGATGTGATCACGACTCACTGCAGCCTTGACCTCCTGGGCTCAAGTGATCCTCTCACTTTAGCCTCCCAAGTAGCTGGGACTACAGGTCCACACCACCATGCCTTTTGGCTAATTTTTTTTTTTTAATTTTTATAGAAACAAAGTCTTGCTATGTTACCCAGGCTGGTCTTAAACTCCTGGGCTCAAGTGATCCCCACCTGGCCTCAGCCAGCTTTCTGAGTGACATCCTCATCCACATCACCCCACCAGAGTCGGATTGCCTTTGTCCTTGGTCTGTGATTTGAACCATGTTTTGGTCCTGAAATCTTCCTTACTTGGGAGAGGCTTGGTGCTCACTGAGAAGGGAAGGGAAGACAAAAGAAGTGTGAAGAGTGGATATCTGAGATGTAACATTTTTCCCAGTTATAAGTTATAAACCTAAAAATAAAACACATTTAAGCTTTCTGATTGTTAGAGCTGTAAAAGATGACTTTGTTATGGATTGCCCTGAATTTCATTTACACCAGGTGATACCAGAACCTTCTGTTTCATTCCACTCCTTCCTTTACTCAGAACCTTTATGTAAAGGAAAAATCAAACTGTTTTTTCTCTCTGCTTTCACACTCAACATAGAACACTTCTGCAACCAGATATGTGTGTGTGGTTTTTGTTTTTGTTTTTCAAATACACCAAGCAATTCTCCAGCAGACACCAGCTGGGTGTCCTATAATTCAATTCAGTTCTGTCACTGGGTCTGACACTACCTGGAGCTACTATCAGACCCACAGATTGAGGGCTCAGCCCCACAAGGTTGCCCCCACTTCAGACACCAATGGCGAATCACAGGATGCAGCTTGTGCTTTTGATTAACTGGCTATAAATCAGGGTCTCATGATTCCACCCCTTTGGATTGGATACTTTGCTAGCGAGACAGAGCAGGGATCCCTCTTAGGGGCCTGCCAGAAGTCTTGAGTCTCTATAAGGGAATTTCCAGGCACCTAGGCCCAGTGGCTAACACCTATAATTTCAGCAATTTGGGAGGCCAAGGTGGGTGGATCACTTGAACCCAGGAGTTTACAATCAGCCTGGCCAACATGGTAAAACCCCATCTCTACGAAAAATACAAAAATTAACCAGGCATGATGGCATGCGCTTGTAGTCCCAGCTACCAGCTACTCAGGAGGCTGAGGGGGGAGGATTGCTTGAGCCCAGGAGCTGGAGGCTGCAGTGAGCTATGATTGCACCACTGCACTCTAGCCTGGGCAACAGAAAAAGACCCTGTGTCAAAAAAAAAAAAAATGTAAATGAGCAGCCTGATCAGCAAGAAGATAGTAGCAATAGTCTCCCAAGCAAGCCAGAGTCATAAGGTGTTTGGGCTCGCTATAGAGATGGAAGGGTAACATCTTGACATACGTACTTGCATTGCTTTTTGGAAGCAACTCACATGACATCACATGGTTGTCAGCTACAGGAAAACTGAGGACTGAACTCTGACTGCCATTTTTTTCTCTAAATTTCTTCCTGAGGGGCCTGGAAGGAGTCACATCCACAGGCCAGACTAAGGCTTAACCTCCATGTGTTGGTTTAAGATTTGACCTGCAACTTGTTTTCCTGAAATGTACCCCAGCCTTTAAAAAACCCTTGCCTGGCCGGATGCAGTGTCTCACTCCTGTAATCCCAACAGTTTGGGAGGCCAAAGTGGGTAGATCACCTGAAGTCAGGAGTTCGAGACCAGCCTGACCAACATGGTGAAACCCTGTCTCTACTAAAAATACAAAAAATTAGCCGGGAGTGGTGGCACACACCTGTAATCCCAGCTATTTGGGAGGCTGAGACAGGAGAACTGCTTGAACCCAAGAGGCGGAAGTTACAGTGAGCTGAGATCACACCATTGTACTCCAGCCTGGGCAACAAGAACAAAACTCCATCTCAAAAAACAAACAAACGAATAAATAAACAATAAAAACCCTTGCCTGTAAGTTATTGGGGAATTTGGGTCTTAAGCATTAGCTGCCCATTCTCCTTGCACGGTGCCCTCCAATAAATATTGTTTTCTCCAGCTGCAAACCTGGTTCTCAGTGTCTGACTTTACGCATCAGGTGAGCAGACTCCAGTTCAGCTCAGTAACACAATGATGGCTCACAGAACTCAAGGGAGCAGTTCCCTTACATTTACTGGTCTATTATAAAGGGCAGCGATGAACATCCAGATGGAGAGATGGAGAGGGCAAGGTATGGGGGTTGTAGAGCCTCCATGCCCTCTCCTGCATACCACCCTCCTATTACCAGAAAGGGGTCCCTATCCAGACCCCAAGAGAGGGTTCTTGGATCTCATGCAAGAAAGAATTCAGGACAAGTCCACGGAGTAAAGTGAATGTAAGTTTTTTAAGAAAGTAAAGGAATAAAAGAATGGTTGCTCCTTAGGTAGAGCAGTGGCGTGGACTGCACAGCTGATTATACTTATATAGTTATTTCTTGATTATATGCCAAGCAAAGGGTGGATTATTCATGAGTTTTCAGGGAAAGAGGTGGGCAATTCCCGTAACTGAGGGTTCCTCCCCTTTTTAGACCATATAGGGTAACTTCTAGACATTGCCATGGCATTTGTAAACTGTCAGGGCGCTGATGGGAGTGTTTTAGCATGCTAATGCATTATAATTAGCATATACTGAGCAGTGAGAGTGACCAGAGGTTATTCTTGTTGCCATCTTGGTTTTTGTGGGTTCTGGCCGTCTTCTTTACCACATGCTTTTTTATAGCAAGGTCTTTGAGACCTGTATCTTTTGACAACCACCTATCTATCTTATCCTGTGACTTAGAATGCTCTAACCTCCTGGGAATGCAGCCCAGTAGGTCTCAGCCTTATTTCACCCAGCCCCTATTCAAGATGGAATTGCTCTGGCTCAAAAGCCTTTGACACTCCCAGCATCTCCACATGTTCAACCACCCAGAAGCTCATCAAATCTTGTTGGAGAGTTTTTATAGAAGTTGGCCTCCAAGCTCCCCCAGTCTTCCAGAAGTTAGTGTGTGGGTCAGAAAATTCCATCTTTCTAATGGCTTGGTCTTTCCTCAGCCCCAACCTGAGGCTATTTAGGGACCCCACCCTAAGTTACCTCATTAACATAAACTTAGGTGTGATCAAAAGGGGTTCATTATGAATAACAAAAGACATTCCTATCACTCAGGAAATTACCAGGGTTTAGGAACTCAGTATCAGGAACCAGGGGCAAAGGCCAAATATATTTCATATTAAACCACTTTGAAGCAAAGGAGAGATGTGTCCCTCCTGAAAGGAGGCCACCTTCCACTTATCTTTTATATAAGCTGAGAGGGTCTCAGCTCAAACCGTGCTTCCCAGAGCCCAGAACTCCTGAGCTCATGTCCTACAAGCAGTTTTCTCTGGGGTTAATACAGCATTAGTAGTCACTCAGGACATTTACAATGGGCTGGAGGCCTTTATATAAAACACTTTGACATTTTTATTGTCTCTCTTTAAAGAAATATTTGCACAACAATTTTTATTTTATTAATAGGTACATTTTTCTTGCAGCAAGAAAGGATTATTTGCAGACACTAAAGTATTTACTTTTCCCATAACCTTGAAAGTATTGGCCTCGGGTTTGGAATTCACTTTCCCTATCAGGAAAGTGGGATAGAGAAAATTCCTCAAACGTGACCAGTGAAGATTAACAGGCCAATTTGGGAGCTTGCTTTTTAGCACCACCAGTCACGTTAACATTTTTGGCTTGCCAGAGCAAAAAGGGCACATTCTGACCTTTGTACATTACCCTCTCTCATTACCATGCTTCCCTTCAAAAGGAGCCAGGGAAGCCCACAGATATGGAGAACCAGAGAAGAAGCAGAAAAGATTGCAGCTGATCCTGAGTTGATGCAAAAAATAATAATAATAAGGCAATAAAAAAGCATCAAAAGCCAAGGATGTTACTGTTAAATTAGACATTTATTTATTTATTTATTTATTTTGAGACAGAGTCTTGGTCTGTAGCCCAGGCTGGAGTGTAGTGGCACAACCTTGGCTCTGCAACCTCCTCCTCTCAGGTGCAAGTGATTCTTCTGTCTCAGCCTCCTGAGTAGTTGATATTACAGGCACCCACCACCACACCCGGCTAATTTTTGTATTTTTAGTGGAGACGAGGTTTCACGATGTTGACCAGGCTGGTCTCGAACTCCTGGCCTCAAGTGATTCACACCTCACACTCCCAAAGTGCTAGGATTACAGGCGTGAGCCACTACAGTCGGCCTAAATGAGACTTTTAAATATGCTATAGATATCAGAGGAGTTTTAGTGCAATTGTCTCCTTAAATTTGTCAGGGAAATCATTAATCATTGGATGTTAAATGTATACAGATTGTTGAATAAATGAGCGGCACACGAAGACTGCATGATGATAATCCAAAAGGAAAAATGAGAAAGAGATGAGAGAAAGGAGAGAGGAGAGAAGGGGAAATTTCCTCTTTGCAGGCCACTCAAAACACGAAGCCAGCCTCTGGTTTCCAGTTTCATTATTTGGAGCCTTGCCTACCTAAATGGCAAGTCATTTTAAGAGCTTAAAAAAATCTTGCCAGGCACAAAGATAGACACATACTATGGGTATGCAGCAGCTTTTAATAGAAGTAAACTCGGGGCAGATATGAACATTGCGTAACTTCAGGCTTATGGTATCCACCTGATTGTCATTTGCCTAGCTGTCAGGGTCCCCTTGTCATCACTGGGTACCTGCGTGCACAGTCTGGCTGCAGAATCACATTCAGGGCAAAGGACGGTCCTGCCTTAATGGGGCTTCATGAGTATGACTTTACCATTTTCAATGGCAGGTAAAATCATTTTCCTCCTGCCTCCTAACAGCCATACCAGTCCAGGTTTAGAGGCACCGAACTCCACTTTCTCTTGCTGTTAGCATAATGGTAGGGTAAGGAAAAGCCAGCCACCCAGAGACAACCAACCAGATCAAGTAACCCAGACAGATAGAAATCTGTCAGAGAAGAATATTCCTTGGAACATGCTGTTTTTACATATCTTTTACTCACTGGCCATCTTACATAGTTAAAATTGTCAGTCATATAAAACTTCAATACCAAAACCTGACTCAGCCATCCTGGACCTGCTTTGCCTTCTAATCCTATTGTTCAGATGTTCCCATGTTACTTAGTCAATTATCCACCAAATATCTGATTGAACATCTATGCACTCAGGTCAAAATACTGTATAAAAAAACTACAGGATGCTAGGCACAGTGGCTCACACCTGTAATCCCAGCACTTTTGGAGGCAGAGGCAGGCAGGCTGATCACGTGAGCCCAGGAGTTCAAGACTAGCCTGAGCAACATGGCAAGACCTCATCTCTACTAAGAATACAGAAAATTAGCTGGGCCTGGTGGCATGTGCCTGTGGTCCCAGCTACTCAGGAGGCTGTGATGGGAGGATTGCCTGAGCCCAGAAATTCAAGGCTGCAGTGAGCTGAGACTGCACCACTGCACTCCAGCCTGGGCAACAGAGAGAGACACTGTCTCATAATAATAATAATAATAGAAATGAATGAGGTGTGGTCCCCTCCATCAAAGCCCATGTCCTTACCAAGCTTAATGTCTTTACACAAGAACGCTTAAATCACTTCTCCCTCTAGTCAAAGACAACCCGTATTATTTTCTTAGGCAGTTTGAGACTCTTAGAATCATCTCAGTCAACCTGAGTATGACCAACTTTCTTGAGAAACAAGTCCTTTTCTTACCCACCTACCACCCCTTCCAGATCTCCAGGCCATGTTCCAGCCAGTACTCATTGCTTCAGTGGTGATGGCCTCCTCATGTGTCTCAGTCAATCATTCATTGTGTAAACATTCCAGCAGCATCACATCACCCTTCTGAAGAAGTCACTGAAGCTCACCGCTGCCTGTAAAGTCAAATCTAGATTCACCTGAGGACAAATCAGATTAGGGCCACATCAAGGAACTAACATAAAATTAAGATATGTGGCATAACTTAAATAATTTAGCCAGTGAAATTCCTAGCCAGGTCTGAATGAGTTAAGTAAGAATCACATAAGAACTGGCCTCACCTGCAGTATTTGGGGCTGCATTAATTTTTGTGAGTGGCAGCCCACCTTTGTGCATATAAATTGGGTAATTACACGAGTAAATTGGAGTTTTTGCACTGAGAATCAGCACCTGGAAATAACAGAAGGCCAGAGAAAGCAGGCCAATTGAAACTTTTGCCCTTCATATTTGAAAGCAGCACTTTCTAGACAGCTTGAAGACTGAGGCTTGAAGAGACCTAACAGGAAAGAAGTGGGGGAAGAGCACCTAACCATTCTGTTTGTACATCATTTTCTATTTAAAGATAATAACGTGGTGTAGAAAAATTGAAACACGAAAATTATATATTTGGTCGTCTCATCTCAACTTCCAGCAGAGTAAAGATTGTCACAAAATTACCATACTTGCGTTGGACATAATTTGTTAGAAGTTGACGGCCTGAAAGCTCACATCTACCCTGAGACCTGAGAAGAACTTGTCCCAGAGTGAATCATGTCCTCTGTGTTTCTGGAAAGGACATCGATGGCCAACGGGCTTTGTTGAGGATGAACTTTGTCAATCAGTTATAATTTGTAAGATCCTGGCCACTGATATGTAGAAATATCTGATGTGTGTTGATCTGGAACAACTCACTTAACCTCCGGAGGCCTCATTTCAGCCACGAGGGAATTGACTAAGTGGGTAATGAAACTAACATTTTGGGATTGTCTACAATGGGCAAGGCAATTGACTTGTTATCTCATTCAATCTTAACCATACTGTGAGCTAGATATTATTGTCCTTATTTTACAGATGAGAAAGCTAAGAGAGGCTTAATAACCTATCAAACTCTCTTAGCTGATGATTCACATAACTAGGACTTAGAACCAGTAGGACTAGGTAGGTGATTCTTCTTTGTGTTTGTTTTTGTTTTTGTTTTTGTTTTGTTTTGTTTTTTTGAGATGGAGTCTCACTCTGTTGCCCAGGCTGGAGTGCAGTGGCACGATCTCGACTCACTGCAACCTTTGCCTCCTGGGTTCAAGCGATTCTCCTGCCTCAGCCTCCCCAGTAGCTGGGATTACAAGCACGCACCACCACACCTGGCTAATTTTTGTATTTTTAGTGGAGACGGGGTTTCACCATGTTGGCCAGGCTGGTCTCCAACTCCTGACCTCAAGTGATCCACCCACCTCGGCCTCCCAGAGTGCTGGGATTACAGGTGTGAGCCACTGCGCCCAGCCAGATAGGTGATTCCTAACTAGAGATGGAGGAGATGGAAGGAAGCTTGTTATCTCTTCAAACTACTCTCCCAGGTTGGATGCTTGCGGAGGGGCAGGACAGCACAGTCACTGTTGCTGTTGGAAACATGCCACATTCCTTAATGATATTAACACACAGCCCAAGACTGGAAACCCTGGTCTAGCCTCAAAACTCTGGCACTACTTCACACTGTCTCCCAGCCATTTTTATGGTCTTTTCCAACAGGAAACCATTTCAAAATAATCAATGGCCACAAAGCTTCAGTCAACCCAGGACCTTTGGATTTGGTGTATGCAACATTTGATCTCTAATGCTGTTTTCAAGACCAACATAATATTTGAACTTGCCATAGAGATGTCACAGGACTTGAGAGATAGTAGAAACACTTCCTCCAACAAGTCTCTCCTACTGATCTTGAAACTGGGCCTCTCCACGTTATTCTCTCTTTTATTTGAAGTCATCATGGACATTTGCTAAAATGTGACTTAAATCTGGGAGCTTAACAGACTCTACCATTAGTGTTTTTCAAGACGATTTCTGCACTTATGCTGTTTTATACACACACGTCATGAGCGGGCGCGCACACACACACACACACACACACAGTCTAAGCAACTAGATTCAGTTTATCAGATTATTCCTAGCAGAGTGTAGAAGGGCAGGCTGGAAAGCTAGTCGGTTTTGATAGGAAAATGAAGTCAGAACAAATGCAGAGCCCTTGCGCTTCCTGAGGGGTCCTCAGAATGAGAGGAGGGGAGCCTGGAGCCAGGGGTCCTGCGAGGAGAGGGAAAACCTGCCCACTTCTAAGTGGGCTCTGAGGAAGCTCTGCCCCAGTGCTCTGACGGAGGGATTTGGTGTTTGTAATCCAGTCTCTATATACTAGGTTGCTGCAAAAGTAATTGAGGTTTTTACATTGAAAATTATGGCGGCTGGTCACAGTGGCTCAGCCTGTAATCCTAACACTTTGGGAGGCTGAAGCGGGCAGATCATCTGAGGTCAGGAGCTTCAGACCAGGCTGGCCAACGTGGTGAAACCCTGTCTCCACTACAATACAAAAATTAGCTGGATATGGTGGCATGCCCCTGTAATCCCACAGGAGATGGAGATTGTAGTGAGCCAAGATTGTGCCATTGCACTCCAGCCTGGGCGACAGAGTGAGACTCGGTCTCAAAAAAAAAAAAAAAAAAAAAAAGGCAAAAACCACAATTACTTTTGCACCAACCTATAGCTAGTTCTTTCCCCAGAAAGAAAGAAATGTGATCGCTGCAGCTCCCATGTGGGGCTGTGACTTCTGCTGGCTTGTAATCCAGTCCCTGAAGAACGTTTACTTGCAGGCTCTCAAAAGGAGCCTCCCACGTGTGATTGCGGCTGAGTGTGTTTATGCAAATATCAAAGTTTGACTTAACCACGGTTTATCTGTGAAATCCTCGTTAATAATATTGAAGAGCAAAATTTGGCTCGGACAAGGGACCCTTGACCAACTATTTGTTGGAATTGCCAATGCTATATATTAAACAAACGAGCAGCTGTTTGTAGCCTTTGAAGTTCGTTTTATTTCGATAGCAACAGTTATGTTGTGTACAACACACACTCCCAAGGAAAATAAAGAGAGCCACAGACCAGAGAGGGACTTCAGAGCTCCAGAAAATTACCAAAAGAGATGCCATAAATATAAATTGATAGCCAAGAGAAACACTAATAAAAATTATAGCGATGACAGTGATAGCAGAAAACTCGGCCACAAATGTTCTATGCTGTGCACTCATTAGCTTTTTGAATCTTCTCAGCACCAATGGGAGACAGGCACTAATATCATCATCATCTTATTTATTTATTTATTTATTGAGACCGAGTCTCGCTGTATTGCCCAGGCTGAAGTGCAGTGGCATGATCTCGGCTCACTGCAGCCTCTACCTCCCGGGTTCAAGAGATGCTCCTGCCTCAGCCTCCCAAGTAGCTGTGATTACAGGTGCCTGCCACCGCACCCAGCTAATTTTTGTATTTTTAGTAGAGACGGGGTTTGTCATGTTGGCCAGGCTGGTCTTGAACTCCTGACCTCAGGTGATCCGCCTGCCTCAGCCTCCCAAAGTGCTGGGATTACAGGCGTGAGCCACCATGCCCAGCCCATCCTCATCTTATGAATGAAGAAACTCAGGTGCAGAAAGACTAACTTGGTTGCCTGTGGTTGCCCATGGAGGCAGAGGCGGAGCTGAGAGTCAAACCCAGGCAGCTAACTCCAAGTCCTTCCTGTCTTCGCATCAGAACAAGTATCACCCACCTGGGTGCCATCATCTCTCTTAGGTACCTCACAGCCCTACTATTCCACAGGAGAACATCTATTCCACAGAGATATTAAATGAGAAGACAATGCCAACACTCCCACGTCTGTGTGATTACATGCCCACTCTTCAACAAAAGGTGTTGAAAATTTCTGGAAGATTGCCCACTTGTATGGTATTTTACAGCAAAGGCCTCTAAAATGCTGGGCTTATACATGATGGAAGCTTTATTTTTTCCTAAACAGCCTAAATAAATAAGAAAAAGCAACAAAAAATATAAAGACAAAAACTAATGAATAGTTTTAAGACCCTTCTCTGGGAACTAAATTTCAATAGACACAACATTTCTGTTACCTCTGGCATAGTTTTGCAATAGTCAGCAAGAGATGACCTTCTCCCTAGAAACTAAATGAGGACTGAAAATACCAGTTGTTTCAGCAGATTTAGTAAGCTTCTATTTTCCTATAAAAATGAGCTTACCATCACCTTAGAGAAGCAGTATTTTGATTCCTTAATGTCTACGAGAGGTTTTTGGAGTTGGATCACGTAGGTAGCCTCTCAATATGGATCTCAAAACACATTCACATAGAATAATGATAGGATATGAGTGTGGGAAGATGAAAGGAAGCTATTTGAAGACACAGGCCTAAATAGTATCTGAAAATGAATTTTAAATAATAAAAATACTATCTCCCTTTACAATCATATGGTCCTGTTTTCTAAAGAGGTGTTGGGATAATGACCTTGTCTTTGAATCTATCTATCTATCTATCTATCTATCTATCTATCTATCTATCTATATCTATATATATCTATCTATATATCCACCTATGTATTATCTCTATGTATATATTTATATCTATCTATATATTTATATCTATCTATATCCATCTATATATCTATGTCTATCCATATCTATGTATATCTCTATATCTATGTATATATCTATATCTATGTATTATCGCTATCTCTATCTATCTATATTAAAGCTTATGCTAAAAATGACCATAGCATTTAGTAACTGTTCTACCACTAAATCAAACCCAGTTTTGACAATATCCATTACTGGCACGGTGGCGTTTCCATAAACCATTAATGCTGTCCCAGGCTCTGGGGCCTAAAAGGCATCATTTATTCTCCAAAGTGTTGGCGCTTTGCCATTTTGTTTCTCTTCAGACTCCACATTCACATGTCTGTCTGGCTATGGTCTTTTCCATTTCCTTCCCATGGCTCTACATGGCTGTGTCTTGTCCTATGGCAAAGTTTTTCTATTTCACTCCCCACTGACTTTTAAGGTAGCACATGAAATGAGATCCTGGGGCTCTATGTGTGACTCCTAACTCTTATAGCTCTATAAGCTTTTAAACAATCTGAGGCAGGGGGAGTGTGTGTGTGTGTGTGTGCACATGTGCGTTTGTGTGTGAAAACTGATTCAAGCATCACCCAGAGACCTTGTATTCCCCAGGCCCCCAGCAGCCTCAGGATGTGTTTCCTATTAAGGATTAATTTTCCTCTAAGAAGTGATCTTTCTGGCCCTTGAAAGAGGTTCTATTCCCATTTAATGCCTGTTAGAAGCTCCTGGAGATTGGATTGAGCAGGTGGTCTCCGAATGCAGGTTTCAATGCACATTATTCACAGGAAATAAGATCAGGGTTGAGAAAATCCACTTTTTGAGAGAGGTGAGAAGGAGTCCAGTTGTCATTCTTGTTTGATCTTGGACAATTCACTTAACCTATGTCTCCAGTTTCCAAAGATAATACAGGGAAACAGCTCTTTCTCCCTTCCTATCTCATTAGAGCATCCTGTGGGCAATTATATGATGCTTTTAGAGTCCTCTCTATAGGGCACTTGCCTCGGAAATATAAGAATTATTGGTATTCTCATGACTTGACACTCACCAGTGGCCCCGTGTGAGATGGGCATTCGCTGGCTGACACACAAATAATAATGCATGCAATTTGTCGCAGCTGCACCAAGTCAAAGCCTGTTGATAAATAGAAATCCGGAAGTCACATACAAGCTGGCCTAAGCAAGGCATGGTTCTCACCCCTATTTTTAGTGAATAGAGCTCTGCTGAAATGTGTCACTGAGTGCAGATCTCTTACAAACTTTCTCACCCGTGGCTCAGTCTCGATCACATGAAGTACGCATGCAGAGGTAGAAGGTCACATGGAGCCACGTTAAGTTATAAAAGAGAAAGAGAGAGTCAGTGTGCTGGATCCGACGGCCATACAAATCCAAAAGCCATTGTCTCCCTCTGGGCAGTAATCTATCCAACTGTTTCCCTGGCGTTCCCACCAGGAGGCCTCAGCAGCTGCTCAAAGTTAACACAATGGAGACTGAGCTCCCCCTTCTTTCTGCTAAGCACCCCACATCCCCCCCTACCCTACATACTCAGTTTGAGGCAATTATTGGCAATTTCACTTTCTTCAGAAAATTGTCTCAATTTGGTTGTTTCATCCTTCCTGCCATAGCCAAGCTCCTGCCTATTGACTCTGATGTGTCTTTCACAGAATCTCATTTTCATCCCTGTCACCAGAGTCCAAATGCCAACATACTGATTATTCTTGCTGTGACAAATACAGTGTCTCTTCAGCAGTCTCTTCAGGTCTCAGTCTCCTGAGAAAACAGCTCCCTCCCTCTCCCAGCCTTTTCATAACATTGCATGCTAAGATCACCACCATCCCCCTTTTCAATTCCTTCACAAGCTCATCCTGGACATTTTTCATATCAGTTCTGGAAGGGCATCTCCTCCCCAGTTCTGCTTCACCTGTTTCCTGCCTGTCTGTGTGTCTCTGGAAGCCCCAGGTCACCAGGACAAATTTTTCTGACCCCGTAGGCTATTGCCAAGCTTAATTTTAGCACCCGGCAAATTACAGTAGGTCCTGCTCATCGGATCAAAGCATTCATCCCTGCATGCTAGCCAGACTTGGGGGACACAGCAAACAACTTCGAAAATTTCTTATGAGTCAGCTAAGGAGCATTCAGGCACGCAAAATCACAGGACACATCCACACATTCAGATATAATGACTTTCAGGCAGGATCATTTAACATGAAAGTGATGCTCATTCTCTTGCTGCCACATTGGGCCAGGCGGAAGGACAGGCTTCTGCGGAAACGTATCCAGGCAGAGTCAAGTATCTGAGAAGGACATCCACGTGGTGACATGTGGGAGAGCTGTAAAATCTCCTTGGACAGTGTCATATTTAGGACATCCTAATGCACACACACTGGGGAAAGGTGGCCCTTGTTGTATTACTCAATTTGATGTCAGTTTGATAAAGAAGCTGAAGACCAGCATCTCCGAAGCCCAGAAGTCAGTCCTGATGCCTATGATTACAGGAATTTCATTCTCAAGCTTTTAGATTGAAAAACAGATGATTGAATTTCTCCATAAATACTAGAACTCTTGCTTCTTTTTCATTCATTTATTTTTTATTTCTTTTAGAAACAGTCTTACTTTGTCATCCAGGATGGAGTGCAGTGGTGCCATCATAGTTCACTGCATCTTGGACCTCCTGGGCTCGAGTGATTTTCCCACCTCAGTCTCTCGAGTAGATGAGACTGCAGATGCACACCACCACGCCCAGATAATTTTTTATTTTTTGAATTTTCCCCTCTGGTCTTTGATTCAGGATTTAAAATTTTTTGTAGAGACTGGGTCTCTCTATGTTGCCCCGGCTGGTCTTGTATTCCTGGCCTCAAGTGATCTTCCCACCTTGGCCTCCCAGAGCTCTGGTATTAGAGGCATAAGCTACCATGGCCAGCTGCTCCTTTCCATTTTAAATATGCCCACTAACTGGGTGCGATGGCTCACGCCTGTAATCCCAGCAGTTTGAGAGGCTGAGGCTAGTGGATTGCTTGAGCTTAGGATTTTGAGGCCAGCCTGGGCATACACAGTGAAACCGCTTCTGAAAAAAAAAAAAATCAGCGAGGCATGGTGGTGCACGCCTGTGGTCCCAGCTACTCAGGTGGCTGAGGTGGGAGCTCAGAAGGCGGAGGCTGCAGTGAGCTGTAATTGCACCACCGCACTACAGCCTGGATAACAAAGCAAGACTCTGTCTCAAAAAGTAAAAAAATTAAATATGCCCACTAAACCCTTTAGCAAAGAAATGATTCCTGATTTATATCATCATTTTATTGGCCTACTTTACCATAAAAAGTGGTTGAGAAGAGCTGTCTTTGCCTCTTCCCAGTGGCCTTGGGGACAGTGGTGCAGACACACAGTCAATTCCAGTTTGCTTAGAGCATCTGCGCTATCCCAAGAATTTCAGCGTTAGCGATCTTGACAAGAGGGCTGACATTTCCCATCTGAAGTCTGGAAGGAGATCAGTCCTGTGAAATAGACAGGCTGATCTTGAAATAAAGTTCACTGGAGTATGATGAACAACTACTTTCAGAGGCCAACTGTTATCAGGTAACAGAGGTAATGGCAAGGCCCACTATGGACCATTCAAACATCAGAGAAGTTGGTTTTAGCTCTTTTTTTCCACCTTCCCTTGCTTCATATGAAAACGTGAGAAAACAGATTATTTTCTCCTTATCTTTCCACCTTACCCCTTACATATTTTATTTATTACCTCCCTGTATATTAATTTTTTTTTTGAGACACAGTTTCACTCTGTCGCCCAAGCTGGAGTGCAATGGCATGCTCTCTCTGTCGCCCAAGCTAGAGTGCAATGGCATGCTCTCAGCTCACTGCAAACTCCGCCTCCCGGTTCAAGTGATTCTCATGCCTCAGCCTCCCGAGTAGCTGGAATTACAGGAAGGTGCTGCCATGCCCGGCTAATTTTTGTATTTTTATTAGAGATGGGGTTTCATCATGTTGGCCAGGCTGGTTCCAAACTCCTGACCCCAAGTGATCCGCCCGCCTCAGCCTCCCACGTGCTGGAATTACATGTGTGAGCCACTGCACCCAGCCATACCTTCCTGTATATTAATTTTATGGCAGAAATATAATGCTCCAAATTAATGAAAACTTGATTAAGGTAATATCAATGATGAAATACACAAGACCACAAAATCCAAAAAGACAAGGACCTCTGAGTTCCCGGCACTTTGACCCATGCTTTGTACACAGTAGGGCCTCACAAGATATTTGTTTAACAAAGAAATTGAAGAAATGTACTTCACAAGCTTGGGTTACGAATTAAATGAGGTAACTGTTTCCGGCACAGAGTAGGTATTTAATACTTTCTCCTTCCTTTCCATCCACAAAACAGCTGGAGAAATCACCCTCTATTCCAGGCTTCCAATAAGTGTTCACAGGTAGCAGGTCAAAAATGCTCCCAGTTCATTACTCCATCAGTCCACCAAAAACACCCAGGTCAGCAAGCCAGGCCCAAAATGTTCAGGAGTGGAGTCAGAACTCAGGTTACAAAATCAAATATTGTTCCACATTGCCTTTGCTCAAGAACCCCACCCCCCACCCCCACGAATGGTCTTAGTAATAACCTCCCTATAGAAAGGATATCTTCAAAAGAAGTCTCCCTCCTGAATAGCAGGCGGCCAAAGCTAACCCCAGCTCAGTGCCCCTGACCTTGGCTGTCCTTGGCGGCCTTCACTGCCTCATGTTTCAGAGAAGAGTCTGAAGCAGAAGTCCAGTTCTGGTTTACAATGTCAGCAACAAAAGCCAAGCAAAAGAGAGATATTGGATCATTCCAGATTTCACTGTGCTTTTTATTTTAAGTGTAAAACAGCATCTTCATTTGAGTCTAACTTTTCCCAAAGACATGGCAACAAACTTCAGACCTCTGGAGTTCTTTCCATCCCTATGAATCTTTAAATAACTTTTTTATTTCTTCTTCTTCTTATTATTATTTTGAGACAGAGTCTCTCTCTGTTGCCCAGGCTGGAGTGCAGTGGCGCAATCTCAGCTCACTGCAACCTCTGCCTCCTGGATTCAAGAGATTCTTCCGCCTCAGCCTCCTGAGTAGCTGGGACTACAGGAACCTGCCACCACGCCCAGCTAAATTTTGTACTTTTGGTAGACATGGTTTCACCATTTTGGCCAGGCTGGTATTGAACTCCTGACCTCAAGTGATCGGCCAGCCTCAGTCTCCCACAGTGCTGGGATTACAGGCGTGAGCCACTGCGCCCAGTGAACAACTTTTTTAAATGCTCACATATTGATCTAAAAGAAAAACAATACATGTGTGGAAGGGTCTACTTTATTCTTCCAGTGAGAAGCTTTCTCATTTGGTAGGACACAAAGTATTATCTAACATAGACTCTGATCAAAGGAAATCATGGTTGAATAAACTTTCCATATCGAACTTAGAACAATTCCTACCAATCATACTTAGAACATACCAGTCATACTTAGAACAATTCCTACCAATCACTCATCATTTTCCTCAAATAAAGTGGCAAAACCAAATGTGAGTTTTATTTAAGTAAATATTTGGCAGCTCATTAAAAAGTAAAAATGGAAGATCCGAATTTTCTAATGTAGCTTTGGATCAGTATTTGGGCTAGAGAATTAAAGAGAATGAAACTATTGTGAAACTATTATGTAATGATATTTTTTCAGTTAAAGTTTCATTGACAGATTATATGTATAATTCATACTTACACATTTTTTAGTTTTTAATTTTTTTATTTTTTGAGATGGAGTCTTGCTCTGTTGCCAGGCTGGAGTGCAGTGGTGCAATCTCGCCTCACTGAAACCTCTGCCTCCCAGGTTCAAGTGATTCTTATGTCTCAGCCTCCCAAGTAGCTGGGATTAGAGGCATGTGCCACCATGCCTGGCAGATTTCTTTGTATTTTTAGCAGAGACAGGGTTTTGCCATGTTGGCCAGGCTGGTCTCGAACTCCTGGCCTCAAGTGATCTGCCAACTCTGCCTCCCAAAGTGCTGGGATTACAGGTGTGAGCCACTGCACTTGGCCATACTTACACATTTATATATGTAAATAATGTATACACATATATATGTGAACATTATTTGTAATCAAAACTTTATCAAGTTCAAATATTATTATAAACTACTTTTTTGGGGGGGGTTTGTTTTTGTTTTGAGACAGAGTCTGGCTGTTTTGCCCAGACTGGAGTGGAGTGGCATGATCTTGACTCACTGCAACCTCTGCCTCCTGGATTCAAGTACTTCAGCCTCCCAAAGAGCTGAGATTACAGGCGTGAGCCACCCCACCCAGCCTATAAACTATTTGTAATGTTCCTCTGTAAGAGCCTGTTCTGACACCAATTGCTGTTATTGCAATTTAATTCTGGCGCTAACTACTTGGAGTTAAGTGCAGATCCACATGTTAAAGGGCATGGTACACAGACTGCCCTTACTTGAGATGCCAGCCACAAGCAGTGTCCCCAGGTCACCCAAACTTTTGTCTACTGGCAACTAATCCAGGGAGTTCCCATGGCCCCACAGGCTTAATAATTCACTGGAACAACTCACAGAATTCAGGAAAGTGCTACTTTTTTGGTCAGTTTTATTGCAAAAAAGTACAAATCAGAATGAGCCACATGAAGAGACACATCAGACAAGGCCTGAAAGGGTCTTGAATGCAGAGCTTCCATGTTCTTTCCCTGTATTAGCCTATTGTCATGCTGCTAATAAGAGATACCTGAGACTGCGTAATTTATAAAGGAAAGAAGTTTAATGGACTCACAGTTCCACATGGCTGGGGAGGCCTCACAATCATGGTGGAAGGCAAAGGAGGAGCAACACCACGTCTTACATACTGGCAGGCAAGAGAGCTTGTGCAGGGGAACTCCCATCTACAAAACCATCAGATCTTGTGAGACTTATTCACTATCATGAGAACAGCATGAGAAAGACCTGCCCCATGATTCAATTACCTCCCACCAGATCCCTCCCACATCACATAGGAATTACAGGAGCTACAATTCAAGATGAGATTTGGGTGGGGACACAGTCAAACCATATCACTCCCTGTGGAATTAGAGCATGTCACTCTCTTGGCACATTCATCTATTCACTGACCAGGAAGCTCTACTGACTTTTGCCAGTGGTGTCCAGAGTTTTTATTGGCGTTTCATTGCACAGGCATGATTGATAACTCAATCTCCAGCCTTCCTTCCTCCCCGGAGGTCAGGCTATCTCAAAGCCCCAACCCTCTGATCACAAGATTGGTCTTTCTGGTAACCAACCCAGTTCCTGGGCCATCTCATTAGCATAATCTCAGGCATTCAAATAACAACAATACTCCCTATCACTTGGTAAATTCCAAGGGTTTTAGAAGCTCCATGCCAGGAACCCTAGACAAAGACCAGAAAAATTCTTTATTATGCAATAGAGCCAATGACACAAAACCAAATGCAGCCAGGTAAAGCAATTCTACACATGGCCTGCCTATCTTGGTCCAGGTCCGTGGATTATCTTATGGTCTGGCTTAAAACAAGAGTCAATTTTAGAGTTAAAAGGATGAAATGGCCTACTTATCTTCCAAGCTGTCCTTCATAATCATTGATTCCCTCAGCTATATCTTCAAAATGTGTATTATCTAATTAAGATCCCTGAAAAACTGCATGCAAGGAGAAACCTGGCAGCTATCACCTCAACCAAGTAATTCGAGTTAACATCATCAATAATGGAACAAGGGACATCACCTACTCCATGGCACAATGCGCTGAGAAAGATACAGCATTACTTCTATGGTTTTACCACTAAAAATTCACAGCTTGAACCTCCTCACAAGGAAACATCAGATAAACATACATCCAGGGATATTTTACAAAGCAACTGGCCTGTACGCTTCAAAAATGGCAAAGTCACAAAAAACAAATACAGACTAAGGAAGGGCTCTGGATGAAAAAAACTAAAGAGACAGAACAACTAAATGAATCTCATCACCCAAGGTTGGATCTGGGCTAGGAAAAAAAAAGTCCTATAAAGGATATTACTGGGCCAATTGATGCAATTCGTATATGGACTGTGGATCAAATGGTATTATTATGCCAATGTTTTGTTTCCTGGGTTTTTAAATTTTATTCTCTATGTTGCAAGTCATCAAGCAAGTTTTCTGGTTTTCATCATTGTTTTGTATACAGAGATGTACAAATGTAAGAGAATTTCCTTTTTTTAAAAAAAACACCCTTATGTATTTAGGGTCACCATAATGTGACTATATGTCACTCTCAAATAATACCTCTTAAAAGAGATAGAAGGGGAATAGTGGTAAATGATTAAACAAATTGGGTTAAAATGTAAGCAATAAGTAATGTTTTTGGAGAAGTGTATACAAAAGTTATCTGAACCATATTTACAACTTTTCATTATGTTTAAAATTACATTAAATAGGCCAGGCATGGTGGCTCAATGCCTGTAATCCCAGCACTTTGGAAGGCTGAAGCAGGAGGATCACTTGAGATCAGGAGTTTTTAAGACCAGCCTGGGCAACACAGTGAGACTACGTCTGAACAAAATTAAAATTAAAATTAAAATATTAGCTAGGTATGGTGGTGCATACCTGTAGTCCCAGCTACTCAGGAGGCTGAGACAGGAGGATTGCATGAGCTTCAGTGAGACAAGATCATGCCACTGTACTGCAGCCTGGGTGACAAAGGGAGACCCCTTCTCAAAAAAACTTATATCAAATAAAAATCTAAAAACAAAGTCATACATGCAGAGAAAATGTGTAACGTTGCAAAGAAAATCCATAACTGGTCTAGAAGAAACACAGACAGAGATGCTGGGATTTTGGTCGTCTGCCCCTTGTTTTAACTTTGGATGATGCCTTGATAAAAGTGCTCTCATATGTTATTTTCGTTCTTAAGAATCTCTGTCTTCCCCATTCTCAGTGAACGGAGGAACTTTTTCTTTTTTTGCGCTTAGCATGTACAGAATCCTCTGCTTTGCATACAGAAAACAGCATTGAACAAAGCACATTTCCTACTCCATGAGCTTATAGCTTTCTCGGGCAGATAGGCCCTCTTCTCATATTTAACTTTTTACATGCGATAAAAATGGAAAACCTAAAAGTGACACAAGGTGTTATGAAAACACATACATCTGAGGGCCTGCTAAGTTTTGAAATGAGAGGAATTGGGAAGGGGAGAAGTAGGTAGAAAGCCATCCAAAAGAGTTATCGGTGGAGGGTGTCCAGGATCTTAGCATTTTGAACAAAGAATTGGATAAGCACAAAACAAAGAAAGAATGAAGCCGCAAAAGCAGAGATTTATTGAACACGAAAGTACACTCCATATGTTGGAAGGAAGCCAATCACAGGGTCTCAAGGGCCCAGTGCCAGTATTTTCTGGGATTTAAATACCCTCTAGAGGTTTCCCATTGGCCACTTGGTGTACACCCTATGCAGACGAAGTAGTGGCCCACAGTCAATCTGATTGGTTGGGGGAAGCAACCAATCAGAGGCTGAAGTAAAGTTACAAAGGTTACATCCTATGCAATCTGATTGGCTATGGAAAGCAACCAATCAGAGGTACTTTCAATTTTCCATCTGCCTTGCAGAAAAAGGTCGGGGGTTTGCAAAAGTCTCTGGTCTTTTTTTTACTTAGATGTGGAAAGTTGGGGTTTTCCTTTTGATTTAGTTCTAGGAAGTCAATCGGCCTTCAGTTCCCTGCCTCTAGGCCCTATTCTCCTGCCTCAAAGGCATCTGTTCTTCCCTATCCCACAGGCAAGGGTTGCCTAAGACAGCCTTGACACACCTTATCACTGCCCTTTACTACAAAGGAGTGTTCCACATCATTTTCTGCAATCTTTATTTCAGAATCAGGTGCTGGCAACCTGAAGTTGGAGAGAAGTTTCACTGTCTCCTGTGCCTTGGCAAAGGTAAATTCATGCCTAATGATTAAATCAATATTCAGTAGGCAGGAATTAGAATTTAACTTGGGCCTCTGATATACCTGGGCAACCCAATCCAGGTTTTGGTTTCACCAGAATCATAAGCGAAGATGAGTAAATCCTGGTGCAGGTAAGAATGAAATGTTGTCAACAGTCTTTTGACGGAATTGACAGAAGGCAAATACTTGACTGGTTTGGTTGCAGAAATTTTCACACACTAAAAGTGGAATACCACCACCTGCTCTCTTTCCTGTATCACAAAACAGAGACACTGGAAATGAACTGAGACATTAGAGATGGTCAGAATAATTCTTGACTTATAAGTTAATGCTACCAAAATCTGATCCATAGAAAAATGTTGCACTAATTATACCAGGTTTAGATAGAAGACTCCAAATGGGTTCCTTCTAATTTGTAGCTCACAAATCCTAATCCTCACCCTTTCTTTCTTTTAGAAACTATAGAGAAGCAATTAATGTCTGTTATACATCATCCAGTTCTAAAAACTTCAGAGCCCATATATTTTTCAATAGTAGGTGTGACTATTAGAAAGCATGGCTCCTGTATATGATTTTTCTACACCCATTGAACTAGCACTGACCACCTGAAATTGATTGCTTCAAAAACATGAAAGAGGCAGCACCTCTATTTTGTCAACATGGATGAAATGAGGTTCCTTCTTGCTTTTGGTAACAAGACACAAAAGGAACCATTATAGCCTCACTATATATACTGTAGAAGGGTTTATGTCTGGAAATCATTCTTCTCTCCCTTGGGCAAGAACATTTGGCATTATTAACAAAAATGCTGTGACCAACTATTTCTTGGCCAGAATTCCTTATAATGCTATTGATCTGATCCAAAGGACTTGGGAAAAGAAATCAGTTTGGTTTAATTTTATATATATATATGTGTATGTATACATATATATATATATATGTATGTATACATATATATATATATATGAATGTTTTATATAGATGTATACACACAGAAAGAGAGAAGGAAGATTTTTGTAATTTAACTCATGCATTTTGGGCTTTGCATATGCATTATTATATACTGTGCTATCATATGCTTTCAGTAATTAAAAACAAAAATTTCTCATCATAAATATCTGAAAAGGTCCCATTTAGTTCAGGGCACTTGTAAATTGTATGCTTATAACCACCAAAGAAAGACCTCTAAAGTTAATATCAGCAGTATAACTGTGTTTATTTGTAGTTAAGATGACCAGGAAAATTGAAGGGAGATATTAATCGCGTTGCTTTCAAGGCAAGGCAAATTCAGTTATGGCATGGTCAGGCATTCATGAGATTAAGCCAGCTAGCTGTTAAGCCTAAGTATGTTCTATCTTGCGGAGGGCTTCAAAGTGTAATTATCTGTACTCTTCACTGGTTTGTGAACCCACTTTGTACTGTCTTTACTTCCCCTTTCTTTCTCCATCTAAAGCCAAATTGAAAAGGGAGATAAAGCTAAGCACATGAACCAGAGTAAAGGACCTGCAGACAGTGAAAGAAATGAAGCAAAAAAATTAAGTGTAGTTGGGCAAACTGGGGGAGCCCTCTAAATATATAAATTGAACTAACCAAGAACTTGTACTTCTGGGCTTCTGTCCTTGCCTAAGGAACACCCATGTCACCATCAATTCCCTGTTCCCACTGGCCTTGAACGACATGGTTCACGTATCTCCCTAAGGATGTCTCACCATCCCCCCAGCATTGAGGCCCCTCTTCCCATCACACTCAGTCTGATGAGTATTTCTCATTGTTCCAGACATTATCTGTTGATTTATTTGGGCTATCTTTCCCTCTGATTTAAGTGTTCTCTCTATCTCTCTTTTTGTATTTTCACCTCTTAATGCTTGACCTTCCCAAGACCCTGTATAAAAAGACATATCACCTCTAACATGTGAACCTTTTTAGGCTACTCCCCACAAGTCTCAATTTTCTTTTCTTGTCCTTTTTACTCTGCTTCCTCTGTAATTATTTACATCAGTGTTGTCCTTCTCTGATATCTATTTTCCACTTCCTTTTTTTCTCCTCTGCTGTGACCTTTAATTCTGTAACTACATTGAACTATATATAACTACAATAAAAACCATGACACATTTGGGAAACAAATGTGTTGTATAAAAAGTGTTGCATAAAAGAAAACTGTCTCACTGCATTGTGAGATCTTCAGCTTTCATTTGTGTTTCCCAGTGGGCAGGCTTGAAAGAGGCAACTCGTTTCTACCATTTTTTACCTGATGTGGTTAGTTTATTGTCAGTGCAAACCACCAAGTAGGTTAGACACACAACAGAGGAAGGGAGCGATTTTGTAAATTATTAGAGGGAAGCAAAAACCAAGCATGGTGGTTCACGCCTACAATCCCAGTACTTTGAGATGTTGAGGCAAGAGGATTGCTTGAGGCCAGGAGTTCAAGACTAGCCTGGGCAACACAGCAAGATCTTGTTGCCACAAAAAATAAAAATAAATGATCCAGGCATGGTGGTGCACACCTGTAGTCCTAGCTACTCAGGAGGCTGAGTGGGGAGAATCCCTTGAGCCCAGGAGGTTCGAGTCTACAGTGAGTGTGCCAGTGCACTCCAGCCTGGGGGATACAGCAAGATCTTGCCTCAGAGAAAAAAAAAATTTTTTAAGTGTGTTTTTTTTTAAATATTTTAAGAAATCTTTTTTATGGGATTTTTTCTGGTTGGTTTTTAACTACAAAATTCTGAAAAATATAAATATGACTATAATAAACCTTAAACAAAAGAAGGGTAAAAAAAATGACTTCTTAAATTAGGCAAATTTGTGTGGCTATTCCTGTTAAAATAACTCTTTGGGAGAAGGAACAGCAAAATGGAAAAGAACTTTCTTTCTCTCACTCAGGCTGAGAGCATCAAGAATGCATTTTTATTAGTGAGACCTGCTGCAAGTCACTGCCAAAGGGAGAAAGTTTTTGAAAGTTCGTCATGGTAAATCAATGTGTTTGTCATGGGTAAAAGAATGGCAGAAGATACATGAAAACCTGATGCTGATCACTTGGTTACAAATGACTTGCAGATGTTAAAATGTGTTTCCCAGTAAAAAAATAAGACAAAACACCAGGCTGCCTGGCAAGAAGGGGCCAAGCACCTGCCTGAAAACAATGAGAACCAAAATCAGCAGCAACCACCCAGATACTCCTGCAACTTCCTTCCTAAAAGCTCACAAGAGCCTCCTCTAGGTTCTTTTTTTTTTCACACAAAGTACAAAATCTTAGACTGAAACCATATGAGGTGGATCCTAGTAATTTCTTCTCAGTACACATGAGATGTGCCCACTTTTGCAACTTTGGTGACATTGTGATTTATTTATTTATTTATTTATTTTGAGACAGAGACTCGCACTGTCCCCAGGCTGGAGTGCAGTGGTGTGATCTCAGCTCACTCCAAGCTCCGCTTCCAAGGTTCACGCCGTTCTCCTGCCTCAGCCTCCTGAGAAGCTGGGACTACAGGCGCCGACAACCATGCCTGGCTAATTTTTTGTATCTTTAGTAGAGACGGGGTTTCACTGTGTTAGCCAGGCTGGTCTCCATCTCCTGACCTGGTGATCTGCCCGCCTTGGCCTCCCAAAGTGCTGGGATTACAGGCGTGAGCCACCGCGCCTGGCCGACATTGTGATTTCTATAAGGGCCTGGTTCTAACTCTCTCTCTTTTTTTTGCCGGGGGTGGGGGTTTGTTTTTTGTTTTTTTGAGATGGAGTCTTACCCTGCCGCCCAGGCTGGAGGGCAATGGCTCAATCTCGGCTCACTGCAACCTCCGCCTCTTGGGTTCAAACTATCCTCCTACCTCAGCCCCCCGAGTAGCTGGGATTACAGGTGCCCACCACCACACCCAGCTAATATTTCTTTTTTAGTAGAGACGGGGGTTTCACCATGTTGGCCAGGCTGGTCTTGAACTCCTGACCTCATGATCTGCCTGCCTCGGCCTCCCAAAGTGCTGGGATTACAGGTGTGAGCCACTGCACCTGGCTGCAGAACATGCCTTCAGAGAGGCTTTGCAGGGCCTGGCACAGGGCTCCAAATGTCTTGCAGCTGCCAGCTTGCTCTTCAAGTTCATCATAGAGATTCAGGCAAATTAGCGTGATGTAACAAATGATATTGAAAGAGACCCTCTGGTTCTCTGACCAGTTCTAGATAGAGATCAACCCTTAAGTAGGATCATTTCTCAAAAACAGACCAAGTGAATTCCTAGGAGGCCTCCAGCCAAGATGGAAGAGCCGTAAGGTCACACACTGGAAAAAGCAAGTTTATTTCAGGTCAAGAGGCGAATGCCCAATTACCTTCTAGGATAATCAGACCTCACTGAGACCCAAGTTTCCTATTTAAGACAGCCTAGTGAATGGATTAGTCAAAAGATTTGCAGGCTCTGGGAGCTGATGCAGGAGAGAAAAGGGGTTACAAAAGCCCATGAGGATTAATCAAACATCCTGAATTCTTACTTTACTGTGAATGTTTTAAGGACATCATTGTGACGTGGTTCAAGATGCACGGCTGTTAGCCTATGTAAATATATAATTTTGACTTAAAGACGAAAACATGCAATCTCCTTAAAGGTGTAAACATAGGGAAATAATCAATGTCAATAAACCAACCAGAAGACAATAGTTAGGCATTACTGTTAAAAGAAATAGTCCACCCCCAAACCACCACCACCACCTTAAATAATGAGAATGTTTCTTTATTCATATGCATATTCATTTGTGCTTTGGGAGGATTTTAATTTCTAGTAGCAGTTGGTGTTGGGACTTTTGGAGTTTGGGTTTGTGTTTATTCTTGAAAGATGTGTTTTGGTTAAATGTGAGTTAACTGCATTTAAACCTATTTAAAAGGTATAATTAAAATAGTTAAGATGTTAAGGCCAAACATTTTTAGTGTCTATTGCTTTGTATTGCTTTGGCTGTTTAATTTTATGCAAAAACACATAGACAAACACACACGCACACACACACACACACACAATAAAGCCCACTTAAATGAACACCTGCTCAAAGAATAGCTTTGTAGAAAAGATCATATCTGAAATTAAATGTAAGTTAAAAACCGCTCCATAAAATGATACTCCATTATCCCTGGTCTGCTCATAATGAAATAATAAACATTTGTACAATATAATGATGAAACTGAATATAGAGAACTACATGATCATTTTTAACTTCCAGTCTCAATCACAATCATTCTTATTCATCAATTTCATTTGAAAATTTCATTTGAAAAACAAACCATTAAAATAAAGATATTCCTTATAAAGATATCAATAAATTTATTCATATTTTCACAGAGTACACAATACATTATTAAAGTTCACCTATAGAAATCAAACAAGCAACTGAAAATTTTCTAGTTTTGCCTTATTCAAATCTTCATTTACAATGAGAGGCTATTTTTTGTATGTCATGTCTATGAAATGTTATCAATGTCACTTATAAATTCAAAAATTCAGATAAGATATGGCTTATCTGAGATGTTAATTAGACACAGTTCCTCAAATCCCATTCTCTAATAGCTATTCAAAATATTTTCACTTTATTACCCTATCTTTCTTTTTGTTTTTTGCATAACAGAAGGCTATCATTATATCTAGAATTGTAAAATGAGGTAAGATTTCACCTTCTCCTTAAGTTTAATGATTAGACCATACTTAAAGATTTCTCAAAATAGCATCAAAATTCTTTACGCACAGTCCATGCATGAAAATTGGTACCTATTTTGTTATAGAAATTCTTTTCTGACACAAAACATGAAAGTAAAATCACTGTTTTGTGACATTTGATTCTCTCTTCTGTTTTTAATTATTAGTAGAAGATTCCTGAGTTGACATTGATGATTAGATAATCCATCTACATCACACGAAAAATATGGAAGCATTCTGATCTCTATGTTTAGGAGTCCTATCAACTATGGTCTTTCCACAAAGAAACATTATTGGAAAATGTGCTCTTGTGACATGTTTACAGTCTTAAAAAGCTGGCATGACTCCTAAGGTGGTTTAAAGAGTTCATATCCCAATCTTACAAAAGAGGAAGTTTTGATAATATTACAGGAATAAAGAGAAAAACGGACTATTTCTGTGATTAGTGCCATGAAAACATCTGACAACCTTATTTTTATTTATTTCATTTTATTAACAAAGACTTCATATGCTTTCGTTCCCCCTAGAAAAACCATGAGATTGATAAAAGTTTCCATAGGTTTTATAAATACTGAAATTAAAGAAGAATGTCTTGCCTAGGGGGTCCACTCACATTTAAAATATCCCCATAAACTAGAACTGCAACCCCAGAGACTCAAGCTGAACTAGTGGTCACATTTTCACAGGCACATGCTAAGCAGAAGCCATGCTGTCCTCACAAGGTTAACAAGAATTCTGGACAGAAATATAGTTATAATTAAGCATTAATCAGGCTGCACTTTGACCCACTTCCTTGTAACCAAAAGTCACATAGCACTAGATACTGACCACTCACATCTCCATTGTTCTTATAGATGGAGTTTCTGAGGTTAGAATCATAAGGCCTTTGTTCAAGAATTGCTTAAGATGTTTTTCAGAACAGGAATTCCGGTGAAACAGCTGACACCAACCAGTTTGAAGACTCCCACACGAGAATGGGATCAGCATGAGAACACAGGTTTTTTTTGTTGTTGTTTGTTTGTTGTTTTTGAGACAGTCTTGCTTTGTTGCCCAGGCTGTAGTGCAGTGGCGTGATCTCAGTTCACTGCAACCTCCATCTCCCAGGTTCAAGTGATTTTCCTGTCTCAGCCTCCCGAGTAGCTGGGATTACCAGCGTGCATCACCACGCCCAGCTAATTTTTGTATTTTTAGTAGAGACGGGGTTTCACCATGTTGACCAGGCTGGTCTCAAACTCCCAACCTCAGGTGATCCGCCCGCCTCAGCCTCCCAAAGTGTTAGGATTATAAGTGCGAGCCATCGCGTCTGGCCAAGAACACAGTTTCTTCATCTCCCTGTCCCATGACTTCACTCTGCACTCTTTGACTAATCAACAATCTCCACACTTTGGCCCACTCCAAAATCCTTAAAAACCATGGCCCCAAATTCCTGGGGGAAATGGATTTGAGGTCTCTCCCATCTCCTCTAGCAGCCCTAATATGAAACCTCTTTCTTTGCTGCAACCTGGCGTCTCAGGCATATTGAGTTGCTGTGCGTGTGTGATCTGGGCAAGGGATCTGTTATGGTTATAGAAGTGCCCTCTGATAGCCACGGGCAGCAGCTTCTGTAATCCTTGCTGCCTGAAAGGAAGTCAATGCATTTAGAGAAGGGGCTGATTCCTGCGAAGTGGAAGAGAATAATAGGAGAAATCCAGAATCGGCAAACAAAAATGCCTTGTTTGGCTCTTGGTCCCGACTCTTGGTTCCATGATGCTGACACCTTCCACCTGGCAAAGGTGTTAACTGAGGCTCAAGCATTGGCCTCTCTTAGACCCTTTAATAGAGGTCTCTGTGGATCCAATTGTCATCTTATCACAATGAATAAATTAATAACAGCAGTAAGAATATGTATTGAGCTGCTCTCATGGGTCAGGCCCTTCACATACCACCTTGCTTAAACTTCTTAATAGCTCTACTAAATAGGAATTGTCTTCAAATATTTGAATTAAGGTTCAGAGAGGTAAGGAATTTGTTCAAGGTCACACAAGTTCCTGGCTAATCTGGGGTTTGGGGTTAAGTAAGTTGGAAGCCAAATCCAATGCTTATTCCACTCCACCGCTCTGCTTAATGAGCTTTCAGATGATACCACAGAAGATGGAAGACACATTTTTAATAAAGGGGTCCTCTTAGTACATTTCTAATCCAATCACATATGTGGCTTACTCTGAGGCCAAATATCTTACGTGTTGCTGAACTTGTTTTAGCATTGTTTTATCAAACCCAAGTACAATATATCAAACCATATGCAACCTAGATCATATTCTTGGATAAAAACAACTTTGCAAATCACCACTAAATTAGGGTAGCAGTACTAGGCATAATTTTAGGCACCAGGGACAAAGAGAATGATGAAGATGACCTGGTCTTGCCCCGAGGTGTTTTGTCTCCTATGTCTGACCGTTGGACAGTCCAGTTCTGCTACGGAGCATATGACCTACAACCTAGCATGATTGGTTCCCACTTGTCATAGGCATGGATGTGGGTTCAGATGCTGTGTACATTGATAAAGGGTTGACAGTTATTTCCAAAGCTGCAAAGTGCTATAGGAAGTAATTGTTGCCTGGCTATTCAGAAGGCACACTGTCTCATGAAGAATGCGGTTTCTCCTAGACATCTGTGCTTAGATGATTAAAGAACTTTCCTAATCTTGATAAATTGCCCTTTGGTCCAGGATATTCTTTCCATGGATTTGATAACATCTTTTTATCTGACAGTAGGGGGTCTTCTGACTCAGAATGGCTTCCATTCACATGGTGGACAATTGTCTCTGGAAAATGAAGAAAGGTGATCTGGTTGGTTTCCTTTGATGCTTTTGAACAAGATAAATGATTATCCTGGGTCCACTGACTTACATGTGTGGGAGGCCCTTTTTTGTAGTAAGTAGTTTCTTTCTTCCATGGTCTTCCCCTAAGGGATGTTTTATCGTCTAGCTCCATCTCCGGTTTGAAATCCCTTGTTAATGAATTGAATAAACCCATGCCTCTTGAACTGTATGATCCTCTTGGCTTCTTCAACATCGAAATTAATTCTTGGGTAAGATCTGTAAGATGACAATCTGCATTAATTCTGATCACATCTGAAATTCTTGTCTTGATCGTTCCTTAATCTAATTATTCTCATTTTTTTATTTCACCAAATACAGAGAGAAATTATACAGTGGATATAAAAGTTTGGATAGGAAGGATTTAGACTAGATAAGTGATTTTGAAATGTCATCCCCCCTTTTCACAGCAAAATTCTTTCTTCCAATAATATTATAAAGTGATATATAAAACATAACAGGATTGTTCTTACTGAGACAGAGGACAGAGCCTTCTTACATTTTGTTCCTGCTGTCTTTTCCCCATCTAAGTTCCTCGCCATCGTGTAGAGCACCTAGAAGTAGACTTTGAAGATGACAAAACTAGATTATTTACTTCTGCAATTATTTACTTCTAGCTCTAAAACCAACATCATGATTCTGAGGTCAGCCACAGTTTTATTATAATCGTGTCTTTCCAATACTGATATTTCAAGATATGTATAATCTGAATTTTCGTGTAGATTATAATTACCATTCCCTTGGCAATGTTAGTTGTCACTAAATTGTGTAAGAGGTCCTATCCCCTGACCTTCCCCAATAAGATTGTATCTTTCACAGAAGCAAGCATAGAATTAGGTAGAACATGCATTCTTCAGTTTAGAGATACTTGGCCCTCTTCAGTTGAAATGCTTATAATGTGTATGAGGGCAGGAAGCATGTGTGTCTTCCTCATCTTTGAAGTCTTAATGGGACATAGTACGTGCTTAACAAATGTTCATTGAATGTATAACGTTAATTTATATTAATTTACTAAAAATGTTAATTTTATCTAGCTTTTCTAATTTGTGTTCTTTATGCTTCATCTGCAAAACAATACCTACCCCACTGGGAGTATTGGACAGGTTAAACGAAGTAGAAACATAGTGTTTGGCATAAAGTAGGCATTTAGTAAATATTTGCCAATAAGTAAAGAACGTTGCCCCCCCTTTTTTTTTTTTACAAAAGCTAAGCATTTGAGTTTACCGAATTTGTCATTTGCTTTATTATCTTAATGAAATAGGGTTGTTTTGTTTTCTTCACCTAGAAACCAAAACTATCAGAATGTAGTCATAAATTTGCCTTTTACATAAGTCAGTGTTTTGAGGGTTTCTGTTGGGATAACTTTTATTCATTGAGTTCTGCAGAGATCATAAAATAAAGTATTTTACAATGGAAATAGCCTTTTTGACTTAATTCACCAATAACTCAGAAGCAGCTGCAGGCAATCTTTTTCTTATGTTCCAAAAAGAAAAAAAAAGTGGCCTCAGAAGAAGCAAAGAAAAGTTTAACTCCAGACAATAATGTTTTGGAAAGTTCCAATTGAGTGAAACTTGGGGTTACAATAGAAATGTCTTACAAACCTAAGTACGGCTTACAGTAGAGTGGATAACATAATAATATTGTGGTACCCAACTTAATTTACTCTGTAATTGTACCAGACAGCAAACAGGATACAAACAAAAAGAACATTGACGCCTTCTAAAATGAATAGCTGGTAAGAGAATATTGACAAAGGGTGTTTGTCAGCAAAAAATAGAAGTAGGACCTATACGTATCTAGTTCTTCCCTCTATGCCTTTACAAGGTATTCATTTAAAAGGAATTCACTATTTTCTCATGTAGTTTACTTGTCAGATGGTACAATTATAGTTATTTTGCAGAGTCAATTTTCTGTTACATAATCACATAGACTTGTATCTAATGCAACAGAAAATTGCCTGGGTGGAATAACTTTCAGGTGTTGGTTTGACTCCGGGGATTTCATGTTTGCTTTTTGGTCACAAAGTTTTATTTTTGTTCACATCTCTCTGAGAATTCTTAGTCCCAACACCCCCTAGGAGAAACACTGTAGGTAGTTTTAAGAAAAAAGGTGTTAGAAGGCTGTGGAGAAATAGGAATGCTTTTACACTGTTGGTGGGAATGTAGATTAGTTCAACCACCATGGAAGACAGCATGGAGATTCCTCAAGGATCTAGAACCAGAAATACCATTTGACCCAGCAACCCCATTTCTGGGTATATACCCAAAGGAATATAAATCATTCTATTATAAAGACACACACACTCATATGTTTATTGCAACACCATTCACAATAGCAAAGACTTGGAACCAACCAAAATGCCCATCAATGATAGACTAGATAAAGAAAATGTGGCACATATACACCATGGAATACTAGGCAGCCATAAAAAGGAATGAGATCATGTCCTCTGCAGGGACATGGATGAAACTGGAAGCCATCATTCTCAGCAAACTAACACAGGGACAGAAAAACCAAACACCACATGTTCTCACTGGTAAGTGGGAGATGAACGATGAGAACACATGGACACAGGGAGGGGAACATCACATATCGGGGCCTGTTGGTGGGGCAGGGGGATGGAGAGCATCAGGACTAATAGCTAATGCATGTGTGGCTTACTACCTAGGTGATGGGTTGATAGGTGCAGCAAACCACCATGGCACACGTTTACCTATGTAATGAACCTGCACATTCTGCACGTGTATCCCGGAACTTAAAATTAGAAAAAGAAGGTGCTAGAATCAAGTAAAGCTGGTGTTGAATCCCAGCTCCAACACTTATCTGTCATGTATTTGTGGATATCTCTTGTGTTGTGTAACCTGACCTCTTGGTAAGACAAAGCCAAGTTTATTGCTTACCACAGTGAAGAAGACTACCGCCACAGAGTTCAGATAGGGTCTTAGAGGGAAGAGGCAAAGTTGGTTCTTATTGAGAATTTGAAGTTTGACTTCAAGCAGGTTTTTCAAAGTTGATTTAGATTGCGTAAGGATCATAATACAACAGTCTAGGGATTGTAGAAAGAGAGAGATGAGAATTTTAAGACCAAGGATTCCAAGAATTTTAGAACACAAATGTAACTCTAATAGGCCCTTTGCCTCATGCTCAGAGCAAATCAATATGCCAAGACACCAGGTTGCAGCAAAGAAAGAAATTTAATCATAGCATCACCAAATGAGGAGATGGGAGGAAATCTCAAATCCATCTCTCCAAGGAGCTTGGGGCTATAGTTTTTAAAGGGTTTCGGAGTGGGCTGAGGTGTGGAGATTGTTGACAAGTTGGAGAGTGCAGGGTGAAGAAGTCATGGGGGATAGGATGTAATAGTCTAGAACTGGTGGAAACAGCCAGCACGGGGTTGGAAGTGAAGAGTTTGAATGTTAATGTGAAGAAGCTGTGTTCTCAGGCTGATCCCATTCCTCTGTGGGGGTGTTCAAACTGGTAGCTGGAATGTAGGGTCTGAAAAACATCTTATGCAATCCTTAAGCAAAAGCTTTATGATTCTAAAGTCAGAGGTCCTCTATCCCCCGAACAAGGGGGATACAAATAGTCAGGATCTGGTGCTACCTGACTTTTAGCAACAAGGAAGTGGGCTATAGCACAGCCTGACGAATGCTTAATTATAACTATGTTTCTGTCCAGAACCCGGAATGCAATTCTTGTCAACCCTGTGGGGGCAGTTTCACAAACTGTCTGTCAATACTTTTTCATTGAAGAGTTGATAGGTCTTTTGGTAAATTCCTGTAATGAACACACTAACCATCTGCCTTGCAAGAGACTCTCTGGAAAAGCCAAGTATGCTAATGAAGACAGTGGAATAGCAAAGTCATACTAATGCAGACAGGCACGTGTGATTTCCGTTTCTCAGCATCTGAGCTGAGTGTGGTAGCAAAGGCCACAGTGAGCCTGTTTTCTCAACTGTGCCATGTTCTTGGAAGAACGAAAGGAATCAATAAATCAAGGGGCTAGCACATGATGGGTACATCACAAGTAGCAACTATGTTTGTTTTTGTTTTTGTTTTTGTTTTGAGACGGAGTCTTGCTCTGTCACCCAGGCTGGAGTGCAGTGGCGTGATCTCGGCTCACTGCAAGCTCTACCTCCCGGGGTCACGCCATTCACCTGCCTCAGCCTCCTGAGTAGCTGGGACGACAAGCACCCACCACCACACCTGGCTAATTGTTTTTTGTATTTTTAGTAGAGATGGGGTTTCATTGTGTTAGCCAGGCTGGTATCGATCTCATGACTTCGTGATCCGCCCGCCTCGGCCTCCCAAAGTGCTGGGATTACAGACGTAAGCCACTGCGCCCGACCACAACTATAATTATTTTAATAGTGTATTTCAGGATGAAGTAGTGTTAAAATAGTGCCGGGGGGGTGAGGCGATGGAGAGACTGTGTATGTATGGGCTGGCAGGTCAGATCATTCCATGGTCCTGAGAGAATATTCACCGGAATCCCTGGCATCTCCTTTAGTGCTATTCCCTGAGGCAACTTGAGACTCCAAACCATATTTCTCTACCCAGTTTGGGCACTGATGACCAAAACTACCTGCCCATCCACCCAGTTTACTGTCTATGTAAACATGACCTTGCAATTCCACTGTCTTCATAAGCATAATTTTACTATTCCTAGAAACTCTTGCCCAGGCAAATAACGTGATTGTTCATTAGCTGAACTTTCTGAAACATCCATCAACCCTTCAATAGGAAGCAGCAACCTGCCTTTTATATCCTGAGACTCTTCATGCTACAGCTGAGTTGGCTTTTCCCAAAAGATGGAATTCTTTCCTGTCTGGTGCCACAGAGTTGATCCATAGAACCAAAAGTGAGCATCAGGCCATGGAGACTTCATTCAATGGCCAAGGAATGGAGAAGCAGGAGCACGGCTCATATCAACTTCCCGTTCTGTGAGAGGCAAGGGGTTAAAATACACAGTTTTCCAGAAATACCATTTGACCCAGCAATCCAATTACTGAGTATATACACAAAGGACTATAAATCATTCTACTATAAAGACACATGCACACGTATGTTTATTGCAGCACTATTTACAATAGCAAAGACTTAGAACCAACCCAAATACCCATCAATGATAGACCGGATAAAGAAAATGTGGTACATATACACCATGGAATACTATGCAGCCATAAAAAAGAATGAGTTCATGTCCTTTGCAGGGACATGGATGAAGCTGGAAACCATCATTCTCAGCAAACTAACACAGGAACAGGGAAACAAACACCGCATGTTCTCACTCATAAGTGGCAGTTGAACAATGAGAACACATGGACACAGGGAGGGGAACATCACACACCAGGGCCTGTCGGGGGGTCAGGGGAAAGGGGAAGGAGAGCATTAGGACAAATACTTAATGCATGTGGGCTTAAAACCTAGATGACGGGTTGATACGTGCAGCAAACCACCATAGCACATGTATACCTATGTTACAAACCTGCACATTCAGTACATGTATCTGGAACTTAAAGTAAAATTTAAAAAAAAAGAAATGCTAAAAAATACAAGGAAAATATGTACAGTTTTCTCTAATGAAGGGGTTGGGCATTAAAAATGAGAGGAGAAATATTTGTGTCCTTTCTGGGAATGGGCAGTGAACTTCTCAGAACCAGAGTACCGCATTCTTTTTGTCCCTTTATGGTTTCTTCCTGTTACTGTCATGGTGATTGTCAACTGTCATGGCACTGGTGGGAATGTCATTTAGCATGGAAATTAGATTATAATGAAGTCCGAGGTCTATTTGAGGTTGTTCAGTCAGCCACCTTGGTTCTAAATGGCTTTAGCTGATTCTTTCTCTGAGGAGGAACTTCTGTCCATAGGCCTTCCTGTTCCAGAGTTAGGGAGATGTAGACATTCAGCTATGTCACGTAGGCATTACACTGGGAGACATTGGGCAACATTCAGATTCTTCACTTCAAAACCTCTGGGGGCTATTTCCACCAATTCTAGACTATTGTATCCTGATCCTTACTCAATTCTAATCTAGCCCCTGCTTTGAAAGACCTACCTTAAACCGCACCTGAAACCTCAATAAGACCTAACTTTGCCTTTCCTGCTCCAGGGCACAACCAGAGCTCCCTTATCGGTGTCCTTCCTTACTGTGATAAACACAAAACACAGCTTTGTCTTTTCAACAGGCTGTATTGGTGACTGTGGGGGAACAAGCATTTGCAGGCTACAGAATTATACTGCACGATGCTGTCACTCCTAAATTCTAATAGGTAACATTTGGAAGTCTGGGGTATTTTGTTTGGAATCAATTTATAAACTCTAAGAAAACAGTTACACACTTCTCCCACCCACAAGGGGTTTAAACCCCCCAAACTATGCCTCTTCATTTATTCAAGTTCAAAAAATCATTTCCTTATCACTCTAGTTTGTCCTGAGTTTTGTCTTCTGGCTTCCTCATTATTTTGGCTTGGATCTTTTTGCTTCTTATAATGAACACTTTGCTGTTGTTCCTTTCTCAAACATTTTAATGCTCAGTCTGGAAGTGGGCTGACCAAAGATGAGTACAGCACGGCCATTTGCCATTAAGGAGTTCTTAATATAACATGTGAAGGAAAATAAATGTTTCCACACTGTTATAAACTTCTTGAAAATAGGCATCATGCCTTTATAATGTTCTGTGCCATGGAACCAAATGCATGGCTTGAGCTCAAGGAGTAGCTGTCGATTAGAATGGGCTCCCCTCACCCCCACCAACCCCCCTCTCTTGCAGGCAGAGGATGGAGCGGCAGCTTAGAAGATGCTGTGTTTCCAAGGACACAGTAGAGCTGTATCTGCTTGACATTTAAACAATTTAGTCAAATTCAATCTAAAATCAAGTCAGTCCAGATGTATTTAATTGGGAGACAATGCCTAAGCCTTCTACCAATATGGCTTTTGGGAAACATGCCTTGAAGACTTGCTTTTCTGCCTTCAGTTTTCTGAAACAGTAGAAGGGTAGGGTGGGAGGGAATCATTAACATTAGCATTGCACACAGGAGGCTTAGGTTTTCCTGCTCAGAAACAGACCTTACTATGGATCTTGGGAATTTCAGCAGGAGTGAAATTGACTGCCCATTATCCTCATTCACAAGAGATTTCTGTCATTGCCCATCCTTCCTGAAAGTCACATTTTTGACTTGGCTGTGGTGTGAGCAGGATGGAGTCATTCTCTTCTTTAGAATCTCAAATGTCCTAGGAAAAGAAAAGAACTATTGTGTCAGGCACACACACCTTGGCACTATCTAGTCTCTGTTTATTTCTGCCTATTTGTTTCTCATGCTTTCTCTTTCTGTTTCTTTTTCTTTTTTCTTGTTAGTTCCCTTGGTATTATTCCAGCTCTTAATAGCCTCCCTTCTGATGTTTTCTCAAACAAAGCGTCCTTTGTGTCAACTGTCAAATACGTTGGACTTTGCCATGTCATCTCCTCTTACTTTGTGTTTTTTGGACAAATATGAAAAGGCCGTTTGAATTTTTAAAAATTCTCTTCATTATCTTAAAACAGCAATTAAGACACCAACCAGAACTCTCTTGTGCTCTACTGGAAACAAACCCATCATATTCAGCCTTCCCTATAATTGAATTATTGAAGCTTGATGTCATTTTGGTTTCTGTGCAGTACAACCCCTTAAGAGCAATTTCATCCTTTCTCAGGCCTGATAACCAGTCCTAGTGCCAATTCTCTAAGGTACCTGAGATCGAATCTCACAAGGCCATAATTTCATTTTCTTTATCTGTGTTATATCATTTCTTGCTACATAACTACCCTTAACATTGTTTGTATTGTCTTTATTATATCTGTGAATGAAGTTACTAAAACTTTTGCCATTTACAATACCTGGAAGAGGCCGGGCGCAGTGGCTCATGTCTGTAATCCCAGCACTTTGGGAGGCCAAGGCAGGTGGATCACGAGGTCAGGAGTTCGAGACCATCCTGGCTAACACGGTGAAACCCCGTCCCTACTAAAAATACAAAAAATTAGCCGGGCGTGGTGGCGGGTGCCTGTAGTCCCAGCTACTCGGGAAGTTGAGGCAGGAGAATGGCGTAAACCCGGGAGGCAGAGCTTGCAGTGACCCGAGATCACGCCACTGCACTCCAGCCTGGGCAACAGAGTGAGACTCCATCTCAAAATAAATAAATAAATAAATAAATACCTGGAAGATTTAAAAATCATTTGGGTAAAATAATTTCAGTGGAGTGGGCTTGACTCTTCCAAATAATATAATCTAATCATGCCATGCCAAAGCATAATATCAATTTCTTTATATTTTTCTTATTAATCAGCTTAATTCTTATGATCAATTTTATTAATTGCTTTATATCATCCTGCTAAATCTAGGACCGTTGTCAACTGTGTTCTTTGCATGTTTTCTGTTGTAATCCCTTGTAATATCTTTCCGAGTTGAAAAATCAGTCTTTGTTTTCTTCTAGGTAACCAATTTTCATTACAATGGCAAAATAATAATTATTTAAATTGTACTGTGCCTCTGGTAGAAGTACCAATCAGCAGCTCTGAAACTAGGCTGACCTTCTTGGCTGCACATTGAAATAACAGCCTTATTATTATGGGGAAGAACAGAGTCCAGGCTATCATTTTAACTCAATGTAAAAGGCAGAAAAATGTTCTACAAATGATTGTCGCTGAATTTTTGAAGCAGATTGTCCCGGCTTGTCGCTAGTATCCAGGAAGCCAAGATGTCCATCTCTTCCTAAAGGTTTGCTCTTCCACTGTTGCTGGGCGCTGGTAAGCCCCTGGGAAGAGGACAGGGGCAGAGTCCTGTCATTATGCACAGGTCTTTCCTTCATTATCTGCCACACGATTAGTATTCAGAGGAGCAGATGGAGCAGCCAGTGGAGCTATGGCAAATTATTTAATGAACTCTGCTAAACCCACAAGTGTTTCATGAATGCAATTCAGCCAATCTGTTGTGATCCAAGTTTGTGAGGGATGAGCTATATTCAGTCTTCAAACTAATTGTTTAATAGTAGAATTAATATCTTACAGGGCATTTAGTGCCTTACAAATCAAAGCACAGTAACTCCATCTCTATTTGGGATCTAATGAATTCTATGGCTTTCCATCAATACCCTCAACTTCCATTAGTTTTCAGTTATCACAAATTAACCTCCTTTACTTCGGGAAGAAATCTGTTTCAAGTATTTTCCAGAATGGTCTGTTGATCACAGGGAGTTTTTCTGTGATTTCCAGTAGGACGGTACTATTCCAACTGAGTGGAAGCCTTTGATTATATAAGAGGTTTCTTATCACTTTTTGAAATGCAGTGTCAGGTGCTGGCTCTCCACATATCACCAGCACCATGTTGCTAAGACATTTTTATTGCTCCCACAGTGAGGTAGGGACACTATCTTCACAGACTTTTGGTGGCGTCTTGGATTGGGAAGGGCACATTTGGATTTTCCCAAGATTTTGAAGTTTGGTTTCTCAGGGAGGAAAAACTTTTCCTCCATTCTCTTAGGTTCATGTTTGGGGACCTGCAAATTAAACTAACAAAAACCAGGCCAGGCACAGTGGCTCACACTTGTCATCCCAGCACTTTGGGAGGCCAAGTCGGGGGGATTGCTTGAGGTCAGGAGTTCAAGACCAGCCTGGCCAACATGGTGAAACCCCATCTCTACTAAAAATACAAAAATTAGCCAGGCATGGTGGCGCATGCCTGTAGTCCCAGCTACTCAGGAGGCTGAGGCACGAGAATCACTTGAACCTGGGAAGCAGAGGTTGCAGTCAGCCAAGATTGCACCACTGCACCTCAGACTGGGCAACAGACCAAGGCTCGTCTCAAAAAAAAAAAAAAAGATAAATAAATAAATGCACTCTGGGAGGCCGAGGTGGGCGGATTCCCTGAGGTCGGGAGTTTGAGACCAGACTGACCAACATGGAGAAACCCCATCTCTACTAAAAATACAATATTAGTCAGGCATGGTGGCACATGCCTGTAATCCCAGCTACTTGGGAGGCTGAGGCAGGAGAATTGCTTGGACCTGGGAAGCAGAGGTTGTGGTGAGCCAAGATGGCACCTTCCTGGGCAACAAGTCAAAACTCCATCTAAAAAATAAATAAATAAATAAATAAAATAAGCTAACAAAAACCAGAAAAAGACAGATTTTTATTCATCTACATATGCAAGAGTTCACAGAAAATTGTGACTCAAAAATGTGGTTAGCACTGGGGGCTTATATACAATCCTTTTTTTTTTTTTTTTTTGAGATGGAGTCTCACTCTGTCACCCAGGCTGGAGTGCAGTGGCGTGATCTCGGCTCACTGCAAGCTCTGCCTCTTGGGATCACGTCATTCTCCTGCCTCAGCCTCCCGAGTAGCTGGGACTACAGGTGTCTGCCACCACACCTGGCTAATTTTTTGTATTTTTGGTAGAGACAGGGTTTCACCATGTTAGCCAGGATGATCTCGATCTCCTGACCTCGTGATCCACCGGCCTCGGCCTCCCAAAGTGCTGGGATTACAGGCATGAGCCACCGCGCCCAGCCTTTACAATCTTAATAGGGGAAGGGGAAGGGAAGAAGGGGCACGTATGGGAAAACAAGTGACTTTTAGGAAAGATACATGGGCCCTTAGGAGAAAAGATTGATCATTTTGTGACAATGTTTTATCCCAGTGCAAACTTCTAGTGTCCACTGACAGGTGTCACTGTCCTCTGGTTGTGAAACTCCTACGGAGGGGATTTATGGCAGCTGAAGTCTTTTGGGGAGGTTCTACTTTTAGAGAGACAAAGGAAGTTCAGAATAAAAGACTTCACACAGTGCATCCATTTGGGCTTAAGGTGGGTCTTTCAATGAGGGACAGTAACAGGGGAGGCTTAGTTAGAATTGAGTAATGATCATGATGCAGTAGTTTAGGATTGGTGGAAACAAAAAGAGGAGGAATTTTAGGCAAAGGGGTTAAACAGTCTCAATATGAAAACTGTTCATGCTTCTATTGAAGAGCTGATAGTTCCTGTCCATCGTTCCCATAGTGAACAAACAAGTTACTTGCCGGGATAAGAGTCTATTGAAATAGTAAAGTTATGCTAATGAAAACAATGGAATGAATATTAAACTCAAGCTAATGTGGACCACAGACTGCATGGGGGTAGGTGGTCTTTGTTCTCACCAGTCAGCACACTGAACTCCTGCTCTTGCTTTGGTTTATATATCCTTTACATCTGTCTGCCTTTAGCCAGAACATTATAATCAATAGTTCCTTCTCAAACAAACAAACAAACATAAAACGACAAACATTCCTGGTCGTATAAAATGCCAGAGGAGATAAAATAATCTAGATAAAGAATCTGTTCCCCTAATATAGTATATACCGGCCAGGAGCCTCAGCACAGAGACAGGCCTGTGTCTACCCTCAACCTGGGTTTCTTGTGGACCAGCCAGTTCTTTGCAATTACAGTCTCTGGTGAACCCCAGAACAGTTCCACTAAGGAGAGGCCGTGCCCCACAGGAGAGCATAAAGCTGCCTGGCTGCCTCAGTGTGAGTTACAAAGAAGGTCAACCCCAAGCCAGTCCTCGAGACTTATGGATGGTGATGATTAAGAGAATGGACTGGGCCGGGCACTGTGGCTTCCACCTGTAATCCCAGCACTTTGGGAGGCTAAGGCAGGCAGATCACTTGAGGTCAGGAGTTCGAGACCAGCCTGGCCAACATGGAGAAACCCTGTCTGTACTGAAAAATACAAAATTAGCCGGGCATGGTGGTGCATGCCTGTAATCCCAGCTACTCGGGAGGCTGAAGCAGAATTGCTTGAACCCAGGAGATGGAGGTTGCAGTGAGCCCAGATCACGCCATTGCACTACAGCCTGGGCAACAAGAGTGAAACTCCGTCTCAAAAAAAAAAAAGAGAATAGACTGCCCAGTCATTGATGGAAGCTGTCTAGGACCTGTAAAGGTCTCCCAAAGATACTAAGACTCTGTCATTTTTAGTTACATCTCCCCAACCTGTCTCATATTAGGTACCCCAGAAAGATTTTAATAATTTCCACTTCATAGACATTTAAAGCCCAGGAGTGTTTCTCTTTCCAGTTTTTGGAAATTCTTGCCTCTCCATATCAGCATGCCATCGAAAGAGCTCTAACGAGGTGCAGTCCTTCTAATGGAGCCAAGGAGCACAAGCAGGGTGTGGCTGACTCACAGGGAGCCAGTCCGAATTCTGAAGAAAGGAAGTTTTATTCTGGCAAGTGAACATGTTCTTCGTCCTCCTTCTGATACGGACAGGAGGCAGGGAAATACTGGGTAGAAGAGGGTGGTTCCCTGGGAAAGTCCTCACCCTCAAGCCTGGAAATCAAAGCCCTAAATGAGAACAGTCATCCCTGTTTTCCAACCCAAATGTTTCTTTTTTGGCCTGCTCCACCCCTTCATCCTGTGCCCATATAAACCCCAGACCTCAGCTGGCTGAGAGAGAAGCAGTTGAACATCAAGAGGAGAAGAAGCAACTGAACATTGGAGACTATGGCTTGATGAGGCTTAACTTCAGCCAGCACAACTTCAGAGAGCAGCCCACCGGAGATGTCCAGGCTTCAGGGAAAGATCACCTTCTTCCCACACTATCCCCTTTCTGGCTCCCCTTCTGCTGAGAGCCACTTCCACTGCTTAATAAAATCCCGCATTCATCACCTTTCAAACCATTCGTGTGTCCTGATTTTTCCTGGATGCCAAACAAGAACCCAGGTACCAAGAGGGCAGGGTGTAAAAGGCTGTCACCCTGACTCTCCACTGAGCTGGTTAACACTTAGCCATCCACTGATGCCAACTGCTAAAAAAAGCATTGATTGTAACATACACATAGATGCTGCTGTGGGGCCGGAGCCCCAAAGCACTGGCCCCAGCCGTGGCACTTGCTCATCTGCATGTTCCCCCTCCCACAAGGGTTTTGAGTGTGGTGGCAGCTGAGTGAACGAGCCACACCCCTGTCACAAGTCCCGTGAAGTGGTCAAGGGAACATAGATGGGAGTGGTGCCCCCTAGAGCTGTACAGCAACTCTGTCCCATGCGACCTCTGGGTGGTCCCTCAAACTGCAGAGTACAGATACCTCCAAGCAGGGCCAGCCTTAAATTCACCATAAAGAGAACACATGCTTTGCTTTTCTGATAGTGACGCTAGATGCAAACTCATGAATCTCCATTTCCTTTATCACTTTAAAATTTAGCTGGCTGGCTTTCAAGGTTCAGATTCGAAATCCTCTCTAAGCAATGCTAGTGTGAGGAAGAAGAAAATTTTTTATCAATAATAGGTCCAGTGCAGTGGTTCATGCCTATAATTTCAGAACTTTGGGAGGCCAAGGTGGGTGGATCACTTGAGACCAGAAGTTCAAGACAAGCCTGGGCAACACAGGTGAAACCACCATCCCTACAAACAAAACAAAACAAAAAAATAGCAGGATGTGGTGGCACATGGCAGTAGTCCCAGCTACTTAGGAGGCTGAGATGGGAGGATCACTTGAGCCCAGGAGTTGGAGGTTGCAGTGAGCCAAGATTGTGCTACTACACTCCAGCCTGGGTGACAGAGCAAGACCTTGTCTCTGAAAAAAAATTTTTGTTAAGAAATCATAACATATATCATGTTAATGTAAACCAATGTATCTTGAGCAGAATAAATTGTGGGTTTGTAGGGATAAGATCCCTTAATTCAGGAGAGCTTTATCAGAATACTAGGTAGGATGGGGAGTTACATGTAATTTCAAAGGGCTATAAAATAATTTGATATTTTGGAGCAATTATTTTTTGGTAATTGGAAGAGAACAAAGGTCAACAAAACCTTCTGATGGAAGTGATTCTCAGGCAGGTGGGATACATTCCTTCAGTGAACGCATTGGAAACCCTCACAGGAGAAGGGAGAAACTTCCCCTGCTTTTTGTTAGCAAAGCAGAGAGGGTTACAAAGGAAACACTGTAAACTACCACATGTAAATTCACCTCCGGGAGGACTACAGTTCATATTTGCAAATGTGTCAGGATTCCATTAGAATACAGTAGTAAATAATAGTAACTCAAGTGGACTTGTAATCTGACAGATCCTAGTGTATATCTTTGACTCTGCCATTCTTTTGCTGTGTGATCCTAGACAAGTTATTTAATGTCTTTGAGTCTCAGTTTTATCATTTATAAAATGTGATTCATTTGTTGTCATTTCGCATATGAAAATCTAGTCCCAGAAAACACTCAATAGATGGCAGCTATTATTGTTAATAACCATCCTGAACATTTAGAACCATCTTTTGATTTCATCAGTTACCCCAAATTTCTCTCCCATTCTTAAAGAAATCAGAGATTCTGAATCTGTGTGTGTGTGTGTGTTTGTGTGTGTGTGTGTGTGTGTGTTTAAGTATTCTGGTTTGAAACGCAGGTGACATTTGCCTACACCTGTTGTGAGAGAAAAGTCTCCAGTGGTTTTGCCTACCACCAAACTGTCCACAAGAGACAAATGAGAATCCCTGTGCCTCCAGGAAGTCCTCACAGTCTCTGGAAGGCAAGAGAGTCAATTTCCTTGAATGACAAATTATGGAGAACAATCACTGGGCAGAAAAACCAACAGGGCACAGCTATGTTCATATTCAAGGCTGCTGCTTGCAAAACATAAGTTTGGCTCATTTTCCAAATTCAGATAAAGAAAATACTCAGCTACTCAGTCAGCTCAGACTCCATCTATGTGACTCTAAACGCCCCCCATATTCAAAGACAGACAAAAATCTGGGTGTTTTGGCATCTGTATTAGTCTGTTCTCATGCTGCTAATAAAGATATACCTGAGACTGAGTAATTTGTAAAGGAAAGAGGTTTAATGGACTCACAGGTCCACATGGCTGGGGAGGCCTCATAATCGTGGTGGAAGGCTAATGAGGAGCAAAGTCACATCTTACATGGCAGCAGGCAAGAGAGCTTGTGCAGGGGAACTCCCCTTTATAAAACCATCAGATCTCGTGACACTTATTTATGATGGGGGAAACTGCCCCCATGATTCAATTATCTCTACCTGCCCCCACCCTTGACACATGGGGATTATTACAATTCAAGGTGAGAGTTGGGTGGGGACACAGCCAAACCATATCAGTATCATATAGATAAAATACTCATTTATTTTTACTTTTATTTTATTTTATTTTATTTATTTTTTGAGACAGGTTCTCACTTTGTCACCCAGGCTGTAGTGCAGTGGTGTGATCTCGGCTCACTGCAACCTCTGCCTCCCAGGTTCAAGCAATTTTCCTGCCTCAGCCTCCCAAGTAACTGGAACTACAGGCACACACCATGTCACCTGGCTAATTTTTGTATTTTTTGGTAGAGACAGGGTTTCACTGTGTTGGCCAGACTGGTCTTGAACTCCTGGCCTCAAGTGATCCACCTGCCTCAATCTCCCAAAGTGCTGAGATTACAGTCATGAGCCATCACGCCTGGCCTATTTTTATTTTTTTTATAATGTAATGTAATTTATTTTTTGACACAGGGTTTTGCTCTCTTGCCCAGGCTGGAGTGCAGTGGCAGGATCATGGCTCACTGCAGCCTCAATTTGCTGGGCCCAAGTGATCTTCCTGCCTCACCCTCCTGAGTTGCTGGGACTACAGGTATGCACCACCATGCCTGATTACTTTTTTTTTTTTTTTTTTTTGTAGAGATAGAGTCTCACTTTGTTGCCCAGGCTAGTCTTGAACTCCTGAACTCAAGCTATATATATATATATATACACACACACACACACACACACACACACACATACAAACACATATATGTATATATGTATATACATGTATATATGTGTATATATGTATATATGTATATATCTGTGTATATATGTATATATGTGTATATATGTATATATATGTATATGTGTATATATATGTATATGTGTGTGTGTGTATATATGTGTGTGTGTGTGTATATATATATATATTTTGTTTGTTTGTTTGTTTGTTTTGAGACGGAGTTTTGCTCTTGTCGCCCAGGCTGGAGTGCAATGGCACGATCTCGGCTCACTGCAACCTCTGCCTCCTGGTTTCAAGTGATTCTCCTGCCTCAGCCTCCCGAGTAGCTGGGATTACAGGCATCCACCACCAAGCCCAGCTAATTTTTGTGTTTTTAGTAGAGATGGGGTTTTGCCACGTTGGCCTAGCTGGTCTCAAACTCCTGACCTCGGGTGATCCACCCACCTTGGCCTCCCAAAGTGCTGGGATTACAGAAGTGAGCCACCATGCCTGGCCTCAAGCCATCTTCTTACCTCAGCCTCCCAAGTAGCTAGGACCACAGGTGTGAACCACCACACTCAGCTAATTTTTGCATGTTTGGTAGAGATAGGGTTTCATCATGTTGCCAAGGCTTGTCTTGAATTCCTGGTCTCAAGAGATCCTCCCATCTCAGCCTCCTAAACTGCTGGGATTATTGGTGTGAGCCACCTTGCCCAAATATTATTTTATTTAGATTCAGGGGGCACATGTACAGGTTTGTTACTTGGGTATATTGTGTGATGCTGAGATTTGGGTTTCTAATGATCCTGTCTCCCAAGTAGGGAATGTAGAACCCAATAGGTAGTTTTTCAACCCTTTCCCCCTCCTCCCTTCCACTTTTGGAATCCCCAGTATCAATTGTTCCCATCTTTGTGTCTGTGTACCCAAGTTTAGCTCCCACTTATAAGGGAGAACATGCAGAAAATACCCATTTTAAAACTGAACATTTTACTTTTATTTGGATATTTAACAGCATGTATTTATGTATTTACATATGCCCCCCTACTTCCCCAAAGGGTTTGAGATGGCAACATCATAAAGAAAGCCCTAGGTTATAATTTGCTCTAGAAAACCTCTAGCGTAATGCCTTACAAAAACAGTGTTTGAAGGGGAGGAGTCATGAGCTTATGTAAACACAGCACCATTAATTTAAGTAGTAAACTAAAATAACAAACAATATACTAGGCATAAAATTGAATCAGCAATTGCATCTTAAAGTACCAGCGTGAAAACATAATCATTTTAACTAGATGAGAGCACTCTTTATTATAACAAAATTAATCTGCAAAATCCATTTGCATTTGTCTATGTGCTTGACACCAACACAATTTCAGAAGCAAGCTTCCTAAAGGACTGAAGTTATTACCATAACACTCTGGTCAAATTCTCCCAGAACAAAAATTCAGTTAGTCTTTAAGTGAGAAAAGAAAAAACACATTTTATGTCACAACAGGACTAAGGCTTTATTTCTTCACATCATTTATATATTACAGTCATAAAAGGAAATCATCAAATTCTAAATAGCAGCTACAACTGTAACAGCTACAATCCCTTGAGCAATTCCTATATGCTGAATGCTTTAAACACATGAAATAGAACGGTGTGGAATGAGGGCCTGCCCCCTAGTTTGGGTTGGGTGTGTACCATCCATCATTAGATCTTTATTGTCATCACTATATTTTATTAACAATAAAAAATAAGTGGTAAGGTGAATTTACGAATTATACAAGCATTAAATTTTGGTTTATAATCTAAGCAGGACTTTGCAAATCGTGTGTTTTCTCAAGTTAAAATACAAAAGTATGGGCTAGGCATGGTGGCTTATGCCTGTAATCCCAGCACTTTGGGAGGCCAAGGCAGGCAGATTGCTTGAGGTCAGGAGTTCAAGACCAGCCTGGCCAACATGGTGAAACTCCGTCTCTACTAAAAATACAAAAATTAGCTAGGCATGGTGGTGCACACCTGTAAACTCAGCTACTCGAGAGGCTGAGGCACGAGAATCACTTGAACCTGGGAGGCAGAGGTTGCAGTGAGCCGAGATTGCACCACTGCACTCCAGTGTGGGCAACACAGCAAGATTCTGTCTTAAAAAAAAAAAAAAAAAAACTCTCTCTCTCTCTCTCTCTCTCTCTCTCTATATATATATATATATATATATATATTCTGAGTATGTATTTATACACAAGGGCAAACTAAGTGCAATTCCACCAAACACTATCCAGTCTTGTGTATTTGTAGCTGCCTTTGTTGAATACTTTTCACTACACTCCAGGCACAAGCTGACCCTTTTTGGTCCTTACCACAAGCCTGGGAAGAAGGCAGTAGTGTGTTTGCCTCACAGTTGGAGAAACTGAGGCTTGGAAGGCATAGACCACAAGTAGGAGACTCTGAGTCCTACCTGCTTGGCAACAAAGATTATCATGCCTGTTATCACCACATTCTCCCGTTTTCTTAACATTTTATCTCACCTTTAATTTGTGTTATTTCTCCACGTGGCTTTTTGTTCCTGATACTAAGAGTATATAATTAAATAAAGCTCACTGTTAGAGTTTATCTTCATTATTTGTCTTGTAAATAAAATTAAAACACCAACATCCTAGGTCTGCAGTTCAAATTCTCTGGTACACATTCCTTGCTGGAAGTGTGACCACACCTGAAGGAGGTTGATCCAGTCAGTACCCAACCAACTGGGGAAAATGATCTGATGGCTGCCATGCTGGCTTTAGATGCCGAATGTACTAGTCAGTTTTCATGCTGCTGATAAAGACATATCTGAGACTGAGAAGAAAAGGAGGTTTAATGGACTTACAGTTCCACGTGGCTGGGGAGGCCTCACAATCATGGCAGAAGGCAAGGAGGAGCAAGTCACGTTTTACATGGATGGCAGAGGCAGAGAGCTTGTGCAGGGAAACTCCCATTTCTAAAACCATCAGATCTCATGAGACTCATTCATTGTCATGAGAACAGCACAGGAAATACTCACCTCCATAATTCAATCACCTCCCACCAAGTTCCTCCTGCAGCACATGGGAAACATAGGCATTACAATTCAAGATGAGATTTGGGTGGGGACACAGCTGAACCATATTTTCCCACCACTGGCTCCTCCCAAATCTTATGTCCTCACATTTCAAAACCAATCATGCCTTCCCAATAGTCCCCCAAAGTCTTAACTCATTTCAGCATTAACTCAAAAGTCCACAGTCCAACATCTCATCTGAGACAATGTAGGTCCCTTCCACCTATAAGCCTGTAAAATCAAAAGCAAGTTAGTTGCTTCCTAGATACAATGGGGGTACAGGCATTGGGTAAATACAGCCATTCCAAATGAAAGAAATTGACCAAAACAAATGGCTACATGCCCCATGCAAGTCCAAAATACAGCAGAGCAGTCAAATCTTGAAGCTCTAAAATGATCTCCCTTGACTCCATGTTTCACATCCCAGTCACTGTTATGAGAGGTGGGTTCCTATGGTCTTGGGCAGCTCTGCTCCTGTGGCTTTGCAGGGTACAGCCTTCCTCCTGGCTACCTTCATGGGCTGGCATTGAGTGTCTATGGCTTTTCCAGGCTCATGGTGCAAGCTGTTGGTAGATCTACCATTCTGGGGTCTGGAGGACGGTGGCCCTCTTCTCACAGCTCCACTAGATAGTGCCCCAGTAGAGACTCTGTGTGGGGGCTCCAACCCCACATTTCCCTCCACACAGCCCTAGCAGAGGTTCTCCATGACAGCCTCACCCCTGCAGCAAACTTCTACCTGGACGTCCAGGCATTTCCATATATTCTCTGAAATCTAGGCAGAGGTTCCCAAACCTCAATTCTTGACCTCTGTGCACCAGAAGGCTCAACACCACATGGAAGCTGCCAAGGCTTTGGGCTTTCACCTTCTGAAGCCATGGCCTGAGCTGTGCCTTGGCTCCTTTTAGTCATGGCTGGAGTGGCTTGGACACAGGGCACCAAGTCCCTGGACTACACATAGCGCAGGGACCCTGGGTCTGGCCCACGAAACCAATTTTTCCACCTAAAGCTCTGGGCTGTGATGGGAGGGACCGCCACAAAGGTTTCTGACATGCCCTGGAGACATTTTCCCCATTGTCTTGGGGATTAACATTCGGCTCCTCAGTACTTAATGCAAGTTTCTGCAGCCATCTTGAATTTCTCCTCAGAAAAAAATGTGATTTTCTTTTCTATTGCATTGTCAGGCTGCAAATTTTCCAAACTTTTACGCTCTGCTTCCCTTTTAAAACTGAATGTCTTTAATAGCACCCAAGTCACCTCTTGAATGCTTTGCTGCTTAGAAATTTCTTCCACCAGATACGCTAAATCATGTCCCTTAAGTTCAAAGTTCCACAAATCTCTAGGCAGGGGCAAAATGCTGTCAGTCTCTTTGCTAAAAGATAACAAGAGTCACCTTTGCTCCAGTTCCCAACAAGTTCCTCATCTCCATCTGAGACCACCTCAGCCTGGATTTCATTGCCCATATCATTATCAGCATTTTGGTCAAAGACATTCAACAAGTCTCTAGGAAGTTCCAAACTTTCCCACATTTTCCTGTCTTCTTCTGAGCCCTCCAAACTGTTCCATCCTCTGCCTCTTACCCAGTAGTTTCAAAGTTGCTTCCACATTTTTGGGTATCTTTTCAGCAACGCCCCACTCTACTGGTACCAATTTACTGTATTAGTCGATTTTCACACTGCTGATAAAGACCTACCTGAGACTGGGAAGAAAAGGGGGTTTAATGAACTTACAGTTCCATGTGGCTGGGGAGGCCTCACAATTATGGTGGAAGGTAAGGAGGAGCAAGTCACATCTTATGTGGATGGCAGCAGGCAAAGAGAGAGCTTGTTCAGGGAAACTCCTGTTTTTAAAACCATCAGATCTTGTGAGACTCATTCACTATCATGAGAACAGCACAGGAAAGACTCACCTCCATAATTCAATCACCTCCCACTGGGTTCCTCCCGCAATATGTGGGAATTCTAGAAGTTACAACTCAAGATAAGATTTGGGTGGGGACACAGCCAAACCATATCACTGAGAGTGTAAATCACTCCTTTACTCATAGGAAGGGCATGTTTGGCTTCTTAGAGAGATTGTAAGTTAACACTGACAACAAGAACCATGCCTTACATTGTAATTCTCCTGGCAGATGCTAAAATGCACAGCACAGCCCTGTGCTTTGATATAGTAAGTGTATATTATTAGATAATAAATGTTCAATAAATGTGAGCTGAACTGACTCTAACTTGATTATACCAAGAACTGAGGGAATCTGCTTCACATTCTGCCTCTCCATCCCAAGTCTGTTTAGTGCCTTATGAGATGGTAAGAGGAGAACAACTGACACAAGCCACATTGTAGTTACCCAAATTCAACCTCTACTCTATTTCAGAAGTCCATTGTCATGATCAAACCCCATCTTTTTTAGTAATCACACAGAACTGCTTTAGTGCTAATCCACCTCCTAATATTCCTATTATTTCTCTAAATTCTCCCATCATAATGTAGTCAATCATTCAATGAAACTTTAAGGATTAGCTAACACTAGGCAAAGCAGCAGAGAGGACAGATGTGGAGGTGAAATATTACTGTGCCCACTTTCAGGGATTATACCATCTAGTAGAGGAAAAGATTAGAACATCAATCACAGTGGACCAGTTGCCATGAGGGAAAGAAAGGGGTGCCTTCCTGAGAAAGTCAGTATACCCCTTCTCCACCAGCCCCACCCTGGATCAGCTTAACCATTTGCCTCCTCCCCTCCCCATCCTGTGGTCTGTTAGTAAAGCCAAGGGGATTGGTTCCTCTCCACACTTACAGCATCTCCATTGCTATCTGCCCACAGCTTTCCCAATGGCACTCCCAACCATTGGCTCAACCTTCCCAGTGACAGAAAAGAGAGGCTCCCAGACACAAATACTTAAATTTGTTATCTCCTGAGAATGTATCTGTCACCATATGCACTCTTCTTACTTCCTTCTTTAAAGTCTTCCTTTCACAAGCTAATTCCTCCAGTGAGCTTTGGGATAACATTCTCTCCCGCCTCCCCAGGGCACCCGCTGTACTAATAATCCTCCCTCCCGGTTACCCAAGCCAGAAGTCAGTCTTTCAAAATCCTTGCTTTTACATCCTCCCATTGAATCAATTATAATATTTAATTTAACTAATCTCTTCCAATGATTTATCTTGACTACTCCTTGGAACTGTCCCTTCATCTCCAAAAGAACAATAGCATAAGTAACAGAAATCAGAATGTGTGCCTTGTCCTTAGCATATTCCAGTGACTCTCCATTGCTTTTGTAGATTGGCATTCAAGGCTTTTCATCATTTGACTCCTGCCCATCTCCGTGGCCTTCTTTCTTGTCACTTCCTTTTTCAAAAACGAAGTTCCCCAAACCTCAAAACCACTTATACCTGCTTAGATACACCACGCTTACTTACATCCTCAAGGCTTTATTAGAAGTTTATCTTCTGAAGTAATGCAAACTCCTCCCTCTTCTTTACTCTCATATACTCCTGGTCACCAAATTCTACTTCTCTGATCTCTTAAATGGCTCTTCCATATGATGCTTCTTGCCCAACAGCAGCAGAATGCTAATTCTTCTTAAGTGCACATGAAACATTCTCCAAGATAGATCATATGTTAGGCCACTGCAATGGTTTGAATGTGTCCCCCAGAAAGCATGCATTGGAAACTCAACCCCCAATGCAATAGTGTTGGGAGGCAGAGCCTAATGAAAAGTATTTAGGCCATGAAAGCAGAGTGAATGGATTAATGTCCTTATCACGGGAGTGGGTTCTTTTATTTTATTTATTTATTTACTTATTTATTATACTTTAAGTTTTAGGGTACATGTGTACAACGTGCAGGTTAGTTACATATGTATACATGTGCCACATGTGCCATGTTGGTGTGCTGTACCCATTAACTCGTCATTTAACATTAGGTATATCTCCTAATGCTATCTTTCCCCCCTCCCCCCACCCCACAACAGGCCCCAGTGTGTGATGTTCCTCTTCCTGTGTCCATGTGTTCTCATTGTTCAATTCCCACCTATGAGTGAGAACATGCGGTGTTTGGTTTTCTATCCTTGGGGTACTTTGCTGAGAATGATGGTTTCCAGCTTCATCCATGTCCCTACAGAGGACATGAACTCATCATTTTTTATCGCTGCATAGTATTCCATGTTGTATATGTGCCACATTTTCTTAATCCAGTCTATCATTGTTGGACATTTGGGTTGGTTCCAAGTCTTTGCTATTGTGAATAGTGCTGCAATAAACATACTTGTGCATGTGTCTTTATAGCAGCATGACTTATAATCCTTTGGGTATATACCCAGTAATGGGATGGCTGGGTCAAATGGTATTTCTAGTTCTAGATCCCTGAGGAATCGCCACACTGACTTCCACAATGGTTGAACTAGTTGACAGTCCCACCAACAGTGTAAAAGTGTTCCTATTTCTCCACATCCTCTCCAGCACCTGTTGTTTCCTGAATTTTTTTTTCTTTTTTTGAGACAGAGTCTCACTGTCATCCAGGCTGGAGTGCAGTGGTGTGATCTTGGCTCACAGCAGGCTCTGCCCCCTGGGGTTCACGCCATTCTCCTGCCTCAGCCTCCTGCGTAGCTGATACTACAGGTGCCTGCCACCTTGCCCAGCTGATTTTTTGTATTTTTAGTAGAGACGGGGTTTCACCATGTTAGCCAGGATGGTCTCCATCTCCTGACCTCATGATCTGCCCGCCTCAGCCTCCCAAAGTGCTGGGATTACAGGCATGAGCCACCGCGCCCAGCCATTTCCTGACTTTTTAATGATCGCCATTCTAACTGGTGTGAGATGGTATCTCATTGTGGTTTTGATTTGCATTTCTCTGATGGCCAGTGATGATAAGCATTTTTTCATGTGTCTTTTGGCTACATAAATGTCTTCTTTTGAGAAGTGTCTGTTCATATCCTTCACCCACTTTTTGATGGGGTTGTTTGTTTTTTCTTGTAAATTTGTTGGAGTTCATTGTAGATTCTGGATATTAGCCCTTTGTCAGATGAGTAGATGGCAAAAATTTTCTCCCATTCTGTAGGTTGTCAGTTCACTCTGATGGTAGTTTCTTTTGCTGTGCAGAAGCTCTTTAGTTTAATTAGATCCCATTTGTCAATTTTGCCTTTTGTTGCCATTGCTTTTGGTGTTTTAGACATGAAGTCCTTGCCCATGCCTATGTCCTGAATGGTATTGCCTAGTTTTTCTTCTAGGGTTTTTGTGGTTTTAGGTCTAACATTTAAGTCTTTAATCCATCTTGAATTAATTTTTGTATAAGGTGTAAGGAAGGGATCCAGTTTCAGCTTTCTACATATGGCTAGCCAGTTTTCCCAGCACCATTTATTAAATAGGGAATCTCTTCCCTATTTCTTGTTTTTGTCAGGTTTGTCAAAGATCAGGGAGTTGTAGATATGCAGCATTTTTTCTGAGGGCTCTGTTCTGTCCCATTGGTCTATATCTCTGTTTTGATACCAGTACCATGCTCTTTTGGTTACTATAGCCTTGTAGTATAGTTGGAAGTCAGGTAGTGTGATGTCTCCAGCTTTGTTCTTTTGGCTTAGGATTGACTTGCCAATGCAGGCTCTTTTTTGGTTCCATATGAACTTTAAAGTAGTTTTCTCCAATTCTGTGAAGAAAGTCATTGGTAGCTTGATGGGGATGGCATTGAATCTATAAATTACTATGGGCAGTATGGCCATTTTCACGATATTGATTCTTCCTACCCATGAGCATGGAATGTTCTTCCATTAGTTTGTATCCTCTTTAATTTCATTGAGCAGTGGTTTGTAGTTCTCCTTGAAGAGGTCCTTCACGTCCCTTGTAAGTTGGATTCCTAGGTATTTTATTCTCTTTGAAGCAACTGTGAATGGGAGTTCACTCATGATTTGGCTCTCTGTCTGTTATTGGTGTATAAGAATGCTTGTGATTTTTGCACATTGATTTTGTATCCTGAGACTTTGCTGGAGTTGCCTATCAGCTTAAGGAGATTTTGGGCTGAGATGATGGGGTTTTCTAGATATACAATCATGTCATCTGCAAACAGGGACAATTTGACTTCCTCTTTTCCTAATTGAATACCCTTTATTTCCTTCTCCTGCCTAATTGCCCTGGCCAGAACTTCCAACACTATGTTGAATAGGAGTGGTGAGAGAGGGCATTCCTGTCTTGTGCCAGTGTTCAAAGGGAATGCTTCCAGTTTTTGCCCATTCAGTATGATATTGGCTGTGGGTTTGTCATAGATAGCTCTTATTATTTGAGATACGTCCCATCAATACCTAATTTATTGAGAGTTTTTAGCATGAAGGGCTGTTGAATTTTGTCAAAGGCCTTTTCTGTATCTATTGAGATAATCATATGGTTTTTGTTGTTGACTCTGTTTATATGCTGGATTACATTTATTGATTTGCGTATGTTGAACCAGCCTTGCATCCCAGGGATGAAGCCCACTTGATCACGGTGGATAAGCTTTTTGATGTGCAGCTGTATTCGGTTTGCCAGTATCTTATTGAGGATTTTTACATCAATGTTCATCAGGGATATTGGTCTAAAATTCTCTTTTTTTGTTGTGTCTCTGCCTGGCTTTGGTATCAGGATGATGCTGGCCTCATAAAATGAGTTAGGGAGGATTCCCTCTTTTTCTATTGATTGGAATAGTTTCAGAAGGAATGGTACCAGCTCCTCCTTGTACCTCTGGTAGAATTTGGCTGTGAATCCATCTGGCCCTGGACTTTGTTTGGTTGGTAAGCTGTTAATTATTGCCTCAATTTCAGAGGCTGTTATTGGTCTATTCAGGGATTCAACTTCTTCCTGGTTTAGTCTTGGGAGGGTGTATGTGTCAAGGAATCTATCCATTCCTTCTAGGTTTTCTAGTTTATTTGCGTAGCTGTGTTTATAGTATTCTCTGATGGTAGTTTGTATTTCTGTGGGATTGGTGGTGATATCCCCTTTATAATTTTTTATTGCGTCTGTTTGATTCTTCTCTCTTTTCTCCTTTATTAGTCTTGCTAGTGGTCTATCGATTTTGTTGATCTTTTCAAAAAACCAGCTCCTGGATTCATTGATTTTTTGAAGGGTTTTTTGTGTCTCTATTTCCTTCAGTTATGCTCTGATCTTAGTTATTTCTTGCCTTCTGCTAGCTTTTGAATGTGTTTGCTCTTGCTTCTCCAGTTCTTTTAATTGTGATGTTAGGGTGTCAATTTTAGATCTTTCCTGCTTTCTCTTGTGGGCATTAGTGCTATAAATTTCCCTCTACACACTGCTTTGAATGTGTCCCAGAGATTCTGGCATGTTGTGTCTTTGTTCTCATTGGTTTCAAAGAACATCTTTATTTCCGCCTTCATTTCGTTATGTACCCAGTAGTCATTCAGGAGCAGGTTGTTCAGTTTCCATGCAGTTGAGCGGTTTTGAGTGAGTTTCTTAATCCTGAGTTCTAGTTTGATTACACTGTGGTCTGAGAGACAGTTTGTTATAATTTCTGTGCTTTTACATTTGCTGAGGAGTGCTTTACTTCCAACTATGTGGTCAATTTTGGAATAGGTGTGGTGTGGTACTGAAAAGAATGTATAATTTTTGATTTGGGGTGGAGAGTTCTGTAGATGTCTATTAGATCCGCTTGGTGCAGAGCTGAGTTGAATTCCTGGATATCATTGTTAACTTTCTGTCTTGTCGATCTGTCTGATGTTGACAGTGGGGTGTTAAAGTCTCCCATTATTATTGTGTGGGAGTCTAAGTCTCTTTCTAGGTCTCTAAGGACTTGCTTTATGAATCTGGGTGCTCCTGTATTGGGTGCATATATATTTAGGATAGTTAGCGCTTCTTGTTGAATTAATCCCTTTACCATTATGCAATGGCCTTCTTTGTCCCTTTTGATCTTTGTTGGTTTAAAGTCTGTTTTATCAGAGACTAGGATTGCAACCCCTGCCTTTTTTTGTTTTCCATTTGCTTGGTAGATCTTCCTCCATCCCTTTATTTTGAGCCTATGTGTGTCTCTGCACGTGAAATGGGTCTCCTGAATACAGTAATATTGTTATGTGTGAATTTGATCCTGTCATTATGATGTTAGCTGGTTATTTTGCTCATTAGTTGGTGCAGTTTCTTCCTAGCCTTGACAATCTTTACGATTTGGCATGATTTGTAGTGGCTGGTACCAGTTGTTCCTTTCCATGTTTAGTGCTTCCTTCAGGAGCTCTTTTAGGGCAGGCCTGCTGGTGACAAAATCTCTCAGCATTTGCTTGTCCGTAAAGGATTTTATTTCTCCTTCACTTATGAAGCTTAGTTTGGCTGGATATGAAATTCTGGGTTGAAAATTCTTTTCTTTAAGAATGTTGAAGATTGGCCCCCACTCTCTTCTGGCTTATAGAGTTTCTGCCAAGAGATCAGCTGTTAGTCTGATGAGCTTCCCTTTGTGGGTAACCCCACCTTTCTCTCTGGCTGCCCTTAACATTTTTTCCTTCATTTCAACTTTGGTGAATCTAACAATTATGTGTCTTGGAGTTGCTGTTCTCGAGGAGTATCTTTGTGGCGTTCTCTGCATTTCCTAAATTTGAATGTTGGCCTGCCTTGCTAAATTGGGGAAGTTCTCCTGGATAATATCCTGCAGAGTGTTTTCCAACTTGGTTCCATTCTCCCCGTCACTTTCAGGTACACCAATCAGATGTAGATTTGGTCTTTTCATGTAGTCCCATACTTCTTGGAGGCTTTGTTCATTTCTTTTTATTCTTTTTTCTCTAAACTTCTCGCTTCATTTCATTCATTTGATCTACCATCACTGATATCCTTTCTTCCAGATGATTGAATCAGCTACTGAGGCTTGTGCATTCGTCACGTAGTTCTCATGCCTTGGTTTTCAGCTCCATCATGTCCTTTAAGGACTTCTCTGCATTGGTTATTCTAGTTAGCCATTCATCTAATCCTTTTTCAAGGTTTTTAACTTCTTTGCCATGGGTTCAAACTTCCTCCTTTAGCTCAGAGTAGTTTGATCATCTGAAGACTTCTTCTCTCAACTCGTCAAAGTCATTCTCCGTCCAGCTTTGTTCTGTTGCTGGTGAGGAGCTGCGTTCCTTTGGAGGAGGAGAGGCGCTCTGATTTTTAGAGTTTCCAGTTTTTCTGCTCTGTTTTTTCCCCATCTTTGTGGTTTCATCTACCTTTGGTCTTTGATGATGGTGACACATAGGTGGGGTTTTGGTGTGGATGTCCTTTCTGTTTGTTAGTTTTCCTTCTAACAGTCAGGACCCTCAGCTGCAGGTCTGTTGGAGTTTGCCTGAGGTCCATTCCAGACCCTTTTTGCCTAGGTATCAGCAGTGGAGGCTGCAGAACAGCGGATATTGGTGAACAGCAAATGTTGCTCCCTGATCGTTCCTCTGGAAGTTTTGTCTCAGAGGAGTACCAGGCCGTGTGAGGTGTCAGTCTCCCCCTACTGGGGGGTGCCTCCCAGTTAGGCTACTCGGGGGTCAGGGACCCACTTGAGGAGGCAGTCTGTCCATTCTCAGATCTCCAGCTGCGTGCTGGGAGAAGCACTACTCTTTTCAAAGCTGTCAGACAGGGACATTTAAGTCTGCAGAGGATTCTGCTGCCTTTTGTTTGGCTTTGCCCTGCCCCCAGAGGTGGAGTCTACAGAGACAGGCAGGCCTCCTTGAGCTGCGGTGGGCTCCACCCAGTTTGAGCTTCCCTGCTGCTTTGTTTACCTACTCAAGCCTCGGCAATGGCAGGCACCCCTCCCCCAGCCTCACTGCTGCCTTGCAGTTTGATCTCAGCCTGCTGTGCTAGCAATGAGTGAGGCTCCGTGAGCACAGGACCCTCCAAGCCATGCACGGGATATAATCTCCTGGTGCGCCATTTGCTAAGACCGTTGGAAAACTGCAGTATTAGGGTGGGAGTGACCCAATTTTCCAGGTGCAGTCTGTCACCCCTTTCTTTGACTAGGAAAGGGAATTCCCTGACCCCTTGTGCTTACCGGGTGAGGCGATGCCTCACCCTGCTTTGGCTCACGCTCAGTGCGCTGCACCCACTGAGGAGTGGGTTCTTTATAAAAGGGAGCATTTGGTCCCCATTTACTCTCTCTCTCACCCTCTCTTGCCCTTCTGCCTTCCACCACAGGATGACAAAAAGGCCTTCACCAGATGCTAGTACCTCTATCTTGGACTTCCTAGCCTCCAGTATCATGAGCCAATAAATTTATTTCCATTATAAATTACCTTGTCTCAGGTATTCTGTCACAGCAGCACAAAATGGACTAAGACAGCTGCAAAACAAGTCTTAGCAAATTTCAGAAGATTAAAATTATATTAAGTATCTTTTCTGACCACACTAATATGAAACTAGAAATCAATAACAGGGAGAAAACTGGAACATTCACAAATTCATGAAAATTTAAAAATATGTTCCTGAACAACCAGTAGGAAAAAGAATAAATCTAAAGGGAAATTTTAAAAAATATATTGAGATATACCAATATGGAAACACAATACACCAACATTTATGGGATGGAGCAAAAGCTCTTCTAAGAGAAAAGTTTATAGCAATAAAGGCCAACACTAAAAAAGAGAAAAGATCTCAAATAAACTACCTAAAATTACACCTCAAGGAACTTTAAAAAAAAGAACAAACTAAGCCCAAAGAAGAAAGGAAATAATACAGAGCAGACATAAATAAAATAGAGGCTAGAAAAAACAAAATAAAAGATCAAGAATACTAAGAATTTGTTTTTTGGAAAAGTAAACAAAATTGACACCCTTAAGCTAGACTAAGAAAGAGAGAATACTCAAATAAATAAAATTATAAATGAAAGAAAAGACACTACATCTGATACCAGAGTAATACAAAGGATGATAAGAGTCTACTATGAACAATTACATACCAATAAATTGGATAACCTAGAAGAAACGGATAAATTCCTAGCAACATACAACCTACCAAGACTGAATCATGAAGAAATAGAAAATCTGAACAAATCATTAGCAAGCAAGGAGATTGAATCCATAATTTAAAAAATCTCCCATCAAAGAAAGCCCAGGAATTCTACCAAACATTTTTTAAATTAATACCAATCTTCTAAAAATTATTTCCAAAAAAAAATGAAGAGAAACAGAGAACAGTAGTTGCCAGGAGCTAGGGTGGGGAAGGGAGTCGGGAGATGCTGGTCAGTGGGTATAGAGTATCAGTTAGACAGGATGAATGAGTTCTGGAGATGTATCGTACAACATGGTGACTAAAGTTAATTATATTATATATTTGAAAATTGCTAAGAAAGAAGACCTTAAATACTCTCACCACATTAAAAAATGATAAATATGTGAGATAAAATGATAAAAATAAATGTTGGTTAGATTGATTCTATCATTTATAATGTATCCATATATCCACACATCATATTGTATGTCATGAATATATTCATCTTGTATTTGTCAATTATATATATATCTTTTAATAAAACTGAAAAGAATTCACCCCTCACCAAAAGATATGGCATTTCTCTACCAGGCTAAATCCTTTTCACCTGCAAAATTTCTCTTTAAGCATCCCCTCTCCTGGAACCCTTCCCTGGTACCCTCTCTTATAAAGGCTGGCTTAGTTGCCTCCTCTTGGTGCTCCCTTTATTTCACAAGGGATATTTTCAGCATGGTCTTCTTGCAACCTTGTCAGCCTTCATGGTGGGGGTGGCCTTTCTTCTGTGCAATTTCAGTGCCTACTATAGTGTCTGGAACATAACAAACATTCAAATTGTTGCAGAGCAGATGAGCGAGGTATTCAGGAGAAAGAATGGAACAAAATGGGGAAGAATTTTGTCCTTCTTACTGTCCACTACTGACTCGCATTTGGGTTCTTATCTTCTATTCTCACCTAAGAGGTATAAAGGGTTTATATTTACTTTGGGTTCCACCCAATCTCCTTTTGGCTTCTATAACAGTTTTTTGTGGCCCATCTGACCATTGTAATACTCCTTACCAAAGATATGAGTTGGGGGCAGAAGGCAAACTATATATGATTGAGAGATATTTAACACAGTTTCATGGATTCAGTGTGATAGTGGAAAAATTACTAAGCCATTTACCACCCAATGCCACTTGTCTAATATACTCTAAGTCCTGGAGATTTTATCTGGCTCCTGACAAAATCTCTCCATTCAGGCAGAATTCTCCAACCCCTGTTTCCTCCACCCTGCCAACACGGTTACTCCAACTTTTATTTATTCTGCTCTCCTTTTGAGATTTTTGTCACCTCCTGCATTATCCTTACCGGGCTTTCATTTTGTGATTCCTTTAATTCCAACATCTTTCTACCATTTTTCTCACAGGCCCTGTAACTCAAGCCATAGTCCTCTGCATTTTCCATTTGAGATCTTCAAAACACATCTCCTTTTTATTTATTTAATTATTTATTTATTTATTTATTTATTTTTGAGACAGAGTATCGCTCTGTTGCCCAGGCTGGAGTGCAGTGGCGTGATCTCAGCTCACTGCAACCTCCACCTCCAGGGTTCAAGTGATTCTCCTGACTCAGCTGGATTAGCTGAGGATCCAGTAGCTGGGATTACAGGTGTGTGCCACCACGCCCAGTTAATTTTTGTATTTTTACTAGAGATAGGTTTCACCATGTTGACCAGGCTGATCTCGAACCCCTGACCTCAAGTGATCATCCACCCACCTCGGTCTCCCAAAGTGCTGGGATTATAGGCATGAGCCACTGCACCTGGCCTCATGTGTCCTTTTCAAACACAACTCAGAGTAATATTAGCTTCTTCTTTAAAAATGTTCATGCTCTACTATTTACATTTTAATTAAGATAATGATGTCTCAAGGTATACGGTACCACTTCTCAATTCAACCTACCTTTTAGGGAGTCGTTTTCATCACCTCCTCTTCACCCCATTGGTGAGGGGGTATTCCGGCATTAAGGTTACAGTTATGGCCAAACACATGCCACCTGACACTGCTGAGGTGAGACTGACACCAGTTTCTTAGTCACATATAAGCACAGCCTGGCGAGAAGGATGCAGCATGCCAACAGCAGCACAGGGAGGTTGCCCTGGGGACCCTTGAAGAAGCAGGGGTCTGTGAGAGGCAGGCTTTGTGGTAGCAAGAGGGTGGGGTGACCCCTGTTTCTGCTGAGAGGATGGGATCGGCTTGTCTGGCTAATGTCTCAGGTTAGCAGAGAACTGAAACCCACTACTCAGGGATAAACAGGAACTGTACATGGCCCCCTGACAAGGAGATTTATTTGGCCAGAACCATTTGAGACCCTCCTGGTTTTCTGAGATGTCAACATTCACATCATATTGGGCCTCAAATTTAGGCCTTGAATTATAGGAATGACCAAGTTACCTAAAGAGAACCAGAAGGTCTCTTTTACCTGGACACAATAGAATATAATTATATATGAAACATGAAAAGGTAATTGAGGCCATTGTTTATAATGCATCAGGGGCTGGGGGTGGGTGCAGGGGATAGCTGCCTGACCTGGAGAATTGAATCCAAGCATGTGAGGGTGGAGGCTCCATCTCTCCAAGTCCCTTAAGGCCTAGTGTTATCGGGACCTGTTCTTCCTGGCACGTGTGGGGCTGGCAATGCAATGGCCATGCTGACTGCCTGCCCCTGAGAGTGACAGGACACTGTGAAACCATTGCCTGATGACACCCACATCTTTATGTCCAGAAGTACTATGAGAGCATCATCTGAGTAGCTCCTATGTGGGTCAAGCTGAAACATCTCACTGTGGCCAGTAATAACAGGGTGTACAATACACCCTGTACAAGAGTGTATGCATTTAGGGAGACAATTTTTATCAAAATAGTCAAACAGAAATGGAAAGTTTGCAATATCTCACTCTATACCAAGCTTGTCCAACCCACGGCCCTAAGATGGCTTTGAATGCAGCCCAACATGAATTAGTAAACTTTCTTAAAACATTATGCGATTTCTTTGCAATTTTTGTTTTTGTTCTCTGTTTTGTTGTTTGTTTGTTTTTGAAATGGAGTCTTGCTCTGTCACCCAGGCTGGAGTGCAGTGGTGCGATCTTGACTCACCGCAACCTGCACCTCCCAGGTTCAGGTGATTCTTCTGCCTCAGCCACCCAGGTAGCTCTACAAGTGTGTGCCACCACACCCAGCCAATTTTTGCATTTTTCGTAGAGACGGGGTTTCACCATCTTGGTCAGGCTTGTCTCAAACTCCTGATCTCAGGTGATTCACCTGCCTCAGCCTCCCAAAGTGCTGGGATTGCAGGCGTGAGCCACTGCGTCCAGCCCTTTGCAATTGTTTTTTAGCTCATCAGCTATCATTAGTATTAGTGTATCTTATGTCTGGCCCAATACAATTCTTCTTTTTCTAATGCAGCCCAGAGAAGCCAAAAGATTGAACACCCTTGCTCTATACAGTTCATGTTGTTCCTCAAAGTATTCTGGAATTTAGAATTATTCTACAATTTAGAATTATTTCAGAATTTAGAATTATTTTAGGATATGTTTTTCAGATATTTTTACTCCCTAGAAAACCCAAGGTCTTTAATATTAAGAATGATTGGCCTCTTGGCATTTTGCCTTCTTGATATGCTGGTTTCACCCTTGCAACCAGAATATATAAATGTGAGCCACAGGCTACTGTATAAATGAGGAAGGAGCAGTTGGTTCCACTTAAATGAGCTGATTTATGTTATTCTGTATGGTAATATACACTTATCTTGCATTCAGGGACTTTTTTCCAGGCATTTGTTTTTTCCGCGAATTTTTCTTTGAGACTCCTGAAAACACAATGCAAGGCTGTTGCTAAACTGTGGGAACATGATAGATTATCCCGTACAAACATATGCTATTTCCTTCCTCCCATTTTCTCCCCCTTCTAAAGAATGACGATTTTTTTTATTGTTGTTTTTCAACATGGTCTAAAGGGGTGCCCTGAAGTCACATTATGGTGGCCTCACAGCTGAAAGCTTACAGTAACCACTATTCTTACAGGCCATATCCTGCCATTGATTTTTACATAGAACTCCCCATTGACTGCCAAACGGAGTTTTTCCCTGAGATCGATGGCAGGATATAGCCAGTGACATTAAGCATAGATAAAAGACCCTTGAGATAACTGGCAACAGAACTAAAATTTCTATGTAAACTCATTTAATAAAAATTGGTTTTCAAAGGTTCATCAAAAAAGAAATCATTTCAAAATGCCTTTCTTCCCCCTTATGGTCAATGTAAACAAGATTTCTTCTTTCCAAATCACTGCTTTCTTAGATTTGTCTTTTTGTGTTTCATGTTTATTAAAATCACACTCTCATTAGTACTGCTAACAGATTTAAAGATTTGTTTAAAAGAGGTGGGTTTTACCCTCAAACAATATATAAAATCTAGTGGGGAGGAAAAATGGGTACATAATATCTCTAATGCAAAGTGAAAGAGAAAAAAGGAAAGAGAACAGAAAAGGGAGACAGTGTTTTAAACTCTGGGGTGTTAAGAAAGAAATCTCTCTACAGTACATATACAGGATCTCAAGTAAGGAAGTAAAAAATTAAAAATTTAACCATCTAAAATTTTTAATAGTATATAATGCCACACATCTATTGGCCCTATGCATGCATATATTGGCATTATGTATATTTCAAGCCAAATTACCTGCTGACAGAATGGACTATTCATAGGGTTACTCTATTTCCCAGTATTCCTGGGAAATCCTAGTTTGTACTTGATGTCCTCCACCAGCTTACACTCTCAAAAATGACCCCATTTAACTGATGAATTTCACAAACACTGTTAGCGATGCTGATGTCGAAATCTGCCTTAATTGTGGCAAGTTAATGAGAAACAGGAAAGCAGAGTGTGGAGAACTCTGATGCACCAGTCCAGGGCTCAGAGCGTTGGAGGTGCCAGGGCTCTAACTCCAAGGCTAGGCTGGTGGGCAGCACTTGGCAGGGTGACACCCAAGGCCATCTGAGGCTGTAGAGATACACATTCTGCTTCCCTCTAAGATATTTCATTCTTTCCTTTCCTTGATTTTTTTCCCCTTTTATCTGATTCTCTCATTTTTTTTCCCCTTCCATCCTAGAGTCACCAGTTGCTGGGTAGTTTATTCCTAAGTCAGCTGCTCTGTTGGCCTACCCAAGAGCATCCCGAATGTCTTCCTGGTGGTTGGAAAGTCATCCTTTCCAATCTGCCAGCCAGTGAGTCAACAAATGTTTGTTGAACAACCGCTTGAACTAGGCGGAGCACACCTGGTTCAAGCATACCTAGTGGGGGTTGCATACCCCACTATGTAGCAGGGATGCAATGATGAAAGTCAAAATACAGCTGCAATCCTTTCTATATTTGGATATTTACGTGGGTTCACCATGCAGAACAAATGCCACATAACTGTGATTTCAAATTTGCTGAAAAATTTGTGAATGTAACCACGTAAAATTGTCTTGAACTTTTCATTAGTGTGAACAGCTTAGGTTATTCAAACATTTTTCAAATTAGCAGGACATCAGTTGGGGTTGATTCACGTATATTTGAAATTGACATTCATCACACTGAAACATGTTGAATGAGCAACCATTAAAATTTGATATAAGCCATCTTTGCAAATATATTCCTTTTTTTTTTTTTTTTAGATGGAGTCTCGCTCTATCACCCAGGCTGGAGTGCAGTGGCACAATCTCGACTCACTGCAACCTCTGCCTCCCGGGTTCAAACAATTCCCCTGCTTCAGCCTCCCAAGTAGCTGGGACTACCGGCGTGTGCCACCACGCCCAGCTAATTTTTGTACTTTTAGTAGAGACATGGTTTCACCATGTTGGCCAGGATGGTCTCGATCTCTTGACCTCGTGATCCACCTGCCTCGGCCTCCCAAAGTGCTGGGATTACAGGTGTGAGCCACTGTGCCCGGCCAATATTCCCTTTTTAACCAAAGAATTGTGTGGGTAAAATGATACGTGCACTCAAGTAGTTTTTGTTCATGGGTCATAAAAACGTCTGACTGACAGATGACAAAAAAAAGATTCTGATGTTTCAAAATGATTTTTTAGTTTTATGCTGCTTCTTTATTTTTCCCCATCTTCATCAACCTAAGTAAGGAATCTCAGATTTTGCACAAGATAAGCTGCTCTTGTTGACATTCTGAAAGTAAAAGCTTGAATTTGAGGAAATGGCTAGGAACACAGGCAAATTCATAGTTAATCCATTTCAGACATTTGAATTCCAGAACCTTCAGTTAGCCAAGGGAAGTTGATATAGCTCTTGAAGTTATTTTATAGGAAACTGAATTGTAGACCTCTTCCATTTCATTACTCTTGCCGTCTCTGCCCACGAATTCTCTCTTTCACTGCAGCCAGCAATTAAAAATAGGCCTGGATTTGGACAGTCAGATGTAAGCATGGCATTTAGATTTAGCCTTATTTGTAAACAGCATGATTCACAAAAATCCATGTGAATAACCAAAGGAAGAGGTCAGTTCTGTGTGAAGCCTTAATTAATGGGAAGCTAACCCGAGGAAGTGCAGACTGTCAATTTCTTCCTGGCTGCATGGGAGGCAGCAGCTGACGTGTCTGCCCTGATGCAAGAACAGTTTGCAATCTCAATAAAGCAATCATCATGCAAAAGATTGGTAGATCTGGGAAGATGTATTAAAAATGATCACTCTCTTCTTAAGGATTACCCTCTGGGTGAAGAGCGAAGAAATATACTCATTTCCCTGAAGTCCTTCCACAACAGATAAAATCATTACATAATATTAGAGGCCCAGAGGGTGGGAATTGCTTTCCTACCAGAAAACCCTTCCGTTTCTCACCACGCCACCATGCTTCCTGCTGGTGTCCTAAGCGGACAGCTGCCTTCCCGCCTCCTGGAATAAGACAGTTCAATTCTGCTTGCCATCTCTCTAACTTAGAAAAGCTCTGCTGTGATATCCAGAAGCTGTCCACAGCTCATTTTCAGGCTGACAGTGGGGTTCTTAGAACATAAATTAAACAGTTCTATTGTGGTTAAGTACCTGGATACATAAGAGGTTTATTGGAGGGATGGGGATGGAGAAGGGCATTGCTTTTTTGCTGTCCTTGGAGTTACCTGTTTCAACCTTAGCTCTTTACTTGCGTGTACACACAGGCACCACTCACTCACTCACTTAGGAGAAATTAGAAAAGGCTGTCTGGAGTTTTGCCATCACCTCCACTGGCTGTCCAGAGTTGCCGATCTGCATTATTTATACCTGTGAAAGTCATTAGTGCTATCTGGATTTTTCTTCTAAGGACTGTAAGATTGCAATTGCTTGCCCTCCTAAAGTGGGGTGTGGCTCTGGCCAGTAAAGGAAGGGGGAGTGCTGATGCACCTCTTTCAGATGGAAGCAGCAAGAGTCAGAGTGAAACTTGTCACCCTCTCTTCTTTCCTTTTGCCCCAATAACCAGCAATTTTTTTTTTCTTTTACCTGGTGGTTGTTCTTTTATACTGGGTTCTGGAGAGACAAAAATGCAGACAAGAAAATTATCAAGCGCATGGACAGGAAATACGCCTTGTTTTTTTTAAACTGACAGGCAGGAGCTGCTCACCACTATTGTTTAACCTAGCCTTACGGCCGATATGCTAACCTTGAATATCTAACAGACTTTTAAGAAATTCTTAGGTTTATGCAGACTATCATAGCCCCATAACACATAACACAGCCCCATAGGCCAACACGTCACCTACATTCTGCTCATCAAATAACACTGATGGAGCTATCGGTCATGCTGGAGCCAGCGTGGACTCCTGCTGGTTTCCATATCGGCAAAATGTTTTGCAAAAGCTACCCAATGCTTTTGACATCAGATCTGGGTTGTGGACCTCTGCAAAGAAAAAAAAAAAGGTCACTTTAAAAGTCTATGCCTTTTGTTTTTGAAACCAGCTCTCATTCTTTATCCGCTCCCTACCTGAACTTACTCTCTCATAAATCCAAACAAGATAACCAGCCCATCAGACATTAACAGAGATGTAGGGCAGCCTGTCCATTTAGGAAACACACACTTAGTCATCCATTTCTCCACCTAGCCATTCATCTGCCCCCACTTCCAGGAATGATTTCTGTTGAGAACAGCAGTTATTCATTCTCCGTCCCGCAATCTGCCTTGGTGGAACCATCTCTGAATTCATAACAGGCAATTTGAAACACAAACCGACTCAGGGAAGTGGGCTGTCTCTGATCACCAGCGCTGCTGCCTTGGTTTCTCCCACGTGTCCCTCGGCTGGGGCCGCCCTGTCAGCAGCACCAGCCGCTGGCTTAGGTTTCTTGCCTTCCATCAGCACACACACATAAGAATCAAATCTCAAAAGGCAGCTTTCTGCAAACTTTCGATTTATTAACCTAAAGTTCCCGAAAAAGGTTCAATTGGTGATATCAGAACTTACTGTCTCCCGCAGGCCTGAAAGAAAAGAAATTTAAAGTGGGTGGGGGGCTGGGTGGGAACCAGTGACATTGAAATATTCAAATATAGGATTTACATGATAATGGGGAATAGAGTACTTTTCTCACCATTCTACCTGCAATGATTATAGAGCAGTACAATCATTTGCACAGCAAAAGCAAATCATATTTCGTTTAAACCCAGAAGTTCAAAAGATTGACGGAAATCTGCTCATTTCCAAAACAAAGGCATCAAAGGACACTAGAATATACCCTAGATAACTGGTCTCTCTTTCCTACCTAAATAACGGAGCTTTTCACTCCATGTCAAAGGCCTCTCTTTGGAGACAATCTGTAGAGTGGATTGGAAGATGCCATGTTGTTCTGAAGACATTTCTGTTTAGGAAAAGCAATGCCTCCCTGCTGGCAAGGTGCCCATTTTTCAAGCTTCCCAAAACATTCACTGAAACCATGTCTGTCTCTTGTCTACCATTCACACCTCCTGGGGACTTGTCTGACACTGTGCATTCCTTGAGGGCAGGGACTATGTCTGATTTTAACTATTGCACTCTTGGCAGCAAGCATCGTGTCTGGCACAGAGCAGACATTCAATAAATATTGAATACTTAGGGCTTTTTCACGATGCCACTTTTGAGTATCTCAGACTCTTCTCATAGCCAATACAGGAGTAGGGAGAGACCTGGAGTCCTACTACCCGAGCTCTCCTTACAGGAAGGAACTCATCCCAAAGAGGAGAAGTCAGCCTCATTGCTGAGGGTTCTCTCCTTTAGGGAAAAGTCAAGGGACGGCCTGTCTGCTAATCATCCTAAAAGTCTGGAATTATATTTTGGATTTTCATGCCTTTGTCTTAAAACATTGAACTCCTTTCTCCTTTTTTTTTTTTTTTTTTCTCCAAGACCGAGTCTCACTCTGTCGCCCAGGCTGGAGTGCAGTGGCACCATCTCGGCTCACTGCAACCTCTGCCTCCCAGGTTCAAGCAATTCTCCTGCCTCAGCCTCCTGAGTAGCTGGGATTACAGGTGCGCACCACCATGCCTGGCTAATTTCTGTATTTTTAGTGGCGATGAGGTTTCACCATGTTGGCCAGGCTGGTCTCAATCTCCTGGCCTCAAGTGATCTGCCCCCACCTCGGCCTCCCAAAGTGCTGGGATTACCAGTGTGAGCCACTGCACCTGGCCTGAACTCCTTTTCTGTCTCTTTCCAGCACTCAAGACATCAAAGCGAGGACACGGTGAGTCCTCCAGTGCAAAACTCTGGATTGGCCTAGGTCTTCTGATAGGAGCTGTGATCATCTTTGCTGACCACACAGGAGTCAAAAATCTGTAGATCATTGTCACGAAGGGGCTCACAGCTGGACAGACTTCCCACTGCTAGTGTGAGTAATGTGGTGATGGTCACAGTCAAGAAAGGCAAACCAGAGATCGAAAGAAGGTATGTGCGGCAGTGGTCATTTGACAACAAAAGTCATACCGGAGAAAATATAACATTTAAAAAGAATTTTTGAAGACAATGCAGGGTCATATTAAAAAAAATAAAGGCAAGGGGAAAGGTTCTGCCATTACAGGACCAGTTGCAAAGGAGCGTGCAGACCTGTGGCCCGGGTTGGTGTCCAATGCTGGCAGTATTCCACGATTCTCCAGTATATTTGTAAAAAAGAAAAAAAAAACACTGAAATGTATTTACCCTCCTACAAAAGAAGGTTTGAACTCTTTATAAAAATATGCAAGCAATTGATTCTGCATTTGACAGATCTGAATCTTAAATTCACACACACACACACACACACACACACACACACACACACACACACCACTTATCAAGGGCTTCCCATCAGACTTTTAAAGACCTGAACTCTTTAGTTTAACCAACAAGGCCTTGGTAATCTGAGCCTCAGGGCCCACCTCTCTGAACTCCTCCCATTTTCTCATTTCATTCCAGCCAGTCTTCTTTCTACTCTTGGCTCACACCAAGTAACTTCCCAACCCAAGGCCTTTACAATGTGATGTCACCTCTACCCTAGCATGCTTTCCCACTAGAACTTTGCATGGCTCACTCCTTCACCAAATTTTTAGTGCTTTCTCAGAGAGTCCTTTACAAATCACCTGATCTTTTCCCACTTTGTTTTTTTTTTAGTTTGTTTCTTTGTTTTTTGAGACAGAATCTTGCTCTGTCGCCCAGGCTGGAGTGCAGTGGTGTGATCTCAGCTCACTGCAACCTCCTGCCTCAGCCTCCTGAGTAGCTGGGATTACAGGCATGCACCACCACGCTTGGTTAATTTTTATATATTTAGTAGAGACAGGGTTTCACCATGTTGGCCAAGCTGGTCTCAAACTCCTAACCACCCGCATCGGCCTACCCAATCCGCCTGCCTCAGCCTCCCAAAGTGTTGAGATTACAGGCGTGAGCCACTATACCTGGCAACGCTTTGTTATTTTTCATCCCCTATTCACTTTATTTTCTCCCTGATACAGAACACTATCTGCAATGACTCTCTCTCTCTCTTTCTTCTTTCCTTTCTTTCCTTCCTTCTCTTTTCTCTTTCCTTCCTTCCTTTCTTTTCCCTGTTTATTGTCTGTGTCTCCTACTATAAAACCCAGTAGGGTCTGGGACTCAATCTCAGCACTCAGGCATACTCAGTGGACACCTGTTTTGTGAGTCAACGCACTTGGGGCTCACAGGGTGAGTGACTAGCTCAGAGCCACAGGACTGGGATATTTTGACAGTTCCTCCCAGGGTCTGTCTCTAACACAAGGTTGTAGGCAAATAGGAGTTTCAAATCACTTCCTCTTTAGTCCAAGAGAACTAATAGCCCTTTTTGAACACTGTGCTACTTTTCCAGGACCACCATAACAAAGTACCACAACTTGGTGACTTAAAACAACAGAAATGTACTCACAGTTCTGGAGGCCAGAAGTCCAAAATTAAAGTGTCTGCCATGCTGTGCTCCCTCTGAATGCTCTAGGGGAGAATCCTTCCTTTCCCCTCCAGCTTCTGGCGGTGTCCAGCAATCCTAGGTGCCCCTAGCTTATATTAATGACTCTCATTCCGCCTCTGCCTTCACATGGCCTTCTCTCCATGCATGTCTGCGTTTCTCTTTTCCTCTTCGTATAAGGGCACCAGTTATTTGGGTGTCCTCCCCAGCATAACCTCATCTTAGCTACATTACATCTGCAAAGACTGTACTTCCAATGAAGGTCACGTTCACAGACACTGAGGTTAAAACTTCAACGTATCTTTTGGGCAAGACGGTTCAACCTACAAGAGCTGACTGAGTTGGTTCCATGGAGAATATGTGAGCCACTGCAAGAATAAACCAGTTTTTCTGGCCTGATCTTGAAGCCAGGCCACGCAGTGGCTCCTGGGACACAGGCACAGGAGCCACTCCATGGCATCTTTTTATCATGAAGCTCCTCAAGCCGGGTGTAGTGGCTCTCATCTGTAATCCCAGCTACTCAGGAGGCCAAGGTGGGAGAATCACCTGAGACCAGGAGTTCAAGACTAGCCTGGGCAACATAACAAGACTCCATCTCTAAAAAAATTTTAAAGATTATCTGGGTGTGGCAGTGGACCTGTAGTCCCAGCTACTTGGGAGGCTGAGGCTGGAGGGTCGCTTGTGCCCAGGAGTTTGAGGCTACAGTGAGCTATGATCACACCACTGCACTCCAGCCTGGGTGACAAAGCGAGACCATGTCTCTACAAAAAACAAACAAACCAAAAAACAAAAAGAAAAAGGAAGCTCATCAACCTCAAATAAATGGAATTTTGGAAGAAACTGCAGTAGAAAGAGCCTCTAAAATATTTATTATATGCCAGGGACAGGGCTGGACAGAATACAAAGTAAGTATTTGATGATAAGATGTTGTCAACATTAGTAAGAAGACAGCAACTAACTAGCATTTTTGAGAAAACCAGGATTTTAGAAAGGAGATGGGCTCACATTAAGAAAGCAAGCAAATTAGACTTTGCAGTAAAAATATATTTATGGAATGCACTCATTTCTGGAGCAGAAATGTGAGAAATGACCTCAGAAACCCAAACAAGTGGCTATTCTCTGCACACAAAAAAACTAAAATTGCATCCCAGTAATGCCAAAACCACCAGATGATAGCGTAAAAATTCAGTAAACAGATACTCGTTCTATAGGATACCAAATGTCCAACTGTCATTTTTATTTCTCGCAGAACTAGCCGTCTGACCTAGTGTCATGTCTCTGCTACGAGAAGGTAGGTTTGTAGCCATGACCTCCAGGCTGTTCCACAGGGTGAACAGGGCCATCTTCTCCAGTGCAGCTGGTCTTTGACCCAGCTGAGTACTGCAGAAGCTTTCTGCTTGGTCTTTGAAGTTCTACCTTGACCCAGCTGAGTACTGCAGAAGCTTTCTGCTTGGTCTTTGAAGTTCTACCTTGACCCAGCTGAGTACTGCAGAAGCTTTCTGCTTGGTCTTTGAAGTTCTACCTTGACCCAGCTGAGTACTGCAGAAGCTTTCTGCTTTCCTTTCCTGCCATGACTGTCATAGGAGGGTCACACGAACAGTGCTGTGAAGACTGCTCCATTACGAGGAGAACTGTAGGTTTCCTGAAAAATCAAATTCAGCAGAGGGCATTAAGTCAGTGATTGCTAAATATGAATGCATTCCATTCCTAAGCAAATTGACAGTGTGATTTGGAACTCATGAGAAGTTCCCGAGGGAAGGCATGGTATCTACTCCAAGACCGGTATAACTGGGAGACCTTAAAAAGAGAAACGTATTTCATTTGGCTCAATAGCACACTCTCCAAAAATAAAGTACTTTCATATGAGGTAACTGGTGCCTAATTTTTGAAAATATACAAGCAGCAACTAACTAGGATACTATAAAATGAATTCCTACAAAACTGAGGGAGATAATCTCCCATGTTCCTTCCAGCTCTAAAAATTGTATAACTTTGAAGTTTTATTTCAGTCCCAGAAGATTTCAGATACACAGATATTTCAAGTTCATTGAAAGAGAGATCAGAAAAGTAGAACTTTATAAAAGATAGAGAAAGAATTTAATAATGAACACAGCATGCAAAACAAGCAGCTGATCCTCCAAAGCAAATGTCTTAGGAGGCAAAGAGCAGTTGTCTTCACTTTCAGAGGCTGATGGAAGGTTATGGAGCAAGTTCAGAGGGTGGCTCTAGGACCACATATCTGGGAAATCAAGTCTTCTTCCCTAAAAGAGCCATAAGAAGCTGTGCTTCCTTCAAAAGCTTATATTTGGGTGGGCATGGTTGCTCATGCCTGTAATCCCAAGGAAACCAAGGGAGGAGGATCGCTTGAGCCCAGGAGTTTGAGACTAGACTGTACAACATAGTGAGACCCCTAACTATACGCAATTTAAAAACTAACTGGGTGTAGTAGCATGCACCTGTAGTCCCAGCTATTCAGGAGGCTGAGGCAGGAGGATTGCTTGAGCCCAGAAGTTTGAGGCTGCAGTGAGCTATGATTGCACCACTGCACTCCAGCCTGGGTAACAGAGCAAGACCTCATCTCTTAAAAAAAAAAAAAAAAGAGTTTCTATTTTATAGCACTAGTTCTAAAATTGAGAAAGGGAGTGTCTGGATGGGGTGGAGAGAGCATAATGGAATCAAAAAGGAGTCTTTTCAGATAACATCTGCCCACTCTTGGAAGCTCAGGTCTTTTGGTAGAGTATGGGAAGGAGGGTGAAAAGATGGAGAGGGATGACCAGGAGGAGAGTTTGAAAAGACTTCTCAGGCAATTCTAATGGTCTTAGAATCACTTCACATGAAATAGAATAAAAAAGAATTTTCCTTCTTTCTATCTACCATTGTGAATGATTTTTCCTCCAAACTTCGCTTTGCTTTTCATCCGGCCTGACTTTTCTTATGCATTGTAGGCTGTTTCAGAAATTGCTGTAAGGATTTGCTTAGTAAAATTGTCTTAGCCAAGAAAAAAAGATTTTTGTCCTCCAATTTCAAAAACTATTAATTTGTGGTGATAACGATCTTTTACATCTTGGGAGTTTGGAGAAAATATTTAAAATGATACAATTGCCAAAAATGTGGTAAATTCCCTTTTGGGTTGCTGTTAGTTTATCCCAACCAGACCTCCCATGTTAAGGGAGTTTCCTGAACCCCCTGACTTTTCAAGACTATGAAACGTGCTCCGGGTACAGCTCCCTCAAGTCTCCACACCCTCCCACTCCATGAAAGAGACAGAACATCTGCTCCTCATCTCTGGGAAAGTATATTTAATTATTGGATGCTTTCCTTTTCAAAATGATGCTGGCTTATTGTGGGTTTTTTTCTTTTTTTTTTTAGCCTCCAGGGCACAAACAAAATAAAATCATCCCTTCGATGTTTAAATCAGATAATAGCATCTGCATCAACAAAAATAACAGCTAATAGTATAAAGTTGTTTCTTTTATACTTACTGAGAAGCAAGAGTCAATAACAGGCGATGGTTCTCTCAGCATCCATGAAATGAATTTACTAGAGGAAACTTCTAGAAGCAAGGCTGTGCCAAGTACAGGACAGGTAGGAGCAAAGGAAGATTACATCATCTCACAGGTCTGAGGATCCCACAATGATCAGCTATTGTTTCTTGGTCCTAACAGAATCTATCGGAAAATTGTGTTTGTGTGTAAGAGACAGAGAGAAAAGAAAAGAAAAAAAAAAACCACTGGGGGAAGACAGGGAAACAAACCAAGCATGTGAGTCCTCTTACTGAGAAAACATGATGCCTTTCACATCTTGATATAAAAGATGGTTAAAATGAGAAGCAGAGATTTCACTGCAGTAAATATTTACCGAAGAACCCACAAAAGTTTAAGAAAGTGTGGTCCTGGTATCATTCACATTTGAGCACCAACTAAAGACCAACATTACCCATTTCCGTAAGAATTTTGGAGGAACAGCTTTGTCATTTTTCTAGTGTCTTATTTGTTTTAAATCCTGTTCTTCTAAAAGCAAATAAGAACTAGCCAAAAGAAAATTTGTTCTTGTTTTAGAGCAGGAGAGGGAGAAAAAGATAGGAAACATTCACCAGTTTCAATTCAATGTAACTCAATGAATATTTCCCGAACCACTTCTAAGCCAGACAGAGTCTCTGTTCTCCGGGAGTGGATATCTACTCAGGAGACCTGCAATTAAAGACTTGTGTAGTGCAGTTTGGAGGGGAACTTAACTCAGACTTGGAGGGAGGGGCAGACCAAGGTAGGTTCTCAGAGAAGGGATATCTACACATCTTTCCTAAGCTCAGCTGCTTTTTCAGAATTTCCAGGGAAGCCTTTGAAACTACATATTCCAGGATCTCTCTCTGGATCTTTTGAAATTAGAATCTCTAAGAGAGGACTGCACATTTATGAGTTTCCCCAGGCAAAACAGAAGTGGTGGTCTGATCTGGGCTGTGGGAGGAGAAGAAATATCAAGGATGTATAGGAGCCTGGAGGTGAGGACAAGCCTGGAGGTGAGGAAGAACTGGAGGACAGTTGGATGTGACTGTGCCTGAGAGAACAGTGTGGGGACAGTCAGCTGTGGAGAGAAGGGCAGCCACGTCATGAGGGCCTGTGCACAGTGGAGAGGAGCTTGGCCTTCCTCTAAGGACAATGTTGTTGGATGAATGGGAGATGGCAGCTGGAAGGAACTGCTATCATGGGGGCTGTGGAGATAGCCGTGAGAATACAGGGGAGCCACACCAGAACCAAGTCCTTCTCCAGGGGTTTTAAACAGTCAGGGGGACTGGCATGGTGGCTCATGCTTATAATCCCAGCACTTTGGAAGACAGAGGTGGGAGGATCGCTTGAGCCCAGGAGGTGGAGGCTAGAGTGAGCCGTGATCACACCACTGCACTCCAGCCTGGGAGGGAGACCCTGTCTCAAAAATTAAATAAAATATAAAATTAAAATAAAATAAAATAAAATAAAATAAAAACCAAGAATCAGTTCCTTCGCTCTTGTTCTATTATTTACCACCTTGCCCCCTTCCCCTTTCTCTATATGCCTTCCCATGGGGAAAGCAAATGAGGTGGAAATATACATGTTGATGAGGTGGAAATATACATGTTGTTTACAACCAGCTGGTATACCCTTGCTCTTTCACTTGAATTAGCAGAAACGTACACAAATTCATGAAAGGAGAAAGGATGCAGCCCTAAGCCCTTTCGACCACCCCTCTGGCAGGCTGCCTTGTATTACTTCTTTCTCCACCAACACTGCTTTTGATGCTCATTTTAGCCGCATTTGCTTGTCAACCACTATCATGGTTTGTTTGCGCCCTCTCCCTCTGATGATGGGGCTGGACCCATGCCCCTGAGACACATGGTAGGATGGTATGCACACTGTCCACCCTGTCATATGACCATATCCTCAGATTACAAATCTCCTTCCTGGCTTCATTAGGGAGTCCTAATGTTGTAATGTAAGAATCTGAGTGGACTGGGTGCAACAATAAAGAAGGGATACATAACAGAGGAAAGGTAATCTTTCATCTTCATGTTCCAGGCAGCCCCACCCCTCCCCCTAAGGTGCACTGATGCTAGCTTGACTAGTGAAACTGGAAATCAGGAAGAGATGTCAGTAGGAAGATTTAGTAAAAACATTTAGCAGTAAGGTCAAGAGATAGATCTTTGAAAACCACAAATTTCTCCCCAAGCCTCTGTTTAAGTGAGTACACTTTCACTAATAAGAAGTGAGGTTTCCTGAAGCAGAGGAAGTAGATAAGCAAGAGAAAACCAACTCCTTGATAACAACAGTTAATACCTTTACCAGTAACCACATATAAAATAAACTGTGCTGGGGGACAAATTAAAGACATCCCCTTCTTCCACCAGGTTTTCAAACAGGGACTTTTATTGAAAGAATCACCCAGCCCGGAGAATGTCAAGTTAAATGTAACTACAGATATTGGCCAACAGGTCACTCCAATCCTTACACAGCTTCTTGTAGCTCTATTTCTGGGGTTTCTAAGGGTGAGGGGGAAAGTAATTAAAGAATGGCTAAGCTTGGCTGGGTGCAGTGGCTTACACCTGTAATCCCAGCACCCAAGGTGAGGAATTCGAGACCAGCCTGGCCAACATGGTGAAACCCCATCTCTACTAAAAATACAAAAAATTAGCCGGGCATGGTGGTGGGCACCTATAATCCCAGCTACTCCGGGAGGCTGAGGCAGGAGAATAGCTTGAACCCAGGAGGCGGAGGTTGCAGTGAGCTGAGATCACACCACTGCACTCCAGCCTGGGCAACAAGAGCAAAACTCCATTTCAAAAAAAGAAAAGAAAGAAAGAAAGAAGAAAGAATGGCTAAGCTAAAACTTTGTTTTCTACTTTGGATTCAATCCTAACTATTTGAACCCCAAATCAAAAGATGGAGAGTCTGGGAGCTTTGGTTTCCCCTACTCAAAAGTATTTTCTCTTAAAGCTAGGCTAATAGGTTGGAAAGAGGACTCACAGCTTGAAAACACCTAATAAAGGTCATTTTGAAATGCAGACATTAATGTTGGCGAAAGAGAGCTTTCATACAACAAATCATACTAGGGAGTGTACAGCAGTGTCTTTCCATTGGATTCTTGTTTTAGAGGCAAAAAAATCCTCCCATATGAATTGAGTTATTATTCTAATGTTGTAGTTTAAATCTGTTAAATAAAGCCAAGATTCAGATCAAAGGTAAAGCAATTTAAAATAAAAAACCTAAGAGCTGAGCTCCTTAACTGAGCTCTGCTAAAACAGAGAAAACTTAACAAAATAAGAGTATCACCATCTTGAGCTATTCTTCCCAGGAGACGGAAAGAAAAATGGAGCAATAAACAGAAGCAGAGAAATGCAGGGGAGATAAGGAAGCCAGAGTATTCTGTTATCCATGGGCAGGTGGCTTGTCTGTGTCTCGCTCTTTAACTGAACCCAAATTCTGAATGTGTAAGTGAGGTAGAATAATAAGTCTTTCCTTCGGTGTTTGATATAGTCTGAAGCTTGTGAATACGGATTCAGAAACATCTGTCTTCCACATCATCTGACTATAGCTTGCCTTAGACTAAAATCTTGGGTGGAACTAATAGCTCCAGTCATGCGAGTTGATGCTTCCCAGGAAAGGAGGTGGGAACACAGAAATATTAATACAACCATCAGAGAAATGACTTGAAGCCAGCAGCTGATGTTATTTAGTCTCATTGACTTACAAGGACTGGGTAGTTTTGAAAGGGAGTTATGAACATGGTTAAGGGCTTGCTTGAAGAAAATGTTGGCAGGTATCAAAACCAGACTGTGGCCACTTCTAAGATTTCAGTTGACATGAATTTGTGGTTGAGAAGTCAGGAGGATTTCTCTGGATCTAGAGTTCAGTCCTTCCTAGTCCAATGCCAAATCCAAACTGGGCATGAAAGCCAATCTTTATAGAGTCAAAGACACCAACAGTATAAAAACTTTTATAATCTGGTTTCTACAACATGATTCTGGTTGGTTAAATTTCCATCATGTTGAGGAAGACGAATGGAAGTCATCAAAGGCAGGAGGCGAGTCTAGGCCTGCTTGGGGTCCAGGGATTAAAAAATTTATACTGAGTAATTCCTTAGCCTTCAAGCCCGAAAAATGCAATAATGAAATCAGGTTTGATCCTGAAGAGATAACCTGGGCACTGCAACATCAAGTCAAGAATCTTCCATTTTTCTGTTTCAGCTCTAAAAGCAAATTAAGTAAATGTGGCCGAAATCAAACGTTTCAACTTTATGAGTCATCATCCCCAAAATAATATTTATGTTTATATAAAAGAACAACAAGGTATTATTTCTGAATCTGCATTTAAGATACACTTAGAATCTGTATAATACTTTACATTTATTTTATTCCTAATTATTTAAAATCATTCGGAAAGTCACAGGATGATTTTTATGGCAATTTCATGTTCCTGACTTCAAAGAAGTCACATTATTTTCCTAGATAGGCCCAGCAGCACAGATCCCAAAGTCACAAGACTGCTTATTTTCAGTGCCCTGCTTGGCAGGTCATGCCTAGTCTCCAGATGGGTGGTTTAGTGACATAGAACTTCATTTTGAGTTATGAGATCTAAGTAGAGGTCCAAGCTACTACCCCTGGGTCCAGTGATATTGGGCCAATTTGCAGTGATCTATATTTTTGACTTGACTTATATCTAGCCCCTTTGAAACTGTATTCCCGGCTGGGCACAGTGGCTCATGCCTGTAATCCTAGCACTTTGGGAGGCTGAGGCGGGCAGATCTCCTGAGGTCAGGAGTTTGAGACCAGCCTGGCCAACATAGAAAAACTCTGTCTCTACTAAAAATACAAAAATTAGCTGGGCGTGATGGCAGGCATCCGTAATGCCAGCTGCTGGGAGGCTGAGGCAGGAGAATCGCTTGAACCCGGGAGGCGGAGGTTGCAGTGAGCCAAGATCTGGCCATTGCATTCCAGTCTGGGCAACAAGTGCGAGACTCTGTCTCTCAAAACAAACAAAATGAACAAACAACAACAACAACAACAAACTATATTCCCATCAGTTCTGTTCCTAAGTTCTTTAACTTTTGTTATTAAATACTTTTATTGCATCTATGAGAAAAATGCTTTTATGAAATACTGATATACTAAAGCATATAATTTCAAGCCATCTAACCATTGCATAAACATGACATGTGAAGTAGCAAACTGTATTTATTAACAACATAGTCTCTGGAGTCAACTTCCTAGCTTTGTATCCCTAGCTTTAATGATACCTATTAGATATGTAATCTTGAGCAAGTTTTTTAACTTGTCAGTGTCTGAGGTTTTATAAGTTATCTGCCTTATAACTTTTTTCTTCTTCTCCATTCTTTTTTATACTTTATTTTTTTAATTCACACATAAAAATCATACATCTTTATGAGATACATAGTGATATTTTGATGCATATATGCATAGTGATCAGATCAGGGTAATTAGCATATCCATCATCTCAAACAATCAGCATTTCTTCAGTGAGGAAAATAAGGCACATACCTCATACAATAATTATGTGAGAATTAAAAGCAATAATTTATGTAAAGTTATTAAAAGAATGCCTAATGCATAGTATAGTGCTAGACAGTCTGTTTCTATCAAATCAATATTTGTACATAATTTAAAAAATAAAATAGTACTGAGTGGGAGGAAGGGGAAGAGGGGTTCTAACCAATCCATAAATGGAATTTCCAGCCTTTAGAGATAGCTTTTTGGCCAGTTCTTGAGCCTACCCTGGGTCCAGAGTCTGTGAAATACTAAAAGGCCTTTTCATCGTCATTTCTTCCTGAAGGCACATAGATTTCCAATGTCTAGTCCCCCCTGTCTTGCATCTTCTGAAACTTCTCGTTTACCGTGTGTCCTCTCTTATCCTTTGATCTTCAACTTTTTGAAATCATTTACCATCAGCTTTGAAGCAATTGGTATGGTGCAAGGCCGATGGTCTATGTTCAGTGCACCACAGTGTTTAATTATGTTAAATATTTTACTATTTAATATAATAATAATGTTCATATTGCTAAATATTTTAATTATGTTAATTAAATAATGTTAAGTATTTTACTATATGCCGTCATAATAATGTTAAATATTTTACTATTGTTGTTATTAACACACAATAACAGTATCAGCTGATATGACTATCATAATCATCATTGAGCTTGTCTGTTCACTATGAATCTAAAAAGTTCAAACAAGGGGCCAGGCGCGGTGGCTCAAGCCTGTAATCCCAGCACTTTGGGAGTCCGAGACGGGCAGATTACCTGAGGTCAGGAGTTTGAGACCAGCCTGGCCAACATGGCAAAATCCTGTCTCTACTAAAAATACAAAAAATTAGCCGGGCCTGGTGGCACGCACCTGTAGTCTCAGCTACTCTGGAGGCTGAGGCAGGAGAATCACTTGAACCCAGGAGGCAGAGGTTGCAGTGAGCTGAGATCGTGCCACAGCATTCCAGCCTTGGAGACACAGTGAGACTCCATATCAAAAAAAAAGAAAAAAGAAAAAAGAAAATTCAAACAAGGAAGCATTGGTGAAGAGTCGGAGCCTGGGTATGTTCTGTATATCTCAGCCCGGCTCTGAATAGTTCAGCAGTAGAAAATCCTTTCTCCTCCCTCTCAGTGACACCCTGATAGTGGCTTTGCTGAAACTTTCTGGGTTTCTCTCCCCCTGTAACTTTTTAATAGGCCTCCTGACTGACCTTGACCTCCCAGAGACCCTTGGTTCCCTGCGAGTCAGTCTCTCACAAACCCATCTTAGAATTCCCGCATTTCCTTCACTTCTCTCTGTTTCCAATTGCCCCTGGTTGGCTTTCTCCTTGTCGGGTCATCAGCAGGTCTCATTAATTCGGCTCACAGATCACTGACCCAGCAAGGCATAATTGAGCGTCAGATTAAGTCCTTTAATTGTGGCATGGGGTCCTGAGCTCCTCAGAGAAAAGGATTTTGTGTGGGGGTGAAATAACAAGGGAAATAAGACCAAACGATTGCATCCCAGGATGTTTCCAACAATTCCACAAGCAGGTAGTGAAGGGAAAATTAGTATATCATAAAGAGAGGGGTGAGGCTCCATTGTGTTCTTTGACCTGGGGTTGTAGAAAAGTTGGCAGCAAGGCTGACTGGCGATCAGCAGAGACCTCACATCTGCTCTGGATGGTGCACATGGAGAGAAGTAAAGATGACCTTTCTCCCCTTCTTAACTTGGAGTTGTGCAATGGAATGAGGCAAGAGGCTTTGTTTGCCTAGAATGTGAATTATTGGCCATCTTCCCTCGGGCCTTTAGATACAAGGACTCAAATTTGTGAAGCAAGCTTGAGTTTCCGTTCCTGTCTCTTCTCGCCTTTCTGAGTACTGTGTAATCATCGTGCAGAGATAATTGAGATTCTGGTTGCAACTGAAATCTCTGCTCTTCCGGAAGTTTCCCTTGACTTTGGGATTCTCCAGTTAATTTTTGTAAGTATATTCTATGGAGATATAAATGCCCTAAAAAAGACTGCCATGCAATGGAAACCTCTGGTTTTACAAAGGAGATTCCAGCTCTATTGAGAAAGAGCAGAGAACAAATGTGGAAAAAATACAAAGACACAACCCCACAACAGCAAGAGTGAAGAGTTTGGAAGTGATACATGCAACAGGGCAATTGTTTGGCAACTTCCTTCCTACCAAGAGCCAAAACTGCAAGACCAAGCTAGGAAGAGTACACAGCGAATCACGCGGCCTGTGAGTACTATTAAATAAGGGAATAATTTAGGTGAAGATGCTGTCCTGGGCTGAAAACTCCTGCATTGTAATTGGTGGATAGAAAAGAAACATTGGGAAAATCTCAAGTGAGAAATCCTTGGTGGATTTAACTCTCCATTCCCACCATCCCTTAGCAAACCTCCCAGCAAGTTGAGGAGTCGTGCCAGTGGCATACAATGTTTTGGTTTAATAGACGATTGTTTATCTTGGCTGCTCAAATTCCACATGTCATCTCCTACCTTCTCATGGGTTGAATGATGCTGAATTCATGGAAGAGATAAGAAAACTTGCCCTTTGGAATAAAATAAAGAAAATACATTTTGATTTATCAGATACTTCATAGAATAAATGAAGGTATACCTATTCTTTAAATATCCCTCCACCATCCATTATTTTTCCCACTTTTACTTTCCCAGGAATAGATATTAGCAAGACTGAACAATGATAATTTACACCAGCCTCAGACCATTCAGGACATGTCCTATTTTTTTAAATTAATTTTACATTTTTTATAAAGAATTTTTTAGCAGCTTTAGGTTCACAGCAAAATTGTACAGAGCTATAAAGATTTCCCACATACTCCCCAACTCCATATGCATAACTTTCTGTATTATCAACATTCCCCATGAGAGTGGTCTGAGACCTTTGTTAAACTAAAGCAGCCTCTCTGTCCAATCACAACACTGAGTGAATTATAATACCCACCATCATTCTCCAGCTTTAAATAAAGTAAGAAAAATAACAGAGTATCTTATCATAGAAGTGACTTTTAAGTAATCATTTCGTCAAGATTCTTTTGGTAAATACAGGATTTAATTTTCCTACAGTCACTTCTGTAGGAAAATTAAAGTAGTTTATGGAAAAGAAAATGTGAGAGGTTTATTAAATTAGGGAAAACCATGGCCAATAGAGCAAAAAAGTGACGGGGTGAGGATGGTATTTAACCAACTAGCCCTACTGAAAAATACTAAGATGGCATACAGTTCTCTATCTTTCCATAAGTGGTGATTTTAAAATAATATTTGGAAGCTTGCACCTCACTCCCAAAGATGCAGCTGCTGTGCTGTTTTTCTTGGCATGTTTAAGGATCCTCCATGGGTACTGAAGAAACCTGAGCTTCGAAACTCAGCAACTCTAGAACTAGACTGCTGAATGGTTCTCTGGAGAGTTCAAATATTTGAGTGAAAAGATATGTCGAAAACTCACTTCTTGTTTGGATGCAAGGAAATATGGACACGGGACCAGGTGTGAAAACATGACGGAGCTTCTGTAAATGTGTTGGGTATCGCTGGTCTCACGGGAAGATGGGAAATGATCCTTCCCAAGCTGTAGAATCTTGGCCGAAAAACACAGCTTCCCGATTTGTACTAAGGAGACGTGTCCACCTCAGCTTTGGTGACCCGGTTTTCTTGGGGCTTTCAATTAGGAGCACATTCCTTTTCTCCCTTTACTGTTTTCAAGTTTAGTTCAGGTCAATAAGCACCTGAAGCTTTTTGGACAGCAAATAATAAGCTTAATCAGCCTCCTGATGAGTGAAAATGCTCTCTGAGTCTTACAGCACTTGAGCTCTTAGCATTTTCCCATTCAAGATAAGCCTAGATAATATCTAGGATCAAATGTGGTTGATGAGGTTTGAAGTGCCCAAGTGCTTACCCCTTTTTTTTTTTAAAGAGAACTTAGCCCTATTCCACCCATAAAAGTGGACTATTAAATGCATGGTTTTCTCGCACCAAATCTTCCCTTTTTAAAAAAATTTTCTTTGAAGCCCAAATTTAAATGTGTCAAGAAATTTCTGCAGCAAAGTTAGTTGCACATGGGATTCGAAGAGGCCAAGGAAGAGCTTGTTTCAAACTTGGAATATGGCTGAAATACACAATAGTCATGTCTGTAGAAGTTACTAAAGTCTGTTGAATTTGACGAGGGCTGGTAGAAATTGAAATAGTGGTTTTATGGAAATCAATAATCCATAAGCAATTCATGGTGGCTTTTTCAGAAGCATGTCGATGACTCTTTTCTTTCTTTCTCTTTCTTTCTTTCTTTCTCTTTCTTTCTTTTTCTTTCTTTCTTTCTCTCTTTCTTTCTTTCTTTCTCTCCCTCTTTCTTTCTTTCTTTCTTTCTTTCTTTCTTTCTTTCTTTCTTTCTTCTGTCTCTCTTTCTTTTCTTTCTTTTTTTTTTTTTGTAGAGATGGGGATCTCACTATGTTGCCCAAGTTGGTCTTGAACTCTGAGCCTTAAGCGATCCTCCCACCTTGGCCTCCCAAAGTTCTGAGATTACAGGTGTGAGCCGACAACTCCTCCCACCCCTGTGACTTTCTTTGGTAAATTAACTTAGATACTATTCATAAACGAAAGAACCAAAAAGGAATATCTGAGTCATCCTGTTAAGAGGGGGAATTTATTTCAGTAAACTTGGCACAGAGCTCATCTGCCCTAGGAAAAGCCCTCTCTGTGGCACCTGAGTTGCATGGTCCTTGCCTAGTGCCCTTTTAATTTCTGCTTAGCAGTTGAAAGCATGGCTTGCTTCTCTGTCAGTCTGCTCTGCTGCTTCTGATCTCCCAGGCCCCTAGACCCAGACCCAAGGCCTGCTCTACACAAGACCAAGGCTTACCTGGCAGTGTGCCTGAGAAGGGCCACTTTATCGCTACATCCTGATGATGATGAAAAGGCATGGCCATCTGTAACGGATACTCACCCCAAAGTGAGCATTGTCTCTGCAACACAGCATGGGAAACCTAGGAATGACACATATTCTTGTCAAATTTCACCTGCAGTGGACCTTACAGATAAATGTGAAGTGAGTTTTGGTTTTGGACAAAGCTAGGCAGTGCTAGTTTGAGATACAATGCAGGGTCTTTAGGTCTTGCCCAAATTCTCAGGTTTCAATTGAAATAAATTCAGCTTATTTAATTCATGGTGTATTAGGCCATTCTTGCATTGCTATAACGAAATATCTAAGACTGTGTAATTAATAAAGAAAAGAGGTTTCATTGGCTCACAGTTCTGCAGGCTGTCCAGGAAGCATGGCCCCAGCATCTGCTCAGCTTCTGGTGAGGGCCTCGGGAAGCCTACAATTATGGTGGAAGGCAAAGAGGGAGCAAGCTTGTCCCATGGCTACAGCGGGAGCAAGAGAAAAAGCGGGCAAGTTGCCACACAATGTTAAGCTACCAGATCTCTTGAGAAATAATTCACTATCATGAGGTCAGCACGAAGGGGATGACACACAACCATTCATGAAAAATCTGCCCCACCCCCCCCCACCCCCAACAAACCACCCTCCCACCAGGCTCCACCTCCAACACTGCTGTGAAAGGAAAATAAATCTTGGCATTCCAAAAATCACTAAGCTAAAGGGAAAGTCAAGCTGGGACCCGCTTAGGGCAAACCTGCCTCCCATTCTATTCAAAGTCATCCCTCTGCTCACTGAGATAAATGCTATCTGATTGCCTCCTTTGGAGAGGCTAATCAGAAACTTAAAATAATGCAGCCATTTGTCTCTTACCTACCTATGACCTGGAAGCCCCCTCCCCGCTTCGAGTTGTCTCATATTTGCTTCCAGTTGTCTCTCCTTTTGGGACCAAACCATTCTTCATCTTACACATATTGTTTGATGTCTCATGTCTCCCTACAATGTATAAAACCTAGCTGTGCCCCAGCCTCCTTGGGCACATGTCATCAGAACCTCTTGAGGCTGAGTCACGGGTATGCATCCTTAGCCTTGGCAAAATAAGCTTTCTACATTGACCCTGTCTCAGATATTCAGGGTTCATACTGGGAATTACATTTCAACATGAGATTTAGAGGGGACAATATTCAAACCATAACATATGTGTTATAGGAACCCAGAGGGAAACACTCACTCCTGATTAGAAACTTCAGAAAACAGCAATTATGAAGAAGATAGCACTTGAGCAAGACTGCGCAGAGGAAGCAGAAAGTGGATCTGTCATGTGGAGGAGTTGGGGAGTGGCAGTGTGCAACGGAAGCAGAGGTGGTGGGGCAAAAATGGGAGTTGACAGTAGGAGGAGAGGTAGGAGAAAAGCTGAAAAAGCAGCTTAAGGGTCCTACCCCAGTGAATTCTGACTTCTATGCCAAGATATATTAGTCTGTTCTCACGCTGCTAATAAAGACATAACCAAGACTGGGTAATTTGTAAAGGAAAGAGGTTTAATTGACTCATACAGCATGGCTGGGGAGGCATCAGGAAACATACAATCATGGCAGAAGGCACCTCTTCACAGGGTGGCAGGAGAGAGAATGGGAGCCAAGCAAAGGGGGAAAAGCCCCTTATAAAACCATCACCCCATGGTTCAATTACCTCCCACCAGGTCCCTCTCATGACATGTGAGGATTATGGGAACTACAGTTGAAAGTGAGATTTGGGTGGGGACACACCCAAACCATATCACAAGGGATGTAGATTATTTTCTGGACACATGGGAGCCATTGAAGATTCCTGAGAAGGAGAGTATCATAATCAGAGCAGATTTTTAGAAAGACGAATCTGACTGTGCTAGTGGATTGGATTGGAGACAGGAAGGACAAGAAGCAGACATCAACTAGGAGGCCATTGAGTAATTCTCAAGTGAAATGAGGGTGTGGGTCACAGGTGACAGTGATACGGGAAGTCAGGCACAGAAGGGAGATATGTGAGAAAAGAGGGATCAGTGACTTGCATGTGAGTTGGACCTGAAGGGAGATGGAAAAGGGAACTACAAGGCTACCATTAGTTTCCAAGTCAAAGTGACAATGGCCTCTAAGTTACCAAGGATGGACAAAGGGAATCAATCTTAGATATGTATCCAAGTCTAGCCACAAAGTTAGAGGACAGCAGGACAGAAATGAGCTAACAGCCAGAAACGCAGATTGGTGGTGGGGAAGGGTATGCACAAGGTAGGACCCTGTCTTAGTTAATTTTGTGCAGCCATAATGGAATAACTGGGACTGGGTAATTTATAAAGAACAGATATTTATTTCTTACAGTTCTGGAAGCTGGGAAGTCCAAGGTCAAGGGGCCCACATCTGGCGAGGGCCTTCTTGCTGTGTCATCTCATGGCAGAAGGTGGAAGGGCGAAACAGCATGTGTGTGCAAGAAAGAGAGGAGGCCAATGTTATTCTCCTTTCATCAGGAGCCCATTCCCACAATAACTAACCCTCTCCTGCAGTAACTAACCCACTTGCAAGATAATGGCATTAATGCATGCATGAGGACTAAACCCTTGACCTAACCACCTTTTAAAGGTCCCATCTCTCAACACTGTTGCATGGGAGATTAAGTTTCCAACACATGCTTTATGGGGAACATATCCAAACCATAGAAGACCCCAGGGCAGCTCGCACAGTGCTGCTTACTTAGTACCTTTTCAACAAAGGCAGGTGCTTCTCAACTTGCAATGGGGCAATGTCCCAATTTCAACCCACCCTAGGTTGAAAATAGCATAAGTTGAAGACACATTTAATGCCCCAATAAACCCAGCACAAAGCCAAAAAATTGTAAGTTGAACCATTGTAAGTCCAGATGATCTTCAACTTATGATGGGGTTATGTCCTAATAAGCCCATTGCAAAACTGAAAAATTGTTAAGTCAAACCATCATAAGTCAGGGATCATCTGAACTAATTAAATGAATAAGAGTGAAATGGGGGAGAAAAATATGCATATATATACATTCATTAGACCCGCTTACAACAAAGATTGAATGCAATGAAATTCAGATATAAACAAAGGCTGGAAAGTATAAAAGACCTGATGAAGCACGTGCTCTAAAAAGCTTAGTTAAATTGAAACCATTCCTGCCATCTAGAATTGACTTAATAAAATAGGCATAGCATGATGTAATTATGGCATAGGACATAACTTGCATTAATGAAGTATAACAACCACTCATGAAATCCAATAATATTTTTAAAGTATCAAGAGTACTCCTTTGCTCAGTAAATTATGTAATCAAAATGAATCTATGGCATCCTTCTAAAGTAATGTAATTTCTGAATCCAAGAATTCAGGCACTATACTGCCAGAAGTGGCTCATTACATGGGATGTCAAGCATTTTGAATCTGAGTACATTCCATCCATCAACTGTTGTTTTGTTTTATTCTACTTTGTTTACCCTCCTGAAATTAGCAGCATGTGATAACAGTAAAGTTATAGACAATGGTCAATTCTCCAAGCACTTGATTTTTTTCTTTCTCATTTCTTGGGAGTTTGGGTGCTAGTGGAAGATAAATGTGAATACTTGTCCAAGAAACTGTCAGTGGTGGGAAAGAAATGGGGGACTGTAATAATATTACCAATCTGTATTTATATAGCATCCTTACTTGAAAGAGCTTAGAATGGTTTTAGAACTGTTACATTACAACAGTGTACGTGGAAAATATGATGGTATTCATATTATAGATTTTTTAGCCTGGTCAATAAAACTTTCTGTACTCCACCAATAAAGAGTATTATTAAGATGTCAACTCTTAAATCCGAGTCCTCTTTTCATGAATGGTCAGTTCTTTCTAAATCTCTGTAGTGAATATATCACCCGAAATGGTTTTCACTAAAATTCCCTTAGGTGCAGAGCCAAGCAGGATTAACAATTTGAAGAATCATGGGCCTTTAATTTTCAAAGGAAATAATGTTACCACCTGAGTAATGGTGCAGGATGAAGGTAGAAAGAAAAGAGTGAGCTGGAAAAGTGGAGAAGAGAGTTGTGTAGAGAAACCTTCCTGTGCAACGTGCACCTTTTAACTATGAATAAATAAGTAAATGATTAAAAGGACATTCCAACTCTGTCAATGGAGTCCAGAAATTTCCAAGTTACTCCTCACCTTTTTTCAAGCCAGTTGCCAAGGATAAGGTAAAATGAGTTCTAGCTAATGGAATTCATAAATCATTTGTAAGTGCCTGGGCACCTTTACACTTTAGCATTCTTTTGTGTGGTCCTCAAATGAATTGGCAGGTAAGGCATTTAAAATACCTCTCAGCCACTGTCCTTTTCTCACTGCCACAAACCCTCAAAGAAAGGCAGAGATGGTGAACTAGCAATTCTGCCTTCCAGCCCTACCAGTGATTTCCCCTCAGGCAGCTAGGAGCAGAGATCGGATCTATTCAGATTATGAAAAGAGAGTCAGCAAAAATAGAAAAACACGGCTCGGCTGCCCTTCCATTTAGCCCTCAAATATTCATGGAGGGGCTGCTGGGAGCTAGCTTTGTGAAGGATCCCAAAATAAGTAAAACCCAGCTCCTGGCCTCAAAAATCACTTATCAAGGGAGGGGCTAGGAAACTCCCCCTTGGTGCCACTGTTGGAGGTGGCTGAGCCAGCAAACCTTTGCACCCAGCCTCCTTGGGCTATTTGCAAACCCTTCTAATATGTCCTCTTTTAGCCTAGAGGAAGTGGCAGGGCAAAACTATGAATTATTTAATTTGTCGTGGCTTCCTCTGGTCCTATCCATCCACTTCTCTCTTCTCCATGAAGCTTGTCCTCCCTCCCTGGCCCGTCTCAGAAACATCACCATTTGGTTCACATCTTCCTCACTCTCTCAGGAAAGGGTCTGAAGTCTGTTGTTGAACAAGAACTGGTGTGTATTTTCTCTTGTGATCAGAACACAGCAAAGCATCTTGAACAACAGACAGTCACTAAAGTAAGGAGGCTGATTTTTCTTGCATGGCTTATGGAAAGCTGTATCCTCCCTTCTTGTAGAGACAGCCCCACCCAACTCTTAGCAAAAATTTAAGTCCCAGCGACATTTGCACTTAAGGTGTTGTTGCAGTTCAAACTATTTCAAGCATTATGAACTGGTGTGTGGGGCGGTAATTTGAGGGCAAAGAGTGCTTTCTGAGACCTGTCTGAAATAACTCTACTCATATGACAACACAACATTCTTCAGTCTCTGAACCTGTACTGTCCAATATGGTAGCTACATGTGACTGTTTACATTTAAATTAATCAAAATTAAATCAACTGAATACAGTGGCTCATGCTTGTAATCCCAACACTTTGGGAGGCTGAATTGGGCCGATTGCTTGAGCCTAGCAGTTCAAGACTAGCCTAGGCAATATGGTGAAACTCCACCTCTATAAAAATACAAAGAATTGGCTGGGCATAGTGGCTCGGGCCTGTTAGTCCCAGCTACTCGGGAGGCTAAGGTGGGAGGATGGCTTCAGCCCAGGAGGCAGAGGCTGCAGTGAGCTGAGATCGCATCACTACACTCCAACCTGGGCACCAGAATAAGAACCTGTCTCAAAAAAAGAATTAAAGTAATTTAAAATTCAGAGTCTCAATGAATCTAAATATTTCAAGGGCTCAGTGGTCACACGTAACTGGTGGCCATCATATTGAACAGCACAGAATGTTTATTTCCATCTTCTCAGAAATGTCTCTTGGACAGTGCTGCTCCAAATCAATATTCAAACCATAGCTGAGGATCACTTTTAGATGGGAAGATCATGAAACAGCAATTTAACCATTTATATAAAAAATCAGGCACAATTTAAAAAAAGAAAGATACAGTTGTGCAAAACAATTTATTCTCTTGCAACATAATACGATCAGAGACAACATTTTTTGTTATATACCAAAGAAAGAACACAACAAAACTTCCTAGATACATGGCTGGGCTCGTGGCTCATGCCTCCCAGCACTTTGGGAGGCCGAGACAGGTGGATCACCTGAGGTCAGGAGTTTGAGACCAGCCTGGCCAACATGGTGAAACCCCATCTCTACTAAAAGTACAAAAATTAGCCAGTCAGACATGGTGGCAGGTGCCTGTAATCCCAGCTACTCAGGAGGCTGAGGCATAAGAATTGCTTGAATCTGGGAGGTGGAGTTTGCAGTGACCTGAGATCACGCCACTGCACTCCAACCTGGGTGTCAGAGCAAGACTCCATCTCACAAAAAAAAAAAAGACTTCCTAGATACAGTAAGGACTGAACTTAAGTGAGATAAGAAAAACAAACCAACATCTTTTAAACAGGCATAGTTTTAGGAGATCTATGGTAAAGAGGCACCTCATAATGATAATAATTCTCAAATAGTACTCTAAAATTAACATAAATATTTTTATTTTCATATTGCTCCTTTGGTGTCTAATGAAAACACACATCAAAGGCCTGCAGTGTTATAATTTGGTATATCATTACACAACACACAAGGCAATCTCCAGCCAATCAGAAATGGGGCAAAGTACAGAAACCAGAAGCAAAGGGAATGGCACTAAATACAAACAGGGCCATGGGACAGATACTCATGGGACCCCTCTGGGCGTTCCAGCAGCTGGGGAAGCTTGTTTTTGCCTCTTAACAAGATCTGGTCATATGGTTTGGCTGTGTCCCCATCCAAATCTCATCTTGATTTCCCATATGTTGTGGGAGGCACCTGGTGGGAGGTCATTGAATCATGGAGGCAGGTCTTTCCCGAGCTCTCCTCATGATAGTGAATAAGTCTCACAAGATCTAATGGTAATATAAGGGGGAGTTTCCCCACACAAGCTCTCTTTTTGCCTGCCACCATCCATGTAAGATGGGATTTACTCCTCTTTGCCTTCCACCATAATTGTGAGGTCTCTCGAGCCACATGGAACTGTAAGTCCATCAAACCTTTTTCTTTTGTAAATTGCCCAGTCTCGGGTATGTCTTTATCAGCAGTATGAAAACAGACTAATACAACTGGTTGTTACTTTTTGATTTTTCTTTTTTCTGGTTTATTTTATTTTACTTTTTTTTGGCAGGGTCTGGCTCTGTGGCCCAGGCCAGAGTGCAGTGGTATGATGATCTCAGCTCACTGCAGCCTGGACTTCCCAGGTTCCAGTGATCCTCCCACCTCAGCCTCCCAAGTAGCTGGGACTACAGGCACATGCCACCACACCCAGCTAATTGTTTTTTTTTTTTGCAGGGGGTAGGGGGGTATGTGTCTAGTATGTTGCCCAAGCTGTTCTTGAACTCCTGGGCTCAAGTGCCTTGGCACCCCAAAGCACTGAGATTACAGATGTGAGCCACCACATCTAGCAGTGTTCTCTTTCTTGATGGCAGCAGAAGTATTGGCTTTTCCAGACCTGGCTCTCTCTTGGCCCATTGCTGCCACTCTGTGGGCCTGGTCTGGAGCATGCCAGTGGCTTCACCAATGTGAGACAGTAGAGCGGTGAAGGTGACACAGCCAGACAGAGCCGTGAACTGCACGCTGGTAAGATTTTAAGAATGGCCAGTTTGGTGGCTGAATTTCAGGGAAGAAACAGGTTTCTATCCTTGAGTCCCTTCACACCAACCTCAGTCTGGGTCTCTAGGTCTCTATTCCCCACCATGCCCCTATCACTTAATAGAATGACAAAATACAGAAGGGCCTAAAGGGGGACAGAGAGCTTGGGGTCTGCAGGTCTTCCCTGCCTCCTTCCACCTGCACGCAATCCAGTCTTCACCTGATTCTGAAAAGTGAATTCCCCATCCCCAGGGTGGCTTACCCAGAGGGCAACTTACAACACACAGACTCACAGAATCAGCTTCTCTCTTCTGAATATGGGCCAACAAGCATCTTGAAGATCCCTCTTCTGCACCACCTGCATTCCCACATCGTGCTGGCTCTCCTGGTGGTCTGAGACCTGAAGAGCAGCCATTCAAAATCATATCAATCAATCTACAGATACTTAGCAGTGCCCACTATGGATCTCAGCGCCTTGCCTTCATGGAGTTTCCAGATGGAAGCATTCTCCTCTGTTGAAATGCAAACAGCCGAGACTGAAGACTGACACAGAGTCGCTGAAAGCCCAAGCCATTGACAACTGACTAAAGCCTGGGAACCGCTGGGGAATGGGGAATGGAGAGGGAGTGGGTGGGGCTGGAGGAGCACGTGGTGGCCGTACTTGAGTGTGAACATCCAACAGTATTAGAAAAATGAAGAGGAGAGAAGGAAGGACCTTCTGGAAGCACAGCCATTGGTTTCAGCCTTCATTTCACCATCAGGAAGCTTTGGGGGATTAACTAGAAGCACCTTTTCCTTCCTTTGTCTAACTCCTAGTTTTGTTCATTTTTTTCCCTAAACAATTAGGTGTGTTTCTACCAAAAGAGTAACACTTAAAACATCTGTTAATTCTCTGAAATTCACATTTAAAAAAAATTTTTTTTTGTAGAAACACGTCTTGCTATGTTGCCCAGGCTGGTTGCAAACTCCTGGCCTTGCCAGACACGGTGGCTCATGCCTGTATTCACAGAATTTTAGGAGACCAAGGTGGGAGGATCACTTGATTCCAAGAGCTCAAGAGCAGCCTGGGCAAAATAGTGAGATCCTGTCTCTGCAAAATATATATATATACACACACATATATATATATACACACATATATATGTGTGTGTGTGTGTGTGTATGTGTGTGTGTGTATATATATATGTGTTTTTATATATATATGTGTGTGTGTGTGTGTGTGTGTGTGTATATATATATATATATATATATATATGTATGTATATATATATATATATATATATATATGTATGTATATATATGCGCGGAGTTTTGCTCTTGTCGCCCAGGCTGGAGTGCAGTGGCGTGACCTCGGCTCACTGCAACCTCCGCCTCCCAGGTTCAAGCGATTCTCCTGCCTCAGCCTCCCGAGTAGCTGGGATTACAGGCATGCACCACCATGCCCGGGTAATTTTGTATTTTTTAGTAGAGACGGAGTTTCTCCATGTTGGTCAGGCTGGTTTCCAACTCCCCACCTCAGGTGATCCGCCCGCCTCAGCCTCCCAAAGTGCTGGGATTACAGGTGTGAGCCACTGCACCCGGCACCTCCCCGACCCCACCGCCCCCCGCTAAAAAAAGAAAAAAAAATTAATTAGCTGGGTGTGTGTGCTGTAGTCCCAGCTACTCAGGAGACTGCAGGATTACTTGTGCCCAGGAGGTTGGTCAAGGCTGCAGTGTGCCACAATCACACCACTGCACTCCAGCCTGGGTAACAGAGCCAGAACCTGTCTTAAAAAAAAAAAAAAAAAAAAAAAAGAGAAGAGAAGAAGAACTCCCGGCCTTAAGCGATCCTCCCACCTCATCCTCCCAAAGCACTAGGATTACAGGTGTGAGCCACCACAGCTGCCCTGATATTCACATGTTAATATGCAATCCTAAAACAACAAATCTTCCTCTTTCTCATACTCTCCTCCTGAATATAAGCAGTGCATCCTTGGTGACACTGGTGTTCTCATGGTCTTAGGGAGAGGTGTCAGGGCAAAGTCAAAAGGCTGGGAGTTAACAGGCAAGCACTCTCTCGTCTTCTGGGCTAGATGGGAACAGTGTATTGAAAGAGATAAACAGGACTGAGCATGTTTCAAAGCTTGCAAGGCAAAGTAGGTAGGCTCAGCTACTGAGCTGCCCTGTGACTCCACCAGGATGACAGTTTTAATTGCACTTGCTGGATGAGCTAATTACGGTCAGGGAAAGTTAACACTGGGGTTGCAATGAGGGACACATTTTTTCTGGGAAATGCAGCACACAGGTGACATCCTTATGCAATTCAAGTGTTTCTTCAAAGGTTTGGAAAGATATTTAAACCAAAAGAGTTCAAGATAAAGGGGAGGGAAAAAAGGGTATCTGTGTAGAACTGTGAAGGTTGAGTGGTGAGCAGGAAGTGGAGTTCAAAAGAGGTAGAATAATAGCTCGCAAAAGGCAGCAATAAGTAGGAAAGAGCAATTAATCGGATCAGTCTGTTAAGGCTCAAAACAGTCCGATAGAAAGACGACTTAATATCCTGATCCCCGAGTGAGGATCCCGAATCTTCCATATGACTAATAATTAAAGCCAGCTCTTGGAAAATGCATTCTTTAATTTGTATATTTGAGAGGGGGAACACAGCCCTTTGACCTTACTCCAAATTTTCTTTTGGAAGGTAAATTCCTTAAGATCCTCAGGAAAAAAAAGAAAAAAAAGTTTGGAAGCATTCAATTTAACCATGACAAATTTGAGGTCCTAATGAAAGAACCAGGAAATAACCTTCACTTCCAAGTGCTCAACCACATCTCACACAATCCTCAAAGTTTGCTTTTAACACTCAACTGCTCGCTCCCACATGTCCTTCATTCAGGGAGTTTTATTAACGATATTGTGTTTTTATATTTCTTTCTCCATGTTGTTAATCAACTTTTTTTTTTTTTTTTGACAGAGTCTCCCTCTGTTGCCCAGGCTGGAGTGCAGTGGCGTGATCTCGGCTCACTACAACCTCCGTCTCCCGGGTTCAAGCAATTCTCCTGTCTCAGCCTCCTGAGTAGCTGGGACTACAGGTGTGCACCACCACACCCAGCTAATTTTTATATTTTTAGTAGATACGGGGTTTTGCCATGTTAGCCAGGCTGGTCTCGAACTCCTGACCTCAGGCAATCCACCCGCCTCGGCCTCCCAAAGAGCTGGGATTACAGGCGTGAGCCACTGCGCCCGGCCATTACACAACTTTTATACTCACAGGAACACACACACACTATCTCCACCAGGAATTTTGGCAGAAACAGAACAGCTGGTAACACTACAGTGAGCAGAGGTCGAAAACCGGCCAGTTGTTTAGGATCTCAGAATAGAAAACAGAGACATGCATTCAGCCAGTTGCCCCCCAACAGCTATCACTCCAGGAGAACCCCGGACTACCATCTGGCCTTTGTCTGTAGTCAGACAAGGCTGGGCACAGTGGCTCATGCCTGTAATCCCAGCATTTTGGGAGGCCAAGGTGAGAGGGAGGATCATTTAAGCCCAGAAGTTCAAGAACAGCCTGGGGAACATAGTGAGACCCCACTTTCTACCAAAAAAAAAAATTAAAAATTAGCCAAGTCTGGTGGCATGTGCCTGTGCTCCTAGCAACTTGTGAGGCTGAGGTGGGAGGATCATTTGGGCCCAGTAGGTCAAGGCTGCAGTGAGCCATGATTACACCATAGTACTCCAGCCTGGATGATAGACTAAGACCCTGTCTCAAGAAAAAAAAAAAAAAATAGACAAGCATGGGCAACATAGTGAGATCCCATCTCTAAAATAATAAAATAGTTACTAGACCAGCCATGTTGAATGTTGAAGATTGCTTGATTTTTGTTTCATGCAGGTTTTAAATTAGATAATAGATCCATCTTCACCTCTGGGAAGGTGAGATATTCAAGTTTTGGGACCAAGAATAAAATGAGTGAGAAATAGCCAATGAAGTTCATGGTATTGGCTGTTGAGAAATGAAAAGATTATAAAAGGGGTTTTTTCCTTTTTTGAAGGAGGACTTTAGTCTCTGATTCCAGCAATAGTCACCAGTTCTTCTCCCCCTTCAATAGGAAGAAAGGAAACATAAAATGGCCCTAACGTTAGGAAGAAACAACAGAAGATGTGTTGTACTGTTGATGGGGTAAGGAAAATGCAGCAGCTGAAGGGAAACAGCTGACTGCATCTCCAGGGACAATAACTGAGGACAGCTGAGAGCAAGGTACCTGGCAGAGGCCAACACCAAAGCCCTGAAGAGTCCGGGGGGCAGAAGAAGACCTCAGGTCACTGCTTCATACCCATCCCAATCACCGTTACCATGCGTGGGGGTCAGGGGCCAGGCCTCACACTCCAGAGACTGATTCAGTAGATCTGGGTGGGGCCGAAGAGACTTATTCACTATCACGAAAACAGCACGGGAAAGAGCCAACCCCATGATTCAATGACCTCCCACTGGGTCCCTCACACGATATGTGGAAATTGTGGGAGCTACAATTCAAGATGAGATTTGGGTGGGGACACAGCCAAACCATATTGCTCCTGGTGCTAGTACTGTGGGTACTAGCACCTTTTCACATTTCTCCAAGAGCCCCTGGTTAATATTCAAGAGACTGGACTTTTATAGGGAATTTAGTCTCCATTTTTCTTCACTGGCAGTACAGTGGCATCATCTGTCAGGCCTCTTAGTAGAAGATGGTGCTGGCCTCCTTGCAGGTGAGGAGAATGTGACCGTCCCATGGGGCCTATGTTCTCAAGAATCAGGAGAGGAGACCCATTTGCTGAGTGTTGGTTCTTTGTGACAGAATCATCTCTACCGAGGGCCACATTAGGAAAATTTGGGGACATGGTTCATATATACATATAGCTTTTTGGACCCTTTGCTAAAGTAAGAAAAACACTTGTTATTCTATTATTCCACTTTTTCATGTTCTCAGTCTATAAGACATAACTCCAGATACCCCTTATTAGTCTGTTATCACACTGCTAATAAAGACATACCTGAGACTGCGTGATTTATAAAGGAAAGAGGTGAAATGGACTCAAAGTTCCACATGGCTAGGGAGGCCTCACAATCATGGTAGAAGGCAAGGAGGAACAAGTCACATGAATGACGGCAGGCAAACAGAGAGAGCTTGTGCAGGGAAACTCCTCCTTATAAAATCATCAGATCTTCTGAGACGTATTCACTATCATGAGAAAAGCACGGGAAAGACCTGCCCCCATGATTCAATGACCTCCCACTGGGTCTCTCCCAAGACACGTGGAAATTGTGGGAGCTAGAATTCAAGATGAGATCTGGGTAAGGACACAGCCAAACCATATCACTCCTGCATATTATACCAGGACTTAATTCCTACTCTTCTTCACAAGCAGTGGTTTATCTCCAGGCCTACTAAAAGTCCTTGGAGACTTTTGAACACCCATTCAGAGAACGGAGAATCACACTAGTCTGGAAGGAAAACAGACTTTCAGACACATTGGCTTTGTTTGGCGTTGAACTTGATTTGGTGATGACAGGCTCAGGTGCTCCCAAAGGGAAATTGCAAGGATATACACAATACTTTTAACTGAAAAACTCAGTGACTCTCAGGCAGGTTTATGGTGTTTACACACCTAAAAATTGTGTCCCCAGGTGATCTGAGCAAGGCAACCACTTTAACCATTGGTTGAAAAGCCTCCCTTCCACTGCGAAACCATTTCAGCACTTGTTCATTAAATTTGAAACATCAAAGAGGATTTGCAAATCTGGAAAACATTTATGAAAAATTTAAATGGGGTGTCACTTTGGCAGTGTAAGTGGCATGAACTGTTTGATTTTCAACTATTTACAGATGTTTCTGACTCTGGAATTAACATGTATATTTTCCAGGAGAAATTTTGTATGCAAAGTTTTGACCAAATTTGCCTGAGAGAGGAAAATTAGTTTAAGTCTATATAGTGTGGAACCGTTCCCCTGTGTGTCATACGTTTGTCTCTTTGGGCACATATGAGAAAAGAGAAACTTTTCTTATATTATAGCTCTTGATATCAGAATTTCTGCATGAGAAGATTTAAAAACTTAATGTTCTATCCTCATTTTTGTTTGGGATTCATGAGTTCCAAATTTAACACATCCTTTCTTTCCTGGTTCAAATTTATGCTTGGGAGCTTTCTTTAAATAACTATGTGGAAACTGGTCACATAAGACAATGTGAACTGAGAACATATTTGGCCCTCTGCAAGTCTGGAAGTTTTCTCAAATATTGTTTTCCTGCCTTGGAGTCCAGTAAATGAATCTTTCTGTGACTCAGAGCTTCAACCCTTGGGAAAAGAAGGGAGAAAGTTCAGGGTTTTGCCTGGAATATTTTGAAATATTAAGCATTTTCTGTAGTTCACATTTGAGTTATCATTTATGTCACTTTTTACTCCTAAAATGACTTGATGTGACTTACAAAAGTACATACAATACTTTAAAAAGCAAGCCAAAAAATGGGGGAAAAGAAAAAATAATTGTCATATGTATATTTCACTACAGGTTGGCTGCATTTTGGGACCTGAATTTTCTACAGCCAACCCAGAAAAGAAAACTCTTTTTGAAACTATTAGAAATAAAGAAAATCAATTGCTCAAGAGAAGTAAGACTAGTCCTGGGACTAAGACCTAAGTAAAATTTTTTACATGGGTCAACTTACTCTATAACATTCTCAACAACTTTCTTACATAGCATAATAATAAGTCTTAATTTATATATATAAACATATACATTTTAGAGATATAGATACATATTTTAGAATCTCTAACATATATGTAATAGATATCTATTACATATATAGATCTATATTATATACTATATATTATAGATTATATTATATATTACATATAGATTATCTATTACATATATAGATCTATATTTTACATATAATATATTATAGATCTATATCAGATATAGATCTATAATATATAATAGATATCTATTACATGTATATGTATCTCTAATATATGTATATTTTAGAAACCCTATCTCTACTAGAGATATATATGTACACATATTTCACCATGTTGCCCAGGCTGGTCTTGATTGGATCATAGGGGCAGATTTATTAGAGATATATATTTATAATTCTATTTTATATATATAAAATATATATTAGATAGATATCTAGAGATATATAATATATATATATTAGAGATGGGGTTTCTAAAATATATACTATATATATTATATATATAATATATATGTGTATGTATATATTCACACACACACACATTTCACCATGTTGCCCAGGCTGGTCTTGATTGGATCATAGAGGCAGATTTATTACAGATATACATCTAGAGATATAGATTTTTTGCATTCTCAATCCTCCTGCCTCAGCCTCCCAAAATGCTGAGATTACAGGCATGAGCCACCCAGCATGCCTGGTCAATAATGAATTTTAAAAGACTGAGTTCTATACACCTCTCAACAAAGTCCAGTGTCTCAACCCTGAAAAAGAGCTCTGTCGAGCATTGCAATGAAGGGGCAGAATGGTGCATTCCAGGAAATCAGCTGTACCCTAGGCTGATCTAATTGAAGAAGAAAATTTTGTGTATGTAGCAAACTAGATAGACTGCATACCCTTCAGGTAATCTTTCCTACTTATTATTATTTTGAAACCAAGCTTTTGAAAAATGTTGAACGATGTCCCACAGTCCTCCTCCTGCATATCACTTGGGGACCTATTTAAAAACGCATCACCCCAAGGGTAACATATCAGAATTTCTGAGTGAATATCCTAGTATCTGTAAAGCTCCTTTGGGCAGCTAGAGTTGGTTACCATCGTTGCTAAGTATTTGACCCTGTTAGCTTATTGTTTATGTGCTTCCTCCACTGCCTTCTGTGACTCTGAACCCTCTTGGCTTGTTTCTTTACTTTTCTCAAAGGTACTTCTCAGATGCTGCCACTTATTCTCGTGCCCTAAATAGTTGTGACATTTTCTTAGTTTTGTTCTTCAGTTTCACACTCAGTGACACAAACAGGTATATACAGTTGATATAGTTTGGATGTTTGTCCCTGCCCAAATCTCATGTTGAAATGTGATTCCCAGTGTTGGAGGTGGAGCCTGGTGGGAGCTGATTGGATCACTTGGACAGATTTATCATGAATGGTTTAGCGCCATCCTCTTGGTGCTGTTTCTGTGATAGTGAATGGTTTCTCGCAAGATCTACTTGCTTAAAATTGTGTGGCACCTTCTCCCTGTCTCTGTTTTGCTCCTGCTCTGGCCACAGGACAATCCCGCTCCACCTTTGCTTTCCGCCATGATTGTAAATTTCTTACTAGAAGCCGAGCAGATGCTGGAGCCATGCTTCCTATACAGCCTGCAGAACCATGAGAGCCAATGAAACCTCTTTTCTTTATCAATTACCCAGTCTCAGGTATTTCTTTTTTTTTTTTCTTTTATTTATTTATTTTTTTGATAGGGAGTCTCCCTCTGTCACACAGGCTGGAGTGCAGTGGCACAATCATGGCTCACTGCAACCTCTGCCTCCCAGGTTCAAGTGATTCTGTTGCCTCAGCCTCCCAAATAGCTGGAACTACAGGCATGCACCACCATGCCTGGCTAATTTTTGTATTTTTAGTAGAGACATGGTTTCACCATGTTGGCCAGGCTGGTCTTGAACTCAAGACCTCAGGTGATCCAGCAGCCTCAGCCTCCTAAAATGCTGGGGTTACAGGCATGAGCCACTGTACCCAGCCCAGGTATTTCTTTATACCAAAGCAAAAGCAGCCTAATACAACATTTAACCAGCCCACCAAAAATTTTGCTCTTTAAAGCTACCTTTCCCTAGCCACAGTATATTCTCACTTGCCTGGCAGACATCATCACATGAATCTCCTAACAGTCTTTTAAACCCAAACCCATGGGTTTACTCATGTCTCTTTAAAAGAGATTCTCTCTTCTTCTTAATCAGCTTCATTATCACCAATACCCTTCGTGTTATACAGATTTGTTCTTGTTTTTGTTTTTTAGAGACAGAGCTTCTCTCTGTTGCCCAAGCTGGAGTGCAGTGGTGCCATCATAGCTCACTGCAGCCTTGAATTCCTGGGCTCAAGCAATCTTCCCACCTCAGCCTCCAGAGTAGTTCTGCAAATTTGAAACCTCAAAGTCAATGTTCTTGCTCTCTTGGCCTTACCACTGTTTTCAATCAACTGCCAAGTCCTCGTAATGACATTTCTAAAATCAATTTCATATCTTGGTCTTCACTGTCTTCTCTCAGCTACTGCCCTATGTTGGGTTATCATTGCATGTCACCTGGAATTATTGGACTCTGTAATATCCTTTTAGTCTAGACAAATTGAAAAGAGTTGGAATAGTTTGGTTAGAATTAAGTTCTAGATTCCTAAGGCACACCTCTAACCTTAAAATTCTTGTTTTCTTTTACTCATCAGAATAAGTGCTATGCCTTTGGAACTCTCTTTGGCTTCCCAAACATCCTGGCCCCCTACAGTTTCTGAACTTTCCCATCTCTTTGCCAATGTGCATATTGTCTCCTCCAGTGGAAATATCTCTCTGCTCCCCCGCAAAATGAGGTCCAAAGCCCACCTATTCTTCAGGGCCAGTCAACTGTGTATTCCATACACTAATTAAAATAATGTCATTTCCAAAATTGGAATTCAATTAATGTTGAATGAATAAGTGAAAAGATGAATGAATATTTATTTCAGAATTTTCTCTTGGCTGCATCATCCAGAGAAGTAAGACTTTATTTTTTTTTGTTTCGTTAGTTCCCATTTATTTGACTCAGTCTTTTTTGGCAGGGGTAGGGGGAGTCTTTTTGGCCTGATTTGGCACTTCTTTATCACCAAAGAGAAAAAGCAACCCTACTCGGGAAGTAGAAAACCTTTCAAGTAAGCCCCATGTCGTGTCCTCTTAAAGAGACCTTGTTTCACACCATGAATCAGAGCCTCTGTGAGGGGCAAGCTGAGGCATGACACAGGGAAATGCACAGGATAGGAATTTGCTCAGGATTGTGGGCTGCACGAGAGCAATAGCCCAGTTAGGAAAGAAGCACCAGGGCTTGGGAGCATGCCTTGCTCTTCACCTGCCTGTTATTATGGGTGCAATGACACCACGGGACGCTATGATTTATCAGAGAAAAATCGCCTGGTAATAGGAGTAGAACTAGCCCTCATTAAGATGAAACAGTGTCTGATATCCTTGAGTCAGACAAAAGAGAATATGAAATTGATGTGGTCAGCATTACTGCCAGGCTGCATTTGAAAAGAATCAAACCAAGTGGCAATTGATAGCACTTCAGGAGGAAAAAGACCTGCAGATGAAACAGAAGCATGTTGAATGTAAACTTCTAGTTTTAAATGCATTAAAATACAACTTTACATTTTATTTCCTTCCACAGTGAGATCATTCAGAACCAATCTATAAAAGGAACAAGGTGTATACATTTAATATGCTCTTGCTGAAGCCCTACAGCAAAGGGTGGTGGTAGGATTAATTTAATGACCAAACTGTCAACCTCTTGAAATAAGTATGGGCATGTTTCTAGTGCTGGAAAGACCAAAAGTGCTTCATGAAAGGCGGCTAGGCATGGGGAGTGGGGTCAGCTGGTGACACTTGACTTGGAGAGTATCACTGTCCCTGGCCAAAGCCCTCCAAGGTCTTTAACTATTAAATAAAGGGGTTCGGAGTGCTCTGATGTTAATTTGTTTCTTGCTACCTCCTAAAACTGTGGGTAAGGTGAATACATTTGTTTAGAATGCCTCTTAGCTAGTGAGCCAGGCCATCTGTAAATAGGAAAGTTTTCTTGCACAGGAAAGTCTACCTTATCAAGTTGCTTTAAAGAAGAGAGTCAACATGCTTGTGTTGGAAAAGCAAGTGGTAGACTTTTGAAACCAGCCCAATTGTCCCACAGAACTGATGTTTCAGTCTCATTAAATGAACATAGAAATTGGCCCTCCTGGTCTTAAAGCTTGAAACTTGCATTCATCTTATGTGAGTTCCCCCCTCAGGAAACCTACTCTCAGTCCTCCCAGATGGTATCAAGGAACTGAAGCTCACCAGATCACCACATGCAGACCATAAGAAGCCAGAACCCTCATCCCTCTTTTTTTTTCTTTTTTTTTTGAGACAGAGTCTTGCTCTGTTGCCCAGGCTGGAGTGCAGTGGTGCAGTCTCAGCTCACTGCAACCTCCACCTCCCTGGTTCAAGCGATTCTCCTGCCTCACCTTCCCAAGTAGCTGGGGTTACAGGCGCCTGCCATCACGCCTGGCTAATTTTTTGTATTTTTAGTAGAGATGGGGTTTTGCCATATTGGCCAAGCTGGTCTCCAACTCCTGGCCTCAAGCTATCCACCCACCTCAGCTTTCCAAAGTACTGGGACTGTGCCGGGTCCCTCATTATTTTCTTACCCCTCTGTAATTCTTGTTTACCTGTATATAGTTATATTTTATCCCTGCTATATAAACCCCTACTTGTAGTTGGTCAAGGAGATGGATTTGAGACTGAGCTCCCAGCTCCTCAGCTGCAGCACCCTATTAAATCCTTCTTCCCTGGCAGTCCTCATTGTCTCAGTGATTTGCTTCCTGTGCAGCCAGCAGCAGGACCTAGACCAAACTCCTGGTGTGTCAGTAACACTTTCACTCCATGTCAGATTTAGCATTGCTTGTTATGGTTTATGTATTGATTAACTGAAGAAAACTTGGTGATCACTTCTTTTATCCAACAAAAATATCTCTATTCATGCTTTCCATTCACATCCTGCAAAGGCACTACCCCTCTTCTCCTACCCAGAGGCCCATCTCCAACCTTTCATCCCTCAGTCTTTGATCTCCTTCCCTGCCCTCATCACATTTTTGGAAACAACCAAAGGGAAGCTTTGAGCTAAGGAAGAAGTTTCTAAGGCCTTGGAAATGCAGCAGAGGTCAAATCTATTCTGGGGCCCTTACCTTGAGGGCCTGGCATGGGAGAGAGGAAGTTTCCACTGCTCCCTCCTGGCTACGATGCCCTTTCTCCCTTCTCTTAGGGGTTAATCACTTTTAAAGTGAGAAACTTATAGAATTGAAATAATGTGGGGCCATATTTTAAAAAGCATTAGCACAGACAATGTCTTAATTTTAAAAACTTCAAGTGAGATACATGTATATGTGGTAGAGATGACATTGTTTAAATATAAACTTCTTCTTGTTGGACGATTTTGCTAGAGCAGAACGTTGTATGGAACAGATCTTCAGAGAGCATCCTCCAGTTGGACAGACAGCTCTTCTTCAGCCAACTATGACAGTAATAATAAAGGGTGCAGTTCTGTGCTGTGGGAAAAGGCAAAGTAAACAAAAAAGTGCACTATGTTCCTTACAGAGCTTTGCTTTGAAACATGACCCATCATCATTGCAAAGGAGGGAAATAATTTCCCACCCTTCAGAAACCTCCCTCATTTGAACTTAAAATTAGGAAACAATGAGCTTTTCTGATTTTAATTTTACTTTGTCAAATAAATAAATTTGTCCAACAGGGCAAAGGGACGACGTGATTACAAACAAAACCACATTGAACTGGCCATGTGAAGTCTCAGGACTCCATGAGTCAGCTCCTAAAGCTTTATGATCCAGCTTTCCTTACCTGCAAGGTGAGATTCCAAAAGCTGACGTCCCATACATTGAGAAAAGTTCTCCAGTAACAACCAAAAGAAAGTTTCTGAACTTTGTGAATACATAGTTCAAATCACAGCATTTATACTACTTTAAGGAACTTTCTTAAGAGACTCATGTTTTTAGCTTTGGCCCTCCTGCTAATTTTTTTCTAAGAAGAATTGCAACAGAAGACAATAGGATTAAAAAACAAAATATTTTCCAAATCCTAGAGCCAACATAAATATGGTGTGTGTGATGTGTGGCAGGATGAGAGGAAAAAAAGGTCATTTGGACCTGCTCCAGACCCTTTGGCCAACCTAGAAGGTTATTTTACCAGTCCAGGGGAAATGGCAGAGTTTACCCCAGAATCAATACTGGGGTCAGAAAACAAAAAAAGCACTGCAAAAAAAATAATAATCCTTTAATTTTTGCTGTGAAAAATGAACACTTCTTTTCTCTATATTAAGCATACAGCAAAAAGTAATTAGTTAATGAATTATATGTTTATGAATTAAAAGGAGTTTTTGTATGTGAGTTAGGAAAAAAGATTTGGAAAACCACAAACAGAAGAACGATCATTTCACTTAATATAATTCCCTTTCCCACCCATTTCTCACAATCATGTACTCTTGATATATTTAATCTTTTGCAATGGTTCCCATGGCAACTCCTCCTGGTAGTGGCAGAGCTGAAGGCTACTGTGGTCTTGAAACCCGGCCCTGCCCTGAGAAGGTTTTTTTTTTTCCTTTTCTCTCTTTTCATTTATTTGTTTATATTAAACCTTGGGTATCTTAGAACTCTCCTTGCATTGACCATCAGAATCATGCCAGAGATGAGAACATGAGATTTTTTTAAGGACAAAAGATGTGTTGCTTTTGTTTTGTTTTTGTTTTTTACAGTTTTCAAAGCAGTTTTCAAAGATTCATTTAAATCTGTCCTCTCCATCACCACTTAAAACCTCCTTAACAGCATGTATGAACATGAGGAGGTGCACTTTAAGGAGTATTAATTAAAATGTGTCCCTAAAGACTGAAAACATTACCTCAGGAACACAAGATACTGGAAGTCCCTGGTGTAAAAATTCGTGGGTGGCACATGCGGGGTCTGCCATGGCAGCTTTGAGGTGGTGTAATGCTTAAGAATTCGAATGGTAGGACATGCTTCTCATTTCCTTCCTGCAATTTGTTTCTCTGCCCCCAGATAATACCAGCTCTGAGAAGTGGGCTCAGGGACTACAAAATCAAATATTATTATTAATCACTGTAATTACTTTTCTTGGCCCAACTGTGGAGCTGGGAAGCAAACCAAATTCTCTTGAGTGCAGTCTTAACTAAAACATGTTGCTGGGCCACTATTACCTCATTCTTAGTCATCTTAAACTAGAAAGAATATTACTACAAATTATTTTTTCTGAAATATAATTGTGCTTGTTTATTTACATACATTCCACTCATAAAACACAAGGTTTAAGGCATTTCTCCCTAAAGACCAAGAAAAACCTCATCTCTAATTCTCAAATGTACAAAAAACTTCAACATAAACAAAATTACTTTAAAAGTTATCCCTAGAGCCAGGCATGGTGGCCTGTAATACCAGCTACTCAGGAGGCTGAGATAGGAGGATCTCTTGAGCCCAGGAGTTTGACACTATAATGTCCTATGATGATAACTGTGCATAGCTGCTGCCTGGGCAAGATAGCCAGATCCTGTCCCCGAAATTTAAAAGAAAAATCTTCAAAAAACTAAAAATAGAGCTACCATGTGATCCAGCAATCTCATTGTTGGGCATATACCCCAAAGAAAGGAAATTAGTCTATCAAAGAGATACCTGTGCTCCCATGTTTGTTGCAGCACTGTTCACAATAACCAAGATTTGGAAGCAACCTAATTGTTTATGGACATATAGAAACAACAATTAGAAAGGCTGTTTGAATTTGAAGTGTGGATAGACTCAGGTTGCTTCCAAATGTTAGCTATTATGAATGGATAAAGAAAATGTGGTACATATACACAATGGAGTACTATTCAGCCATAAAAAAAGAATGAGATCCTGTCATTTGCAACAACAGGGATGGAACTGGAGATCATTATGTGAAGTGAAATAAGCCAGACACAGAAAGACAAACATTATACATTCTCACTTATTTGTGGGGTCTTAAAGTCAAAACAATTGAACTCATGGACATAGAGAATAGAAGGCTGGTTATCAAAGGCTGGGAAGGGTAGTGGGGATGGGAGCGGGGTGGGTGGTTGATGGTTAACGGGTACAAAAAAAAATTAGAAAGAATGAATAACACCCACTACTTGATAGCACAACACGGTGACTATAGTCAATAATAATTTAATTGTACATTTTAAAACAACTAAAAGAATGTAATTGGATTGTTTGTAACTCAAAGGATAAATGCTTGAGGGGATGGATACCCCATTCTCCATGATGTGATTATTTCACATTGCATGCCCGTATCAAAACATTTCATGTACCCCATAATTATATACACCTACTACTTACCCACAAAAATTAAAAATAAAAAAATTTTTAAAAGAAAAAAGCAAACTTAGTTATGTACATTGGTATGAGAATACACTTCTGTTTACCAGTTGAAGAAGATTAAAGTTTCAGAGTTAATGATACTTAAGCGTCGCATTTGAAATCATTTATAGCAATTATACTTCTAATAAATTGATGGCACATTTTCTTTTCTAATAAATATACATCTAAGATCTTCAGCACTGTAAAACTCTATAGGGTGCCATTTGCACTGATGAAATCATAGATTTGTGTATTTATTAAGACCACTCTGCAGCAGATAGAATTAAAGTGGTTTTATCTTAAACAAACCAAAAACAGCATAATATGACATTTTTCTGAGCTTGGAAAGTAAAGTATCCTGAGTGATTTGTGCCATTTTTTAATTTATGCAGAAGCAAATATTAAATAAATTAAATACATTTCATTTAAAGCCATCAGTATGGGCTATAGAATATACCAAAACATTCTCACTGACATTTATGGTCAGATAGAATATGTGGATTATTTTGTGCTATACTCAACAACAATTAGAAAGGCTGTTTGAATTTTTTAGCCAACGAATTTCCTATCAGGCAGTAAACTTTAAGACTACAGGGACTCAACATTATTGACCATTTATTAAAATGTCACTGTGACTTAGCTTTATGGGTGGCAGAAAACCAAAGCTTTCATTTTCATGAGCTAGTTTAGGCACATGGAGTTCCTATATGGTCTGGGGCAAGTCAGTTTACCCCCATCTAGTCCAGTTTCTTCACCTAAAAAAATTACAGAATCCCTGAGATCTCTTTGATTGTATATTTCATAACATGATGAATTTTATCCACCTATACTTTCAGGAATATATCATTGCATTGCAGTCAAAGACACATCCTTAAAAATCCTTGATATTTTGTGGGTTAAATGACAGCATTTGAAATAGTTGTATTACTATTTTCTTTTTTAAATTGTGACATACAATAAATAACACATAAAGTGTATAATTTGGTAAGTTTGATTTCTGTAAATGCTCATCACCGTAATCAACATAATGAACATTTCCATCACCCGGATAAATTCCTCGTGTCCCTCAGTAGTCCTTCTTTCTTGCCTCTCCCCTCCCCAAATCCCACTCCCCAGGAAAGCACTGATATGCTTTGTTTTGCTGTAGATTATTTTGTGTTCCCTAGAATGTTATATAAACAGAAGCATATATATAAATTTTTTTTGTCTGGCTCCATTCACCCAGTATAGTTACTTTGAGATTCATCCATGCTGTTGTGAATACTGATCACTTATTCCTTTTGATTGTTGAATGGTATTCCACTTTATGAAGATCCCAGAGTTTGTTTATCTAGTCACCTGTTGATGGACATCAGGATGGTTTCCAGTTGGGCGTTGTTACAAATAAAGCTGCTATAAATGTTTGTGTATAAGTCTTTGTGGAGACATAGGTTTGAGTTCTAGGAGTATAGAAACTGGGTCATACTGTAGGTATATCTTTACCTTGAGAACCTGACAGACTCTTTTCCAAAGAAGTTGCATCCTTGTGCATTACCTCCAGCAGGGTATGAGAGTTCCAGTTGCCCTACATCCTTGCCAACATTGGTATCACAAGTTGGTGTTTGTTTTTTTTTTAGATGTTCTAACCAATGTATAATGATATGTCATTGTATTTGTCCGTTTTCACACTGCTGATAAAGACATACCCCAGACTGGGTAATTTATAAAGAAAAAGAGGTTTAATGGACTCACAGTTCCACGTGGCTGAAGAGGCCTCACAGTCATGGCGGAAAGCAAAAGGCACGTCTTACATAGTGACAGACAAGAGAGAATGAGAATCAAGCAAAACGGGATTCCCTTTATAAAACCATCAGATCGCATGAGACTTATTCACTACCACAAGAAGAGTATGGGGGAAACTGCCCCCATGATTCAGTTATTTCCCACCAGGTTGCTCCCACAACACATGGGAATTATGGGAGCTAGAATTCAAGATGAGATTTGGCGGAGGGGAGACACAGTCAAATCGTATCAGTCATTGTGGGTTCAATTTGCATTTCCTTTATGATTAATGATGTTCAGCATTTTTTCATGTGCTTATCTGCCATGCATATATATTCTTCAGAGAAATGTGTATTCAAATCTTTTGCCCATTTTGGTTTTGGCTGTTTGTCTTCTTATAAGTGAGCCTTGGAAATCTCTTTATATATTCTGAATACAAGTTCCTTAGCTGATATGTGATTTGTAAATATTTTCTCCCTGTCGGTGGCTGTCTTTTCTTTCCTTTTACAGTGTCTTTCAAAGAGCACAGTTCTTCGTCATAATGAAATCTAATTTGTCAGACTTTTTTCTTCTATGAATCATGTTTTTGGTGCTGTATGTAAAAAATCTTTGCCCAATCAAACATTACAAAGATTTTTCTTCCTATGTTTTCTTCTAGAAGTTGTATAGTTTTATATTTTATATTTAAGTCTATGATCCATTGTGAGTTCATATTTGTATGTGGTGCAAGGTGGGGATCAGGGTTCATTTTTGCATATATGGTTATCCAATTGTTCCAGTACAATTTATTGAAAAAGCTATTCTTTTCCCACAAAATTGCCTTTGCAACTTTGTCAAAAATTCACTTACATGTATGTGTGAATCCATTTATGGACACTCTATTCTAGGTCTATTTATCCTTGAAATTCTACCAGTTTCTGCTGCCTGTATTTTGGACTCTGTTATTTAGGTATATTAACATTTACAGTGGTTGTTTTCTATAATGAATTGACCCTTTTATCATTATGAAATGACCTTCTTTATCGCTGCTAATATGCTTTGCTCTGAAAACTGCTTTGTGTGATATTAATATAACCACTATAGCTTACTTATGATTAGTGTTAGCATGATGTATTATTTTCCATACTTTTAACCTAATTGTGTCTTTACAATTAAACTGCATTTCTTGCAGGCAGCAGAGAGTGGCTCTTGATTTTATTTTCTTGTGACAACTTCTGCCTTTGAATTTGGGGGTTAGGCCATTGTGATTTAATGTAATTATAGAAATGATTAAGTTATATTTCCTCTTCCGTTTTTCCATTTTCTCTGCCTTTTTGGGGTTGGGTATTTTAAAAATTCCTTCAGTTATTTAAGAAGTATTTGTCAGGCATGGTGGTAGACACTGGAAATACAACAGTGGGTAAAACAGATAAGATACCTGCCTTGTGAGAATTAAATTCTAGTTGAAGAGATAATAACGGGGCCATTAACACTACAGTAAGGTGTGCAAGGAGAAGAATGGACAAAACTCAGGTAAGAAGTTCAGTTGAGGGACTCACCTAGCAAGTTTTTTGTTTCTTATTGCCTTTTTAATTTCTGTTATTTCAATTTGGTTCTTTTTTATTACTTACGTCTTTGTTAAGATTTACGATTCTTTTCATTCCTTTCATGAAAATTAATAATACCTTGTTGAGTCATTTTTATGATGGCTGCTTTAAAATCTTGGTTCTTGATGTGCAGGTGATTTTTTATTATATCCTGGACGTTTTGGCTTTGATATTAGGAGATCCGGGCCCTATTTAGATCTGTGATGACAGCAGTCAGCCTATTTAGATTTAGCACAGCGGTTCTGACCTAATGTTGTGGGGTGTGGTTCTAGTGACAACTTCATTTTCAGAGCTGTTTTGGCTGCTTGCTTTCTCTGGTGCCACCGGGGCTCCCACTAGTCCCTGCTGGTACTGCTTGCAGTGGTGTAGTATAGTTTCCCTAAGCCAGGCTGTCTCGTGCTTCCTAGGAGGAAAAAGGAAATCTCTGACCCAAGGGGACAAATACACTTCCTGGACCAGGTCTTTATAGTTGGGGGATCCCCCTTGTCAGTGCTGCCTGGCCACCTGGTGTCTCTGGGTGGAGGATGGGAGTCTCAAGCCTGGCAAGAAATTACAGTGCTTTCTGGGCCAGGGGCTTACTGCAGTGGGTCTCCCTTCCCAGTGCCTGTTGGTGCTTGGGTTGGGGATGAGTGTCTTAGCCCCAGTGGGGAAGGAGAGTACTTAACCTAGACACTTACTCTTAGCAGGGCCTTCAATCGGTCTCCCTTGCGGGAGCTGCCGAACTTGTTTGTCGTTGCTGGTAGAGTTTGTTTGTTTCCATTGCTGCTGCACAAATTAATGGCGGAGCTTTTGTTCACTCCAAGGAAGAAATGAGCTGATCTGAGCCCCCTTTAGTGGACAGGCCCGGAATCAGAAAATGCCAGGCCTAAGTCCCTTTCTTGTGTTGGATGGGGAGAACGTAAGACACAATGCTGCTGTTTTTCTCTAGTCCAGAGACTCCCCCCAGAGTCCTCCTTCCTCTTCCCATCATGTATAGTTCTCCTTCGATTGCCTCTTACATTATTTCCAGGGTTTATAGTTGTACTTAACAGGGAGTTAAGTGCAATTTAACTGGAGATGGACTTGTACACCATTTCACCTGGATCAGAAATCCCTGGATTGAGTGTATTTTTAATGATTTCATTGACCATTGTGTTTTCTTATTAGCTATAACTCTGTGTGACATTGTTTTAGTAATTGTTTTAGGGTTTATATTGTACATCTTTACCTTATTAGAAACTACCATATATATATATATATATGGTGTATATATATATATATGGTGTGTGTGTGTATATATATATATATATATGGTGTATATATATATATGGTGTATATATATACCATATATATATATTTTTTGTTGTTGTTGTTGTTGTTCTTGAGACGGAGTTTCGCTCTTGTTGCCCAGGCTGGAGTGCAATGGCACGATCTCGGCTCACCACAACCTCTGCCTCCCGGTTTCAAGTGATTCTCCTGCCTCAGCCTCCCGAGGAGCTGGGATTACAGGCATATGCCACCATGCCTGGCTAATTTTGTATATTTTTTAGTAGAGACGGGGTTTCTCCATGTTGGTCAGGCTGGTCTCGAACTCCCGACCTCAGGCGATCCACCTGCCTCAGCCTCCCGAAGTGCTGGGATTACAGGCGGGAGCCACCGCACCCTGCCAAATGTTATTATATTTCATATATAGTACAAGGATCTTACAACAGTATACTTCCATTTCTCCTCCCAGCCTTCTGCTATTTTTGCCATAAATTTTATTTCATATATAGTACAAATAATATATACTCTACAATGCATTGTTATTGCTTTAAGCAGTTAATTATCTTTTCAAGAGATTTAAATAAGAAAAAACTCTTAAATTATCCACATAGTTATCATTTCCTAGGCTCCTTGTCACTCTGTGTAGATATAATTTTCCATCTGGAATTATTTTCTTCTGCTTGAAGGACTTTCTTTAACGTTTCTTATAGTGCAGATGTGTTATCAATAAATTTTTTCAGTTTTGTTTGTCTAAGACTTTATTTTGTCTTCGTCTTTGAAAGATGATGTTTTTCCTGATAAAGAATCCAAGTTGACAGCTTTTGTGTTTGAGAACTTTCTCACTTGCCTTAATTCTGAGGAGAAAGCTACTTTTTTTTTGTTCTGCTGTATATAATGTGTCCTTTGTCTCTGGCTGTTTTCAATATTCTCTGTATTGCTGATTTTAAACGATTTGATTATGACGTGTCTTGATGCAGTTTTCTTCGTGATTCTTGTCTTGCATTTGTTTAAGCTTTGTAGATCTGTTGGTTTCAGATTTCATAAATTTTGGAAATATTTCAGCCATTATTTCTTCAAACCATTTTTCTGTCCTACCCTAATTATGCATATATTAGGTCTCTTAAAAGTTGCTTCATAGCTTACAGATGCTCTTCTTTTTTTTCAGTCTGTTTTCTTTTTGTTTCATTTTGGATCATTTCTATTGCTACGTCTTGAAGCTAACTGATTTTTTCTTCTGCAACATCTAATCTGCTATTAACCACAGAGATTTTTCATCGTTGACATCGTAGGCTTTGTCTCTCAAAATCTGACTTACTTTTTTTAATATTTTCTATGTCTCTACTTAGCACATTTTATCGTTCCTCTAGCTTTTTGATCGTACAAATACAGTTATAATAACTATTTTAATGTCCTTCTTATCTATTAATTTTTTCAACTGTGTCAATTCTGAGTCAGTTTTGATTAATTGATGTTTATCCTTATTTTGTATTGTACTTTTCTGCTTTTTTTTTTTTCATGAACCAGACATTGTGATTCTTACACTGCTGGCTGCTGAATATTTTTGTATTCCTGTCCATTTTGTTTTTTTTTTTTTCTGGTATGTGATAAATTACTTCAAAATACTTTGGTTCTCTTTGATCTTGCTCTTAAGCATTGTTAGATAGGACCAGTGGAGCATTAAGTTCAGGGACAATTTTCCTCCCTACTGAGGCAAAACCCTTCTGAGTATCCTACTTGATAAACCATAAATTGTGAGGTTTCCCACTCTGACTGCTAAGAAAATGGGCATTATTGTAGAACCTGATTGAGCTTTGGGTATATTTCCCACTAATTCCTCTGAGTGATTATTTATCAAGCGTGAGTAGTTTCCTCACTGACATTCATTAACCAGTATTCAGCTAAATACTTGCAGAGGACACCTAGCAGATTTCCCGAGTTTTCTCTCTTTGCAGCTCTCTCCTTTCAGGTACTCCACCATGTGAAATGTAACTACCTTGATCTCCCTGCTCCCTTTTCCTTAATTCAGAGAGACTCCTAGACTCCATGTGGCTTCTTCTGCCTGCATCATGGCCTGGAAACCGTCCACATGATAGCCTAAATCAATCATAGGACTCACCAGGTTTGTTTCCTTGTTTCAGTTATCCTTGCTCTTCATGACCTAGTGGCTTGATATCCAATATCTTGTGAACTTTTTTTTCCAATTTATTGTAGATTCAGTGAGTACATGTGCAGGTTCATTATCAGCATGTATTGCATGATGCTGAGATTTGGAGTACAAATGATCTCATCACCCAGGTACTGAGAATATACCCAATAGGTCATTTTTCAACCCTTGCCCCCTCCCCTCTAGTAGTTCCCAGTGTCTATTGTTGCCATCTTTATGTCCACGAGTACTCAATATTTAGTTCTCACTTATAAGTGAGAACATGTGGTTTTCTGTTTCTGTGTTAATTTGCTTAGGATAACGATCTCCAGCTGCATTCATGTTGCTGCAAAGAACATGATTTCAGGCTGGGCTCAGTGGTTGACGCTTGTAATGCTAGCACTTTGGGAGGCCAAGGAGGGTGGATCACTTGAGGTCAGGAGTTCGAAACCAGCCTGGCCAACATGGTGAAACCCTGTCTCTACTAAAAATACAAAAAAGTTAGCCAGGTGTGGTGGTGGGTGCCTGAAATCCCAGCTACTCAGGAGGCTGAGGCAGGAGAATCACTTGAACCCGGGAGGCAGCAGTTAAAGTGAGCAGAGATCACAAACTGCACTCCAGAGTGAAACTCTGTCTCAAAAAACAAACAAAAACAAAAACGTGATTTCATTCCTTTTTATTCCTTTTCATGGCTGTGTAGCATTTCCTGGTATACATATCCCACATTTTCTTTATCCAGTCTACCATTATGAGCACATAGATTGACGCCATGTCTTTGCTATCATGAATAGTACTGTAATGAATATGCGAGTCCAAGTTTCTTTTTGATAGAAAGATTTATTTTCTTTTCTTTTAGACGTATACCCAGTAATGAGATTGCTGGGTCAACCAGTAGTTCTGTTTTAAGTTCCTTTTTTTTTTTTTTCCAACAGGGTCTTGCTCTGTCACCCAGCCTGGAGTGCAATGGCGTGATCCGCTCACAGCGACCTCTGCCTCCTGGGTTCAGGCAATTCTCCTGCCTCAGCCTCTTGAGTACCTAGGATTACAGGCGCACACCACCACGACCGGTAAATTTTTGTATTTTTAGTAGAGACAGGGTTTCACCATGTTGGCCAGGCTGGTCTCGAACTCCTGATCTCATGATCCACCCGCCTTGGCCTCCCAAAGTGCTGGGATTATAGGCATGAGCCACCGCACCCGGCCTTCTGTTTTAAGTTATTTGAGGAATCTTCAAACTGCTTTCCACAGTTGCTGAACTAATTAACATTCCCGTCAGCAGTGTATAAGCATTCCTTTTTCTCACCAGTGTCCATTGTTTTTTGACTTTTTATAATAGTCACCCTGACTAGTGTGAGATGGTATCTCATTGTGGTTTTGATTATCATTTCTCTGACAATTAGTGGTAGTGAGCATTTTTTCATATGTGTGTTGGCTGCTTGTGTGTCTTCTTTTGAGAAGTGTTTGTTCATGTCTTTTGCCTGTATGTTGTTGTTGTTTTTTGTTTTATTTAATTTTATTTTTATTTTAAGTTCTGGGTCCATGTGCAGGATGTGCAGGTTTGTTACATAGGTAAACATGTGCTATGGTGGTTTGCTACACCTTTCAACCTATCGCCTAAGTATTAAGCCCAGCATGCATTAGCTATTTTTCCTAATGCTCTCCTTTCCCTGACCCACCAAAAGGCCCTAATGTGTGTTGTTCCCCTCTCTGTGTCCATGTGTTCTCATTGTTCAGCTCCCACTTATTAGTGAGAACATGTGGTGTTTGGTTTTCCGCTCCTGCATTAGTTTGCTGAGGATAATGTCTTCCAGCTCCATCCATGTCCCTGCAAACGGCATGATCTCATTTCTTTTTATGACTGCATAGTATTCCATGGTGTATCTGTACCACAATTTCTTTATTCAGTCCATCATTGAGAAACTATTAACAGAGTAAAGAGACAACCTACAGAATGGGAGAAAAAATTCACAAACTGTGCAGCCGACAAAGGTCTAATATCCAGAATCTTTAAGAAACTTAAATAATTGAACAAGCAAAAGACAAATACTCCCTTTTTTAATTAATGCATTTGCATCCAGGTAAGACTAAGAAGGAGCAATAGAGATGGACAGAAGTGGATAGATTTTAGAGACATTTGGGAGGTAGGATCAACAGTAGTTGGTGACTAAAGGATTGTGCAGGAGGAGGGGCAGAGGAGGGAAAAAGAGGTGCTGACGTGTGCTGCCAGGTTGTGCTGACACTACTTTCTGACATAGCAAACCTAATTGTTTAAGTTTTTTAAAGATTATGGATATCAGACCTTTGTCAGATGCATAGTTTGTGAATATATCCCCCCCTTCTGTAGGTTATCTGTTTACCCCATTGATAGTTTCTTTTGCTGTGCAGAAGCCCTTTAGTTTAATTAGGTCCCACTTGTCAGTTTTTGTTTTTGTTGCAATTGCTTTTGAGAACATAGTCATAAATTCTTTCCCAAGGCCATTGTCTGGAATGATGTTTCCTAGGTTTCTTTTAGGACTCGTATAGTTTGAAGTCTTACATTTAAATCTTTAATCCATCTTAGATTAATTTTTGTATATAGTGAAAGTTAGAGGGCCAATTTCATTCTTCTGCATATGGCCAGCCAGCTATTCCAGCACCAAATATTGAATAGGAAGTCCTTTTCACATTGCTTTTGTCGACTTTGTCAAAGATCAGATGGCTGTAGGTGTGTGACTTTATTTCTGGGTTCTCTATTCTGTTCTATTGGTCTATGTGTCTGTTTTCGTACTAGTACCATGCTGTTTTAGTTACTGTAGCCTTACAGTATAATATGAAGTCAGGGAATGTGATGCCTCCAGCTGTTCTTTTTGGTTAGAATTGCTTTGGCCATTTGGAATCTTTTTTGATTCCATATGAATTTAAGAATGCTTTTTTTCTAGTTCTGCAAAAAATGACGTTGGTAGTTTGATAGGAATAGTATTAAATCTGTAGGTTGCTTTGGGCAGTAAGATCATTTTAATGATATTGTTTCTTCCAATGCATGAGCACAGAATGTTTTTCCATTTGTTTGTTCCATCTATGATTCTTTGAGCAGTGGTTTGTAGTTGTAGAGATCTTTCACCTCTGTGGCTAGATGTATTCCTAGGTTCTTGTGGGGGATTTTTTTGTAGCTATTGTAAATGGGATTGCATTCTTGATGTGGCTCTCAGCTTGAATCTTATTGGTGTATAGAAATGCTACTGATTATTCTACAGTGATTTTTGTATCCTCAAACTTTACTGATGTTGTTTATCAGTTCCAGGAGGCTTTTGGCAGAAGTGAACTCTTGTTTTGTATATTTTTTTTTCTAGTCTTCCAGTTTTACAGGTAAGAGGATGTATCTAGTACCTGTTAATTTCTTTTGGCCTGAAATGGAAATTTGACTCTTATATCCTTTATATAGAAAAGTGACCTGGAAGGAACAGGCGTAAACATGGAGGATCCAGTTGGGCTTTGCATTTGCATCCAGGTAAGAGGAGGAAGGAGCAGTAGAGATGGACAGAAGTGGATAGTTTTGAGAGATATTTGGGAGGTAGGATCAATAGTAGTTGGTGACCAGTGGATTGTGCAGGAGGAGGGGCAAGGGAGGGAGAAAAAAGTGTTGCTGGGTGCATGGTGACACTACTCCCTGACATAGCAAACTCTGAAAGGGAAGCTGCTGTGCGTTGAGGTAAGATCAAGCTGGGATATGTCCAACTTGATTTGGATGGGTCAAGTGTTTATGGAGTGATAGAGACTTATTAAAAGGTAATCTTGAAGATGAAATAGTAAGAAACAACATAGGCTGTAAAGCATAGAAAAAGAAAAAAGCTGTGATCACGCTTTTTTATGGTAATTATGGATCATTGCTGCTCTGTTTTGTTAGAGGTATTTATTTTATTTGACACAGAAACATGGATGTTTCACTGACCACTGCTGACTGCTTTTGATATGTCAATAAAAAATTTAAATGGCCTCAACATCTGACTTTAGAATTAGGAATGTTCAAGATTTTTATTAATGGAGTAAAGGTTTCATAATGAATATCCTATGAGTCACCATCTTTACGTATTTAAAAATTCTTGATTTGCACCATCAGGCTCTTATGTTACAAGCTGTCACATCCTATCAAGAAGACACTACTGCTAATGTAGATGGCAGAATTATATCAGCGGTCCCCAGCCTTTTTGGCACCAGGGACTGCTTTAAAGGAAGGTGGTTTTGCCATGGATTGGGGTGGAGCGATGGTTTCAGGATGATTCAAGCTTATTACACTTATTGTGCACTTTATTTCTATTATTATTATATTGTAATATATCATGAAATAATTATGCAATTCACCATAATGTAGAACCAGTGGAAGCCCTGAGCTTGTTTCCCTGCAACTAGACGGTCCCATCTGGGGGTGATGGAAGACAATGAAAGATCCTCAGGCATTAGATTCTCATAAGGAGCAGGAAACCTAGATCCCTCGCATGCACAGTTCACAATAGGGTTTGCACTCCGATGAGAATCTAATGCCATTGCTGATCTGACAGGAGGTGGAGCTCAGGTGGTAATACTAGTGATAGGCAGTGGCTGTAACTACAGATGAAGCTTCACTTGCTCACAGGTCACTCACCTCCTGCTGTGCTACCCAGTTCCTATCAGGCCATGGACAGCTACCAGTCTGTGGCTGGGGATGGGGACCTCTGAAGTATATTCAGAGAAGTCAAAGCATTCAGCCAGATTGACAAAGCAAGGTATAAGAATTTACTTTGGGGGCTGAGCATGGTGGCTCATGCCTGTAATCCCAGCACTTTGGGAGGCTGAGGCAGGTGGATCACTTGAGGTCAGGAGTTCCAGACCATCCTGGCCAACATGGTGAAACCCCATCTGTACTGAAAAATACAAAAGTTAACTGGGTGTGGTGGTGGCCATCTGTAATCCCAGCTACTCGAGAGGCTGAGCCAGGAGAATAGCTTGAACCTGGGAGGCAGAGGTTGTAGTAAGCCTAGATCACACCACTGTACTCCAGCCTGGGCAACAGAGCAAGACTCTGTCTCAAAAAAATAATAATAATAAACATAAATAATTTACTTCAGCATTCAGAGAAGATGCTGAGCTTGGACATAACACAATCAAAGAGAAAAAAGCCTCATGGTATAAACTGAGAATTTTTAAATTTGAAAAATAACTGTGCAAGAAATTTACTATAAAATATTTATTCCATTAATAATCATAATAATAACTTTGAAATTCCTAATTCTAAATACAGCAGTTGAAACCTTTTTTTTTTCTATTGACATGTTAAAAGCAGACAAAATTGTTTCAGGCTGAGTCTAAATGATCTGATTATGAGCCGATATCAAAAGTGTAGACAGTATTAAGCAGGAATGGCAGACACCTGATGAACTCACCGTCATGTTTAATCCTGTGCTGAATTTTGAGATATAAGATCACAGTTTAAATACTTGTCTAACAAAAGAGCATCAGTCTTATGACATTGATCTTTATTTGTCTAAAACACACAGAACGCTCTCTCCTGTCAATAAGCATAGCTGTCAGATGCTCTGTGCACAGCTACTAAACACTCTCAAGATTGCAAGTTGAGGCATGGACATTAAGTATACATTTAATCAGCTGCGGAAGGTGAGAAGGTGCATTACACTGACTAATTTCAATAGTAACTCTAATGCACTCTTATTTATATTTGGTGTCTGGTAGATTCATTTAGTCACTGATTGCAAGGCATAGTGGCAAATATGGAGCAGGTTTACCTCTCTTTAAAGATAGTGTACATTTTAAAAATAAATCTATATTTTCAAAATATGTTGTCGGGAGTGTTAATTGGGGGAACATCTTTGGAGGGCAATTTGGCAATACCTATCAAAATGGAAATGTATATTTCCTTGAACCCAGAAATTGAGTCTAATATTTTATCCTATAGAAAGTCTTACATGTGTGCACAAAAACATATGGACAGAGATAGTCATTGCAGAATGGAGGAACACAGTAAAATATTGAAAATGGCTTAAATATTTATCAATAGGGAACTGGTTGAATAAATTTTGGTATCCCCATACAGTTGAATAAGGTACAGCTATGAAAATAAGAAAACACTACTTCTACATATACTGATGTGGAATATTTTCTTAGATGTGTAGATATATGAAGAAAACAAAACACAGAACATTGTATATATTTTACTATTTGTGTAAAAGATGAGGGATGAGTGTAGATGCTATATGTATATGTTCTTCTCTGAAAGGGTACATAAGAAATGCATACTCGGCTGGTTGCAGTGACTCATGTCTATCATCTCAGCACTTTGGGAGGCCAAGTTGGGAGAATCATTAGAGGCCAGGAATTTGAGGCCAGCCTGAGCAACATAGCAAGACCCTGTCTCAAAAAAAAAAACCCAGACATGGTAGCATGCACTTGTAGTCCCAGCTACTCAGGAGACTAAGGCAGGAGGATCGCTTGAGCCTGGGAGCTGAAGGCTGCAATGATCTATGATCATGCCACCGCACTCCAGCCTGGGTGACATGCTGAGACCCTGTGTCAAAAAAAAAAAAAAAATTCATAATCATGGTCATCTCTGGAAAGGAGAATTAGAAATGGAAAACAAGGGGTAAAGGATGGGGGAAAGGTTTACTTTTCATATTATCCTTTATTTCCTTTGAATATTTTACTATGTAATATATAATCTATTCAAAAATTAAAAATTAAAAATTCATCAAATATTAAAATTATATCAAACTCCATTATAAATTTCTAGTCAAAAAATATTTGACTAGAAGATGGAATAGAGGTACTTAAGAATGTACCAAACCTTGTTAAAATTGCATATTTAAAGGAAATTAGAAGTTTCTGGTAAAACTAATGATCATCAGAAAGAAGTCAGAAATATAGAAATAAAGGTGCTGGGATGCTTTCATTGCTTGGCACATTAATTTCAAATTCTCAGAGAAAAATAATGACAGCTTTCCTGAACAGAAGACAAGCCTGAAAAGTCACTTAGTTCCTAGCAGTCCCTCCTCTTTCTCTTTGGTTGTTCAGAAGCTGCTGTTACCCAGCACTTACTAGGCTTTTATAAATAACAGGTTGGTCTGGCCAACGGGGGAAGAAGAATCAGGAAAATGGGAAAAGAAACCATTTAAAATGAAATTGTACATGAACAAAGGAGCATGTTTATGGGGATTTGCATCTACAAACAGTTCCTTTTAACATTCTGGAACAAAAATATTTTGTCAAATTTTTCTATAATGAATTGTAAATATCTATCAAGAATGACCTTCATTGTACATTACTTGTAAGTTTATGGAAGAACATAGAGCGTAAACAAGAGCATACAATAACATAGATCATAGGTAGTCACCACCTGAGCCTCTCTGCAATGCTTTGTAGCCCAGGGAAAGAACATCTAGGTCATAGTGAATATCTCTTTGTAAATTGTGTTTGAAGATATAAAATCTAAAATTATAGTCACTGTTTTGCATCTATAAATGTCAGGAACTTTGTTAACACTTCATTTTCTATCCTAAGAAGTACTTTTTAATGGTCCTGGTTCAAAGCCTTCATGCATGCATACAGGCAGAATTTCTTTTTTTATTAGACACAAAGAACTCATGTTTTGTTTTCCCTTTCTGGCTTAAAAATGTTTTAACATCCCAGCACTTTGGGTGGCTGAGGTTGGGGGAATAGCTCAAAGCCAGGAGTTTGAGACCAGCCTGGGCAACATAGTGAGAATTATGTCTCTACAAAGAATTTTAAAATTACCCAGGGTACCAGGAGTCCCAGCTACTCAGGAAGCTAAGGCAGGAGGATCGCTTGAGCCCAGGAGGTCAAGGCTGCAGTGAGCCGTGACAGTGCCACTGCACTCAAGCCCGAGCAACAGAGCAAGACCCTGCCTCAAAAAAAAATTTTGTTTTAACAATGATAAGCTGGTGGGTTAAAGGGCACTCATGAGGACAGTAGCCTTCAGTTAAAGAAGCAAATCACCAGGTTGAGGACATACTTCAAATATCAAATTAGCCGGTTATGAATTGTCTGTGAGAAAAGTCACTTTTTAGGTGAAATGATTGGGTTCATCAAAGTTTAATCATATTCCACAAGTTGTTCGATGTTTTCTTGGGCAGATTCCACTCTTGCAGAACTGTACTGACTCTAAATACAGCTTATGAGGGGATTAAAAGCATATGCTCTCTCACACTCACAGGTGGTCGCATTTTAAAGAACTGAACCGATGCCAAATACAGACAGCAATTTTTATGGGAGAGACAAACAGAGAGAAGAAAAGGAAAACCAAAAGACAATAAAAAGACGGGATACATCAGAGGATAAAAGGAGCTCATTTCCTGTAGAGGAACAAACTCCTTTCCTGTCTTCCTGTCTCACTCCCCCAACCAGGACAGCTCCTCTATCTACAGCAGGCCCTAAGTCACACCTCCATTGACCTAATAAAAACTGGTTCCTATCACTTCTCTCTCCATTTGACTGCGTCTCTGGCATTCTACACTATCTTGAACAATTTTTTCATCCACCTTGTAGTCATTTATTGAATGCCTCCATAGGCTTTAAGACAGAAGATGAGTCAAGGATGGTTTATCATCAAGGTCACAATTGAGTAAATGATTTCTACCTCTTGACTTTGAAGCTTGAGCCCAACAAGGCAGACCAGACTTCAACATCTTCCACCTTCACACAAACTTCCTACTGAAACAGGAAATTTCCCCTGACCCCTTTGTGGGACTTGTGACGTGGGTGGCTTGTTTACTTATCCCACAGCTCCCAACCCCTCACGGGAAGGGGACCACACATGTGACCGGGCGCAGGGGCCGGGATGAATGCTTCTGGGTGCCAGCAAGAGCAGAACTCTGTGCAGCCCTGCAGCAGCATCTGGAGGGTACCCTTGACCCCTGGACCCCCAGAGGGTGTGTGTTACAGTGTGCTCTTTTAGCTTTGCCATCCGTGGACAGCTTAGGTGTTTAACAGCTCAGTGTGACAACCCTCTGTATCTCGAGCTCTTGTTCGGTGTCCAGGAAGAATTGGGTCACACAAATGAGTTGAAGATGGTAAATTCAGGAGATTTTATTGCTGATGAAAGTGGCTGTCAGTGGGATGGAGAGCTGGAAAGGGAATGGAGTGGGAATGTGATCTTCTCCTGGAGTCTGGCCGTCCCCAGCTGAACTCTCTCTGAGATTCCACCATCAAGCCGTCCCTCTGAAGTCAAGCTGCTTCTCACTGATGTTAAGCTGCTTCTTCTCTTCTCTCCTTCTTTGCTGCTCTGCTTCCAGTGAAGCCTGGGGTTCCTATGGGTACAGGATGGGGGCATGGTGGGGGTCAGGATGGTTTTGGAAAAGGCAACATTCGAGCAGGAAAACAGGAATGCATGTTCTTGCTTTGGGCCACTGGTCCAGGCTTGAGGGTGGGTGAGCCTCTGCCAGGGACCCTACCCTCTTCTCCCAGTATTTCTCTGCCTCCTGCCCATATCACCATCTATCTAATAACTAGATATTAGACTGATTGTTGGACTGAACTATTTTCTCCCACTGTGATTATTATTATTTCTGTTCCCAAGATTTTCTGCACTGGACATCAAGTATTTGAATTGCGTCCTAGCATTCAACAAGGAAATGCTTTGCCTGCAACATGAAGTGTTAGAAATGTTCTCTCAAAACCTTCTCAGCCCTTGGGTTATATGAATCTGTGGATCAGGTCACCAAAATTCAGAGTGAGGCCTTAGTGACTGAATCATTCGTTGATTCTATGCCTTTTTTTTTTCTTTTACTATTGCTGATTTATTAGAAAGGATACTAGAAGGGAGGCAAATGAACAGCCAAATGAAGAGATGCATAGGACAAGGTACAGGAGATGGCATCCAGTGCTTCCATGTGCTCTATGGGTGCAATGCCCTCCCATCACCTCCTTGTGTTCAGCAACCTGGAAGTTCTCCCAGCCCAGTCCTTTGGGGGTTTTATAGAGGATTTATTACATAGACATGATGGATTAAGTCATTGGCCATTGGTGATCAACTCAGCCTTCAGCCTCTCTCCATTCCCAGAGGTACAGGGGAGGGAACTGAATACTCCAGCGGTTTCATCACAAGGTTGGTTTCCAGGCAACCAGCTGCCCATCCTGAGGCTACCCAGGATCCCCCAGCCATCAGTCATCCCATTAGCATACAAAACAGCATTTGTCACCTTGGAGAGGCCAAGTGTTTTAGGAGCTATGTGAGAGGAAACAGGGATTTAGACCAAATATATTATTTCTTATTATAAATCCCAATAACACAGTTGACCTCTGGTCTTGGAACAAGATCCCTTAGAGCAAAAGGATCATAAAAGTCAACAGACACTGGCACGTTCCTAGAATCCCATTCAGTCATTAATCATTAGTCCAGTCCATTTCATGTTATATGAAAATATTTCCCAGGGAAAGGGCCATTTAGGTTTGCAGGCTTTCATTCTCTCAGTAAACACAGCTTCACCTTTTTGGGCATCTGGTGTAACGGAGCTAGGAGACAATATCTTGTCTTGCTCTGAATCTCTTTTGAGACATTAACATAATGGATGCTGACAGAAAACACAAGATTCCTGGGTCAGAGACAAAGGACTTTGTTACTCACAACACAGTGTGTCTGTTCATTACCTCACCCACACTTAATTCCCATGGATATGAAGCAATGTGGGCCCAAGAGGAGACTGTGCACACAGTGGGATTGAGGAGAGGAGGTTCCTCACAGATGAGGAACACTATGCTTGGAGAACCCACTCCTTTTGCACAAAAGGAAAGCCATTTCATTGTCTGCAGAGAGATGTGACCTGAAGTCTAAGGATTGCTGGCTCCAAACACAACCCTGAGAACTGGCCTAGATAAAGAGCCACCTGGGCCTTGCACCCTGCATACACCCTGCAAGATCCATAGAAGCATGACAGTCTTTCTCACAGAAGGCACATATTTCACATCTGGGGAAGGGGAATGTGAAAATAATTTTATAACCATAATAGGTTTGTTGCCCAAAACATATGGCAAGTCAATACACAGAGACACTGGGTTGCAGCAGAGAATGAGATATAATCATAATGTCACCAAATGAGGAGATGGGAAGCAACCTCATATCTGTTCTCCTCAAAGAGTTTGGGGCTAAGGCTTTTAAGAGTTTTGGAGTGAGCCAAAGTGTGGACATTATTGATTGACCAAAGAATGCAGGGTGAAGTCATGGGACAGGGAGATAAACAAGCTGTACTCTCATGCTGATTTGGTTTATCTGGGAAAAATCTTCACTGGTTGGTGTCAGCTGTTCCACTAGAATTCAGGATCTGAAAAGCATCATAACTAATTCTTAAACAAAAGTCTTGTGATTCTAAGCTCAGAAATCCTATCTCTAAGAACAACGGGGGGCTAGGTACAGTGGCTCATACCTGTAATCCCAGCACTTTGGGAGGCTGAGGCAGGTGGATCACCTGAGGTCAGGAGTGCGAGACCAGCCCGGCCAACATGGTGAAACCCCTTCTCTACTAAAAATACAAAAAAATTAGCTGGGCATGGTGGCACATGCCTGTAATCCCAGCTACTCAGGAGGCTGAGGCAGGAGAATCACTTGAACCCGGGAGGCAGAGATTGCAGTGAGCTGACATTGTGCTATTGCACTCCAGCCTGAGCAAGAAGAGTAAAACTCCGTCTCAAAACAAAACAAAACAAACAAACAAAAAAACAAACAATTGGGATGTGAATGTATCTAGTGCCACACAACTTTGGGTTACAAGGAAGTGGGTCAAAATGCAACCTGATTTATGCTTAATTCTAACTATATTTCTGTCCAGAATTCTCATTAACCCTGTAAGGACAGCTCCAATTAAATGAATTAAATGAATCTTAATATTTTGGAATTTTGTTACGCATTTCTGTATGTGCCATTCTAGTATCCTCTTCTCCTCAGTGACAGGCTACATTGGAATCTGAGGCTGCATCAAGCTCTTACTATTCCCAGCACTGTGCTAGAGCTTTACATGAAGCATTCATTTCATCTTTACAACTCCATGAGGTAGGTTCTCATTTTGTGAATGTTGTAAGTGAGGTACAGAAAAGTTAAAACTAAGGTCACTCACATGGCAAAGTTGGATTTTTAATGCAGATCTGATTGACTTTAGAGCCCATTCATTGTTAGGAAACTTCTCAAATACCAAATCATTAATCAGGTCCTGCAAGCATATATTTATGACCCTATCAATTTAAACACATTTCATACACTAAATAACATCTCCTTTCTTGGGTAGCCAAGATAGTCCTGGAAATATTCCTGGGTTTGCCACACAAGAATGCAAGCCACATTGTCATGTCGAGAGCTCTGGGGAAGTAAAATGGGTAGAGATTCTTGGAATGAAGAGGTGAGAGCCAAAAGCAGGTGGGAAAAGAGCAGGGAAGGTTCTGCCTCATCTTCCCCTCAGTTTGAGAATGAACATTGTTAGGTTCCTCAAAAAACTAAAAATAGAGCTACCATGTGATCAGCAATCCCACTTCTGGGTATGTACCCAAAAGATGAGAAATCGAGAAATCAGTCTTTCAGAGAGATATCTGCACTTCCATGTTTGTTGCAGCACTGTCTACAATAGCCAAGATTTGGAAGCAGCTTACGTGTCCATAAACAGATGAATGTGCTATGGTTTGGCTGTGTCTACCCCAAAATCTTATCTTGAATTGTAGCTCCCATAATTCCCATGTGTTGTGGGAGGGACCCGATAGGAGATAATTGAACCATGGGGGTGGTTTCCCCCATATGGTTCTTGTGGTAGTGAATAAGTCTCATGAGATCTGATGGTTTTATAAGGGGAAACCCCTTTTACTTGCCTGTCACCATGTAAGACATGCCTTTGGCTTCTGCCATAATTGTGAGGCATCCCCAGCCATGTGGAACTGCGAGTCCATTAAGCCTCTTTTTCTTTATAAATTACCCAGTCTCAGGTGTGTCTTTATTGGCAGCATGAAAATGGACTAATACAGAACGGATAAAGAAAATGTGGTACATATACACAATGGAGTACTATTCAGCCTGAGACCCTGTCATCTGCAGCAACACGGATGGAACTGGAGATCATTATGTTTAGTGAAATAAGCCAGGCACAGAAAGACAGACATTGCATGTTCTCACTTATCTGTGGGATCTAAGTTAAAACAATTGAACTCATGGAGATAGAGAGTAGAAAAATGATTACCAGAGGTTAGGACAGGTAGTTGCGGGGGGAGGGCACAGTGGTGAAGGGGAGGTGGGGATAGTTAATGAGTACCAAAAAATCAGAAAAAAATGACTAAAACCTAGTATTTGATATTGGCTATAGTCAATAATAATTTAATTATACATTTTAAAATAACTAAAAGTATAATTGGATTGTTTTTAACACAAAGTATAAATGCTTCAGGGGAGGGACACCCACAATGTGATTATTTCACATTGCATGCCTGTATCAAAACACCTCATGTACTCCATAAATATATACATCTACTATGTACCCACAAAAATTTAAAAAAAAAATGAACATTGTTAGAGTCTAAATTCAAAAAATCAACTGAGTACCTGTATAACTCACAGTAAGGATGTGTGGAGACCAGAGCATGACTCGGCTGTTCAGGTCTACCTGTGAGTGGGGCCTGCCTGAGACTCTGGGCTTCCCATCAGGACAGTTCACAGATAATGGTGTTTCTACCACTGTGAGACAGATGGCATTCCTCGAAGGATTGTCCATAGAATCACCTAGGATGGGAATTAGAATTGTTATCAGAAAATGGGGTTGATATTAAAATAGGAAAGTAACAGCTTGGTGCTTGACACTGGGAAGGTAAAGTGGGGCATTGTAACAGAAGCATGGGGGCACCAATGAAGAGTGGGACAGGGTCAGATGTGTCTGGGTGGGGAAAGGGTGATGTCCTGAAGTGCTGGGCATCTATCCACAGAGTCCTTCAAGGGCCAAGGTCCCTCCTCTCCATGTCCAATCTACAGACTTATCATTACACATATCTTTGTTTAATAAAATTCTGTACTGCTACATTTTTTACTGGGATGTACAGGTATGTGGGGTAGAGGGGATGACAAATTCTGCCTGTATACCTAGAAGTACTTCGAGAGGCTACACTCAGCAACAAGTGATAGGGACAGGAGGCAGGGAAATTCTAGGCAAAAGAGGGCGGGCCTCTAGTGAGGGCCCCACCCTCAAGCCTGGAACCATGGCTTAAAGTGAGAACATACATTCCTGTTTTCCCACTCCAAAGCTGCCTTTTCCAAAACAACCCATGGCCCACCCCACCCTTCATCTTGTGCCCATAAAAACCCAAGGCTCCAGAGGCAGAAAAGAGGAGAAGAGGAGAAACAGCTGGATGTCAGAGACTACAGTCCAGGAAAAGCGGCTTGACTTCAGAGGGACAGCTTGACGGGGTAGCTCTGGGGGAAGAATACCGTCCTGCTTCATCCCCTTTCCAGCTCCTCTTCCCACTGAGAGCCACTTTTATCAGCAATAAAATCCTCTACATTCACCACCCTTCAATTGGTTCATGTGACCTGATTTTTCCTGGACACTGAACAAGAGCTCAGGTACCACAGGTGTGGGTACAAAAGGCTGTCACACTGAGCTGTTAATACTTAAACCATCTGCGAATGGCAGAGCTAAAAGAGCACTGTAATACACACCCTCTAGGGCTTCAGGCATTGTGGGAACCCCCTTAGATGCTGCTGCAGGGCCGGTATGAAGTCCATTTCTGCCATTACCCAAAAGTACTTGCCCTGGCTCCTGCACCCACTCACTTGTGTGCTCCCTCCCAGGAGGGGTTGAGCACAGTGGGTTCAAGTGAATGAAGTTTACCCCTGAAGGCACCAAAGTGGCTGGCTAGCTACAGCACCTACACTCCAGCTTCTGCCCACGAAGGAGTCAGGGAAAATTTCCTGCTTCACAAGGATATTGTTCAAACTAAAGATTTGGCTTCTCAAGGAAGAGTGCAACTGAAACAAGCTTACTTCAGTATGCACACACTTGTTTAAGCATTGAGGCACACAAAGATAAAAAATGACACACACATATCAATTCAGTTCCAATCATCTGAAGTATCTAGAAAGAACTTCTCCCTCTCAGGTGAACTCACCATGCTGTCCTACCCCTTGTTCATCATTCCACTATAATTGTGGGACACTCCTTGTGTGGATGCTTGCTCCAATCTGCTTTCTAGGTTTCCGATTTCCTAGGCAGAGGACATTGACAATATAGAATCACTTTATTTTTATTTTATTTTATTTATTTTATTTTATTTTAGAGACAGGGTGTCACTCTGTTGCCCAGGCAAGAGTGCAGTGGCGTGATCGTAGCTTACTGCAGCCTCGAACTCCTGGGCTCAAGTGATCTTCCCACCTCAGCCCTGCCCCCCACCCTCACCCCCCAGTAGCTGAGACTACAAGTGTGCACCATCATGCTAAGCTATTTACTTATTTAATTACTTATTTATTTTTAGAGATGGAGTGTTGCTATATTGCCCAGGCTGGTCTTGAACTCCTAGCCTCAAGTAATCCTCCCACCTCAGCCTCTCAAAGTGTTGGGATTACAGGTGTGAGCCTCCACACTCAAACTTACAACCACTTTAGAAGTTGTATTTTAATGTTGCAGCAAGTAAAGCTAGAATATAAAGCCATATAGATCTTTGGGGACATTTTAGTTACTTTCCATTCTTTTTTTTTACATTTTACGACATGAGAAATAGATTCAGTTATTAGCATCAAGTGCTAAGGACCAAAATAGAAGATAAGTACCTTTACCCACCTTTATTTGGACTCACTGACATTACTGGATAGCAGTTTAGGGTTAATAATTGGTAAATTACATCATTAATCATGAGAAAAGCTCATTTATGGTTGAGAGGAGTCTCCATGTACGGAACACTAAATTTTTTTAGATGGAGTCTTGCTCTGTCACCCAGGCTGGAGTACAGTGGTGCAATCTCAGCTCAGTGCAGCCTCCACCTCCTGGGTTCAAGCAATTCTCCTGCCTCAGCCTCCTGAGTAGCGGGGATTACAGGTACCACCACCACACCCAGCTAATTTTTGTATTTTTTAGTAGAGATGGGGTTTCACCATGTTGCCCAGGCTGGCCTTGAATTCCCGACCTCAGGTGATCCGCCGGCCTTGGCATCCCAGGGTGCTGGGATTACAGGCATGAAACACTGCACCCAGCCCGGAACACCAAATTTTTTTAACACTGTATTCTCACGTGCACATGTCAATGAAAAAAATAATGAGTTAGCAATATACCACAGGACAGCCGAAGGACAGATTGTAAACAGTAACAGAGGCACAGGAATTTACAACCAGAGGCTATCACCTTATTACTAGTCATACCCATTGCTGCCTGCCATAGGATCTGCTTAAAATACTTTATTGCAAATTCCAAATTATAATTACCAATTATTTATTGCCTGGTTCAGGGATTATAGATTTTAAAAAACTTTGAATGATTAAATAATGCCTAGAAAACCTGTCTCAAAATTTTACACTCTATTATTTAAAAAAAAAAAAAGAAAAACACCTGAATTTATGAAGGGAGAAAACCCAGAAGATGTAGATGACTGTAGCTTCCAAGTCAAATCATAATTTGGTGTTATGTGCTATGTTAATTTCAGTTTTCCTACAGAAGAGTAAGGCTAATTGAAGGTTTATCTGACATTTCTTCTCTCAGTGCTGTGAATTCTATCCGTTGCCATTTTTCTCTGACAAATTGATGCACACCATTACTCTTGGAGCACACTTGGAGGCAGCTGCTTCAGCAGAAGTTACCTTTTGCTGAATTCCACAGATTGAACCAGCTATCCATTAGAGAAGACAGCTTTGGCCTGGAATTCAGTAGATGGGTGTCTAGTCTCAGCTTCTCCACCAGCTTGCTGTGTGACCTTGAAGAAGTCATCACCCCTCGGGACCAGATTTTTCCCATCTAATTTTAGAAGGTAGCAGGAGATGGTCTCTGGGGTACCCTCCAGCCTTAATCTGATGGTCTGTGGTTATAGGAGAGAAATGTAGCCATGGTGAGAATAGAGAAAAAAGATGAGTTGTCTGAAAGGAAACTGGTTCAAGCTAAAAATTCAGGCCAGCAGTGGGATCCAAAAAAATGGCAGGTAGCAGGATTTCCAGTGCCTGCTTTTTGGTTTCATAGTTCCTATCTCAGGTCTTGGAAAACCAACATCTCCAGGCAGTCGCTTTTCCATTTTGGCATCCTCTGACTCCAAGTCAGCCCTGAGACCAAACATTTGCTGCTAGTGCCCTGGTGAGGGACCCCCAGAGTCTGCACCTCCTCTTTCTTCCCATTTCCCTTTCTCTCTCATGTTGACATACCCATAGCATGAAAAATGAAAAGGCTAAATGCACAGAAGCACTAACTTCCATGTTCTCACTCATTCACAAAACCTAAACATTGAAACAATTGAACTCATGGAGGTAGAGAGTAGAATGATGGTTACCAGAGTCTGAGAAAGGTAAGGGGTACGGGGGGAGTGGAGATGGTTAATGGGTACTAAAATATAGTTAAGAGAATGAATAATATCCAGCATTTTATAACACAACAGGGTGACTGCAGCCAACAATAGTTTATTGTACACTTTAAAACAAGTAAAAGAGTATAACTGGAATATTTGTAACACAGATAAATGATAAACGCTTGAGGTGATGGATAGCCCGTTTACCCTGATGTGATTATTACACATTGTGTGCCTGTATCAAAATATCTCATGTACCCCATAAATATATGCACCTACTGTGTACTCATAATAAACTAAAAATTAAAAAGAATGAAGAGGTAGAGAAAAAGTAAAGAGAATTTATGAATATGTAGCAACAAAATAAGGAAGATGAAGGACAACCCACTTCACAAAGGAATCCTAAGCAGAGTTTACCAAAAGGATGACTTCAGATAGATATAAGATGCCCCACATCTAGCTAATGGATAATCTTGGAAAATATGGAAAGGAGAAGTAAGGGTTCCATAAGCAGACGGCTGGCTTGGCCATTCCCAGGAAGGATTGAATAAATCAAGAAATGGGGGTTAAAAAATGCTGAAACCAGGAAGAGACTATATTACCAACTCCCACGGGAAGAAGCCACAGTCCTGTGCTGGCATTATTCCAATCCGACGAGTTGGGGCATCAGAAAGCCATTCCAGAGGGAACACTCCCCAGGGTCAGATGACTGGGCTGGGCCGCATGACTTAACACGTCCTTCCTTGCTAATCTATTTTGGTGCATGGGTGGAAGCCACAGCAGCTATGGCCCAAGGGCTCCAAGAACAGGAATCACATCGGTGAAATTACTCAAGTTGATATTAGTTGGACATTGGTTTAGGGGAATAGCATCATAAATTGCTAGTTTTGGCAAACGGTATAGTGGGATACAGTGTGTTTTCCTCGTGGACACCCAAGGTTTTCATCGCCATAAAAGCAAAAGCCACTTCTCAGTAAGCACATTTCATAACATGGAGGTCCTCATGGGATTTTCAGGTGGGTAAAGTGGTACGTGTTGGGAAGGGGAGCATTTTATATTCCATCCATCAAGCTAAACAGAAGAATGTAACAGAAATGGTTCTGACCTAGTTAGCATGAGGAGAATATTCCAACCAAGACCCCAGCTGCTTCCATAGGCCTCTCCAGTCCAGCTGGAGGGGGTGACAGACTGCAGTTGGAGCAGCCTGGTCCCCTCCATGGCAAACAGCTCCTGGGAGTGTCCTGCTAAGAAGAGGTAGGACACTGGTAGGAATCAAAGAACAATGATGCTTACTGGAGCCCCTCCAAATGTATTCCTGTTTCTCCCAGAGGACACTACCCTGTCACCCAGGAGAGTCACTTCTTTTAGAGGAGAAGACCTCCCACTGTAATGTAAAACAGATTTGCAAGTTTTCTGCTCCAAAACTGCAGCACCAAAGAAAATAGCGACCAAAGTTAAACTATGCAGGCAGCAATGCAGTTTCAGGTCACCCACTCAGATCAATCCATTTCATTGGACTCCTGAAAACGGATTCCTCATTCCTGAAATGAATTTTTCTATTGCTGCTGTGAAGCAAGTCAGTTCCTAGCTAACAAGAATTCAAGATTCATTTTCTCTGCAGTTTCTAAGCAAGCTCTACCTGATGGAGTTTTGAAATTCCAACAACCTTTTCTACAAGAATAGGGTGTCCTCCAGGATAAAACTTGACCTCCTTCTTAAACAGCTTAGATCCTAATCAAAGATTATAAGATTATATAGAGGCTATAAAAGAATAAAGTTCCCTCCCTAAAAATCCAAACTTGTGGCCTGGTAACAACATTTTAAAAAATCAGTGGCTATTTAAAGTTAGTCCTGGGTTCATTAGAGTTTCAGTACCATACCTATTACTGAGCTGATGACAGGTGGGGATTTTACAGAAATCAGTGGATCCAATTAGCACCAGGGGTCCATAAGTCAGGCACTTCCAGGCTACAAATTATTGGTGACATTTCTAAGCATAGATTGACAGTTGAATCCAGGACAGCTTTCTCTATACCTTTGAAGCATTATTAGGGAGAAAATACCCTACCCAAGTTTTCTAATCTACTGTATTAAAAAGAGAGCTTCCTAAGAATTTTATTATCACACCAGTCCATATTGCTCAGGTGACTGGTACATGCTTACTTTAATGAACCCAAAACAGGCTTGCTAGTGCTGTTTACATTTTATACTGTTAGGAACAGACATCGGCAGGCAACTAGATTGTGTAAAATTCATTATCGTGATAAGATTATAAAGTTGTTGGTTAGTAATTGAGTAGATTCTCCTGTCCCTGTAAAATTTCAGAACCCTGTCTTGCAATAAAGGAGTTAGAGTCCACTTCTGTTTTAAACTTGTCATTCTCAAACTGTTCCCGTAAAACAATAGTGCTCTATAAGCCGTGTCAAAATATCCTGCAAATAAAATCCAAGGATATCAGACACAAACAAGTCCTGGGAAGAATATTGAGTTAATGACCGTCAAGCTGGTTTTCCAACATATATTTTTCTTACAACCTCGGTGTTTGCTCCCACGTGTCTGTTAGAATACCACTGGCAGATGACAAAATAGAAGAACAAATAGCAAATGATCAGATGAAAACTCAGTAACTGAGGATCCTGCTGCTTCAACAGTCTGTTTCTTTTCCCATATATCTGTGTGTTCATGGCTGTGGTTTTATATCATAAATATATAGCATGCTCCCATTAAGTTTTGCAATTTTTCAGAAGAGGAGGGGTGTCTCGCACACAGCTCAGTTGACTCTAAAAATATGTGTCTACCTCAAGAGAGGAAAAATAGCACATGCATATTCTAAACACTGCTCTGGGACTGTGGCTTTTAACTCATTGCCTCTCAGTAGCAAGCGAAGGTCAGTTGAGAAAAACAAGGCTGAACGATATGTAGTTCATCCCTTTCTCAATCATCTAAAGCAGAAGTAAATTTTATCTGTAAAGACCAGATAGTAAAAACTTTAGCCTTTGTGGGCCACGTGGTTTCTGCCTCACCTGTTCAACTCTGCTGTTGTAGCAAAAATGCAGGCATAGACATTAAAATAAAGGAATGTGATGTATGCCAACAAAACTTTACTTACAGACAACAGAAATTTGAATTTTATATAATTCTCACACATCATGAAATATTATTCTTTTTTTCAACCACTAATTTAAAAAAAAAAATCATATTTGATTCACAGGCCATAGTTTGCCAACCCCTGTCCTAAATTCTAGATGCTTTAAAATGCATCCTTGGTGTCTCAGCTTTCTGTTGCTTATAAGACCACATATGAAACTGGGTAACTTATTTTAAAAATGAATTTATTTCTTATAGTTATGAAGGCTGAGAAGTCCAGTGTTGAGGGGCTGAGTCTGGTGGGGGCCTTCTTGCTGATGCAGACTCTCTGCAGAGTTTCCAGGCAGCACAGGGCATCACGTGGTGAGGGTGCTGGCTCAGGTTCCTCTTTCTTCTTCTTATGAAGCCACCAGTTCCCCTCCCTTGAAAACTCATCAATCTATTAACCTATTAATCCATTAATCAATTAATCAGAACCTTCATGACCCACCCAATCACCTGTTAAAGTCTCCACCTCTCTACTGCCACACTGGGGACTAAATTTCAACATAAGTTTGGGAGGGGACAAACATTCAAACCATAACATGACTATTGGAGAACTGAGCACCTGGACTTTCTCATTTTGACCCTTCACCAAGTTACATTTGCTGAATTGGTTTTGCCACGTTACCATCAAATCGCACAAAGGGAGGTATATGAAGCAGCAAATGAACCTTGTGATTGGGTTTACTGTGAAGATGCCACCAGAGCATCACACAATGTGTTTCAGGGTGGACAATTTCTCTCCGGTCGTGATCACAGGAATGGTTGTACTCCTGGGAAAATGGCTTATCGAAAAGAATCAGAACACTGATCACTCTCCCTCTTTTCATCTGCTAGAAAGTTCACAGGCCAATTTACTCAGGTCTAGCAAATATATGGGATTGCATAGCATATGTTCTGTGTAAATATACCCCACCTTTATCTTAGTTTTCCAGCCTAATTTTTTCCTTTATAATGCATTCTTCACTTTTTAAGTATTATTGTATTGCATGAATTTCAGTAATTAGCTTAATAAGGCAGGATACAAATAAAATAATACAAGTAAAATATACACTTTATGCTCATGTTTCTGTACTTAAGATTGTTGGCAATTTATTAATGAAAAGTGATTTGCCATAGTGTTCCCAAACAGAGCATGATGACTCCCAGGTGTGGAAAGAGTAAGATAAGTGGATTCCTTCCTTCCTTCCTTCCTTCCTTCCTTCCTTCCTTCCTTCCTTCCCTCCTTCCTTCCTTTCTTTCTTTCTTTTTGACAGAGTTTCCCTCTTGTTACCCAGGCTGAAGTGTACTTGCAAGATCTCAGCTCACTACAACCTCCGCCTCCCAGGTTCAAGTGACTCTCCTGCCTCAGCCTCCCAAGTAGCTGGGATTACAAGCATGTGCCACCATGCTCAGCTAATTTTTTTAGTACAGACAGAATTTCACCATGTTGGTCAGGCTGGTCTCAAACTCCTGACCTCAAGTGATCCACCCACCTCGGCCTCCCCAAGTGCTGGGGTTACAGGCATGAGCCACCATGCCCCGCCAGACCAGTGGATTTCTGACTTATGGAGGCTGAACAGCCTTGTCCTTGAAGGGAATCCTGGGCAGAAACCTAACAATGCAACACACAAAATGGAGCAGCTCTGAGTGAAGTGGAACTGAGAAGTGGGTACAAAGGCCACCTGAAGACACTGAAGACCACTGGGAGTGCTCTTTAAAATGACAGGTTTCCAGGCTCTGTATCTACTTCTCTCCAGCACTGAGCATGGGAATCTGCATTTTGAATGAAATCCTTGGGGGATTCTTTGAAACAGTAAAAGTTGAGCAACAACATTCAAGAGCCCTGCTAAGGGACAATTTGAAAAACACTTTCAGGCAATAGCACTCAGTACTGGGGAATTTGGAGAGGGTGGGGCTTTGGTGGGTTCTTGGTGTAAAGGCAGAGGCACATGGTGATGAACACAGGCTCCCTGGACTTCTGGGTTTGAATCCTGGTTCTGTTGGTTAGTAGCTATGTAAACATGAGCAAGTCACTGAAGCTTCCTCTAAGTACTTTTGTCAGAGGCGTGTGAACCAGAGCAACTCCATCTGGAGTAGGGGCTGGGTAAAATGAGGCTGAGACCTACTGGGCTGCATCCCCAGATGGTTAAAGCATTCTAAGTCACAGGATGAGTTAGGAGGTCGGCACAAGATACAGGTCACAAAGACCTTGCTGATAAAATAGGCTGCAGTAAAGAAGCCGGGCAAAATCCACCAAAACCAAGATGGTCACGAGAGTGACCTCTGGTCGTCCTCACTGCTGCACTCCCATCAGTGCCGTGACAGTTTATAGATGCCATGGCAACATCAGGAAGTTACCCTATATGGTCTAAAAAGGGGAGGCATGAATAATACACCCCTTGTTTAGCATATCATCAAGAAATAACCATAAAAATGGGCAACCAGCAGCCCTCAGGGCTGCTCTGTCTATGGAGTAGACATTCTTTTATTCCTTTACTTTCTTAATAAACTTGCTTTCACTTACTCTGTGGACTCACCCTGAATTCTTTCTTGCACGAGATCCAAGAATCCTCTCTTGGGGTCTGGATTGGGGCCCCTTTCCTGTAACACCTTCTTCATCATCTCTGTCCCCCGTTGTAAAAGGAGGATGTTGATCAGCAAAGGTTTTTTGGAAAGATGTTGTGAATCATAATCAGGTGCATAGAACAATCCGCATACCACAGTGAAACCCTTCTTCCTCTTCCCATCCACCCACCTCTTATCAGACACTTCATGATGCTGTTCCCAGTGTCTCCTCCTATTTTTTCTTCTCTCTTTCCTGTCTTTCTGTATCACCTTTTTTATTCCTACTTTTTTTGTATTTGCCCTCCTTGATACCAAAACTCAATGTTGCAGAAGCGAAGTGGAAAAAGAGAAACTGCGTCTTTATGGTTGAAGGTGTCAGGATGAAGCTGAAAAGATTAGGAGGAGGGTAGAGAGGGAGAAAAAACTTTTTTACCTTAAAGCCATGGTGGAAACCCTACAAAATAGAGTGCAATGTGCACATTACACCTAGCTGAAGTCACTTTCTCTTCCACAGTGGATAGAGCTAAATTCTGATGATTCGCTGTAGGCCAAGAACTGTTTTCTGATGTCCAGCTTGGGTCCAACTATATCCTCACTCCCTCATCAGCCCAGCAGCTGCAGGGCTGACATTACCAACAGGAGATGCACATACAACATGTGAACTTTAATCGCAACTTCTTTTCAAGCAAAACATTAGAAGTATATTGCAATCACATTGTGGTTTTGATTTGCATTTCCCTGATCATTAGTGATGTTGAGCATTTTTTCATGTTTGTTGGCAATTTGTAAACCACAATGCGACACCCCCTTATTCTTGCAAAAATGGCCATAATCAAAAAATTTTTTAAAAATCGATGTTGCTCTGGATGTGGTGAAAAGGGAACACTTCTACACTGCCGGTGGAAATGTAAACTAGTACAACCACTCTGGAAAACGGTGTGGAGGTTCCTTAAAGAACTAATAGTAGAACAACCATTTTATCTGGCAATCCTACTACTGGGTATCTACCCAGAGGAAAAGAAGTCATTATATGGAAAAGATACTTGCACACGCATGTTTATAGCAGCACAATTCACAATTGCAAAAATATGGAACCAGCCCAAATGTCCATCAATCAACAAATGGATAAAGAAATTGTGAGATACACACACACACACACACACACACACACACATGCACACACACACAATGGACTACTCAGCCATAAAAAGGAACAAATTAATGGCATTCACAGCAACCTGGTTGGAACTGGAGACTATTATTCTAAGTGAAGTAGCTCAGGAATGGAAAACCAAACATCATATGTTCTCACTCACAAGTGGGAGCTGAACTATGAGGACACAAAGGCTTAAGAATGATATAATGGACTTTGGGGACATGGAGGAAAGGGTGGGAATGGGGTGATGAATAAAAGACTACAAATTGGGTTCAGTGTACACTACTCGGGTGATGGGTGTACCAAAATCTCACAACTCACTGAACTAAAAAACTTACTCATGGAACCAAATACCACTTGTTCCCCAAAGACCTATAGAAATAAATTTTTTTTTAAAAAAGAGTACATTACAATCAGTAGCCAATTATTTCAAAAGGCTTCAGTCACATGTAGTGTATTAAGGAAATAAAATGTAATATTTACTTGGTAGTAGAGTATTGCATATGCATATTTTAGTACATGCATTTAAAGTTGGGGAATGAAAAATAGTTCCTGGGAGGCAAAAAAAAAAAATCTTGGCTATTATGTTTTGTGGCTATATGGAGGGCCACATCACACAAACAGATACACAGTATTATCTGTGGAATTAAAATTTCATGGAAAGGGGTACAATTGAGGAAAGAAATACTTTAAAAAGGCACCAGTGGGGTGGGGGATTAATAATGAAAAAAGATTGAGAAATAACACTTTAGTGGAATACATTGGTGCAAATATGGTGGTAGAAAAATCCTAGAATGATCAGAAGAGATTTTAAGCTCTAGCCATTAAAATAATTCTGATGCCCTCTAAGGATTCAGAAGGGGCCTCAGAGCTGCAGGAAGACATCATGATTGGCAGAAGTGTTAAGATTTCCTGTAGGATGGGATTACATTAAATCAATGTATAGTAAAGGATACTACCTTGTGTTCTTAGATCATGGCCTGATTCTAAAAAGCCTTATTGGAAACTGAGAAATCATTTGTTAGAAGAGAGGAATCTATTCTGTGTTCTTGAATTAAAAATTATGCCCCATGAATTCTAAACTATAACAATAGCTACTATAAAATGATTGAGATGCTCAAATTCATCTAATCTCACATTCTGTCTGGCCCATTCAAGCACACACACTGCACAAAAGGATGAGCCGTGGCCTTTCTTCTCTCTGCTATCTGTACATAGAAAGGAACATAGGAAAGATTGTGATCAAGTTCTGTCATAAACACTCAGATAGACACAAAATGAAGATAGTGTTCTAGAGAGAAGATCCGTTTAAAATTTAGTTTATTAAGACGAGGTAAAACCCCAAAGTTGAAAATAGCAGTATTAATATTCTGTTCAAATCATCCCTTAATTTCTGTTTCAAAGGGGACCATAAGACAGCTTGATTTTTATTACAGTGAAGAAAAAGAAAATGACTCCTTTCCATTAATCAGAAAGAACCACAAAAATAGGTTTCACTAAAAGCTAACACTGCCAAGTCCAAATGGAAAGTCTGATTTTGTCAAAAGATAAAGAATATCTTTAGAAATATTGTAATCAATTCTGAAAAACCTAATTTTTTTTCTTCCTTAGCTTTTCAGCTATTGTGATCTTCAATCCCAAGTGCTTCTTTGAGCAATTTTATTCTATCCCACAGAAGAAAATGAACTATTTAGCTCCACACTTAATGGCAAACTCCATTTCGGCATACACATTAAGCCCAGACTCCAGCAGGCTCTGATCAATACGTTTGGTTATGAACCAGAGCCCCTTCACACAGTCAAAGATCCTCACTGGTGACAAAAGACTGGGAGCTGTCAATGATTGATGCCCTCTCAGCAGTGCACTGACAAGCCAGGCCCCAGGAAACAGAGAAGAAAACCATATGAAAGTCCTTAGGGAGACGCTGACTGGCATGGACAAGAGATCACATCTAAAAGTCAACAGAATTGAGATCTGGTGCAGCACAGGGTAGTTAATGTGAAATCTGGACTCTGCCTACAAATTCTGCACCAAAGAAGTTCTATGAACACAGGGACTCTCTTGGACTCAGACTGGGGAAACTGCTTCAAGGAGAGGGTCATGGAAGTTCTAATTAAGTAGAGTGCTGTCACCACACCTCTGCAGTCACACTCTGTAGCTGGCTTTGACTAGCGGCTGTGATTGGACTAGTTACCACAACTACATTCTCCCTACTGTTTGCACTTAGCCTAACATAGCCTACAGATCAAACATCTAGAAGGGCAAGTGGTGATAGAGAATTGGCGATGGCAAAGTTCTGATCACAGACAGTTCTCCAGTGTGACAGTTCTCCTGATTAAGATTCAGATTTATTTCACTAGACAGGTATGTAGCAATATAGACAGGGTTCTTTTTTCTGAATGGCCTGCCAAATATGCAATTTTGCTGGAGAACTTTGAAGCACATTAAAAGTTTTGAGGGCTGGGTGCGGTGGCTTACACCTATAATCTCAGCACTTTGGGAGGCCGAGGCTGGCAGATCACAAGGTCAGGAGTTTGAGACCAGCCTGGCCAACACAGTGATACCCTGTCTCTACTAAAAAAATACAAAAAGTTAGCTGGGTGTGGTGGCGGGTACCTGTATTCCCAGCTACTTGGGATGCTGAGGCAGGAGAATAGCTTGAACCCAGGAGGCAGAGGTTGCAGTGAGCCAAGATTGCACCACTGCACTCCAGCCCAGGCAACAGAGTGAAACTCTGTCTCAAAAGAAAAAAAAAAAGGTTTTGAGAGTAGCGATGGTAATTCAACCAGACACACAGCAAGTAATAGTAAAAAGTTAGAGAAAAGCAGCCACCATGAACATTTTAGCAGCTAGTCATGGATGGCTCACACAGTGAGAGGAGTAACAGGAACCTGGGTTCCTGGACTCTACACCTCTTCTGAAGTGAAACCACAAATAGGCAAAACAAACAAACAAACAAACAAACAATTCTGCCAATATGTGCACTACTTCATAGAGAGGATTGGAAGAGAAAAGTCAAACAGTCAAAAATGTTTGAATTAATGCCTGGCTGTTAAACAGAAAAAATAAATAAATAAAGAGGGAAAACATGTTTCAAGAAAGAGCTGACATGAAAGCTGGCATTTGATTTTCAAAGATTATAGGAATAAACTTGCCCTTCGAGACTATGAGATGAAATGATTGTCACGCTTTCTAATGCATCTGCCCATCAGTCGCTAATGGAAGGACAGAAAACCCCTATTTTTCACTCAGCAACTTCCTACAGTTTGAATTCCCAGAAAAAATAATTACTGTTGAAACCAGATAACCCAAGTGAGAGTGTCTTGCACACAGTAGGCCCCTGATAAGAGCTAGTTTCCTTCCTAATATTTGATAGGTCACGTTCCTTTTTTTTTTTTTAAGCACAGACACAGGCACGGCTATAGGAAAAGATGGCCAATAGTAAATATGCACAAATTCTCTCTCAGAAGACCTGAATATATTCCAGCACAGTGGCCTACACGGCGCTCCTCCAGTTTTGAGGTGAATTTTGATGCGCATTATTCATCTGTTGCTATTCCAGGAAATCCATTTGAGATGATATTTCGCTGTGATTTTTTTCCCCTTCTCTTCTTTCTTTTTGATTTTGTTTTTAAATAACAACAGCTGTGCTCTGAATTCGCTTCCTTTTGTTCCTTTTAAAGTGGCTGGAATCTGGGAGGTTTGAAAGATGCTTCTCCATACCGCTGATCAAAGATTCTTTTCCTGAGAACTGGTTCACTCCCTAGCTATACATTAATCAAATCCTCCCCTTTTTCTCAAGTTCCAAAAGTGTTTTCTTTCCCTCCCTCTAGCTGTGAGTCTGATTCCACATTAGGAAAGTTGATGAAGTAGCTCTGTTATGAGAGAGACCCAGAGGGGCTTTCATCTCAAAGGCCACAGATTCCATCTCGTTCAGTCAGACCTGTTTGCTAAACCATCAGGCCACGTCTTATCTGACCCCTCGCAGCCCTCTTCGTCGTGGGGTTTGAAGGCAGCATCTGAGAACTGGCAGTGACCAACCTGGCGTGTTTGTGAAGTGCCGACCTACAAGGGACAGCCTCCTGTGGGCCATGACCCTGGAGCACACATCCCAGATCCTCTTCCAAAGGACAACTCTTTCCTTTCTTCCCTGTCAGTCTCTCTGCCATTCATCTCTAGTCATTCATTTTAGTTTTCACAGTAAATTTTTGTTGATCATCTATAACTCCATTAGATCTGAAGCTCTCTAATTAGGAATTGTCTTGGTCACACCCAGTCCCCTTTTGTCTGAGTAGCATTAAAGAACCATCATTTCATCCCACAGAGCAAATGCCTTATGAGGTGCCCAACTTTTGACTTCCTAATCATATTCTAATTGACTGCATTTGTGCTTTTTCTGGCTTAGCCAGTCTTATTCTGAGACCAATCATTCTAATTCACAATGAATAAGTCAATAAATAGATAGTATTTGCAAAACCAAGCATTGCACCGGTCCTTTAAGAAATGAGGAGAACAGGGCTTAGAAATCTGTTGCCTAGCAACATGGTACTAACTTTGCCTTCCATTTTCCAAACCAGTTGATAGCCTCCTGTTGGTTTGTCAGCATTCCAATGCAAAACTTTTCCCCCTTTTAAATTAGAAATGAAATTTTGTTTTTTGCTTTTGGGTTTGTTTCAGTTTTCAGGGAATTGACTTTAACCATCATCACGTTTTCCTGCACTTCACAGTAATCCTGTTTCCCGGGTTCCCAGTCAATCCCGGTTTGTTTTCCTTCCCTGATAAAAACTACTTCTATCTCCCAGTGAAGGACTATATCTAAGAACGATTTGCATATTTCTCAGAAAAGGACACAAGGCTCACATGGAAGTTTAATTGACTTTCATTAATAATAATGACACCAGGCAATTAAATGGCAGTTTATCCTTTGTACCATCCTTTCATGTCTGCTCATTCATTTAATTAAAATTTTAGATGCTTACCCAAACTTCTTTGGTTCATGATACCATGTTCCAGGTTTTTCTGAACCGTGGTAAAGGGTGGCCCTTTTTCTTGTTTTGCTTTAAATTAGAAGACGGTACCCTGCCACTGGGTTTTCACATGGTAATTCGGCATTTCAACCCAAGTCTGGTCAGAAATCTAGGAGAATATCAAAATCAAATCTTTTCATCTGCTCCTTTTTCTTTTCTTCAATGCTGAACTCCCTTGTATAGGTGATAAGCCATGGTGGTGGTAGGGGCGGGGGTTAAACTGTGCCAAGTCCCATTTCCATTTCTTCCTGCAGCGCCAGCCCCCGTGGGTCTTTGACTGACAGTGTCACCTAGACACAAGGAGAGCTGTGTATCCGCGGAGGCTCCTGTGTTCACAGTTATCTTGATGCCATTTTCTTGCTATTCAAGGTCTTTGAAAACTTCTCCAGATAGAAGATGAAGAGTCTCTGACAAAGCATTTCCTTATATTTCAGAGCACGATTGCTTTCAAGGTCACTATACGAACACATCAGCTGTGTCAAATTGGTTCACAAGGCTTAGTTTTGACACTGGCCTTCCTCACTGCACATTGGCTTCCATGTTGACTCAAATCATGGACTCGTGTTAGATGTCGCCAACTTTGCAATCACAGTGATTTCTATTCTTTGCAAATTCATGTCAGGAAGCAATTTCCTGGTAAAACAAAATAAATCACCAAGTTGATTTAAATCACCCACATCTTTTCTCTTCAGTGAAAATCTTCGACAGGGGTCTTGATCTTTGCTTTTGGAGGTTGGAAACAAAGCTTGAGCATAAGTCGTCATAAAAACCATCCAGATAGTCAATGTAAAGATGTGAATAAATTAAGTTAGACGAGGGAATTTTCACTTCAAAGGTCTGTGTTTAGACATCAACAAAATGTAAGAGAAACAAATGTGTCCAAAAATATCCAAATCCTTTGGCAGCTGTATTATTTGGTTTGTGTTTCAGGATATGTGAATATGTATATTTTAAGGCTCCAAACATGTAATGTAAAGTAGAGAAGGAATATAGTTAAATAGTCATGCCGACTTCCCACAATGCTTTCACTGACCAAGTAAACCTTAGTAAAAAGATGTTTCTTTCATTGTTTTTTTCTTTATTCTTTCACGCCAGAAAAAAGATTTCCCAAGAGTCTCTTCCATTTTACCCCCTCATCCTCCCCACAGCAGGCAGGTGGCCTAGCCATCACCTTCGAGTTTTTCATCTCTTTGAAAAGCAGGGGGAAAACATGCCTGCACTTGTGTATAGAACAGGAATATGCCACCGAATGAATGCCCTCTGGTCTGGACCAGTTACATAATTTTTGAGTCCAAACCAAAATGAAAATGCCAGGCCCCTGTTTCAAAACTTATTAAGAATATTTAGGTGACAATAGCAGAGGATTCAGCCAAGCCCAGGCTCTTTTAAGCACAGGTCTCATGCCCTAGAAACCTGCACAGGTCTCATGCCCTGGGCGGACTGCACAGGTGTCATATGCCCTGCCTCTGGCAGAGGGAGCCCCTCCCAAATGGGGCTGGATCCTCCAGAAACACACAAACAAAGCAGCCAAGGAGAGGATCTTCAGCAGGAGAAGGACAGAGAAAAGTGACATCACTGGTATTCTCCCTCAGCCTCCGTGTGTTCTCCTCTTTGTTACTAGGAGAGGCAGCTTGGGGTGAAAAGGAAAGCAAAAGAGCATTGATCAGTGTCAGGCATTATACAGATGGTCGTATTTAATACCTAGGATTGCGTTGAACCCTAGAACAACATTCTGAGGAAGATATGCCAGTTTAACAGTTGAAAGAAACTCAAAGAACGTTAACAACAAAAGCTCCCAAATTTTACAATTTTCTAGTGAGAGAGATTGTATTTGAATACTGGTCAGGCTTCTCTCAAAGCTTGCCCCACTACTGTCTGTAAATGCAGGAAAGCTTATCCATTTTTAATTTTTAAAAAATTTTATTGATACAAATATCTGTACGTGCTTATGTGTAGATGTGATATTTTGTTACATGCATGGACTGTGAATGATGAAGTGGGGGCATTTGGAACGTTTATCACCTTGAGTATCTATCATTTCTCTGTGTTGGAAATATTTCAAGTCCTCTCTTCTAGCTGTTTTGAAATATACAACATATTATTGTTAACTGCAGTCACTCTACTCTGTAATTGAATAGTAGAACTTATTCCTTAGGCCCAGTAGGGTGGCTCATGCCTGTAATCCCAGCACTTTGGGAGACCAAGGCAGGAAGATGACTTGAGGCTGGGAGTTTGAGACCAGCCTGGGCAACACAGCAAGATCCCATCTCTACAAAAAATAAAAAAAAAAAAATAGCTGAGCTTGGTAGTGAGAACCTGCAGTCCCAGCTATTCCAGAGGCCAGAGCGGGAGGATTGTTTCAGCCCAGGAGTCCGATGCTGCAGTGAGTGAGCTACGATCGTGCCACTGCACTCCAGTCTGGGTGACAGAGTGAGACCCTGTCTCTATTTTTTAAAAAAGAAAAACTTATTCCTTTATCTAACTGTATGTTTGTAACCATTAACCTACCTGCCATCATCCCCTTCCCTACATCCCCTTCCCAGCCTCTGGTATCTTTCATTCCACTTGCTACCTCCATGAGATCAACTTTCTTAGCTCCCATATGTAAAAGGGAATGTGATATTTGTTTTTCTGTGCCCAAGGAAAAGGCTATTCTTAGCAATTCTTTGCCATGGGACAAGCCTATTACATACAGTGAAAGAGGAAAACCAATAAGGCAATAAGAATGTTCTTCAAACAGCATCACAGTGCTCCTCTAACCTAGTGCCTGCTCCCTCCGATTGCACCACACCCTTTGTCTGACCACTCACAGCTTTCCCAGCCAAACCCTAGGCCTTTCTCAAACTTTCCACCCATCAAAATGTTCCATGTTTCCTCTCATGGAAAGAGTAAAAAGAAAGTAAAATTTTAGGACTTTCTAGATTTATTATGCCAAGGGGAAAAGTTAAACCCTGGAAACTGAGTCACATAATATGGCGGTTTTTCTTCTTTGGGGCATGAGTGACTGTGGCTTCCTGACCTTTGTGTTGAGTGAGATATTTTACAGCAGGGGTGGCCAATCTTTTGGCTTCCCTGGGCCACATTGGAAGAAGAATTGTCTTGGGCCACACATAAAATACACTAATACTAACGATAGTTGATGAGCTAAAAAAAAAAAAAAATACAGCACAAAAAAAAAAAATCTCATAACGTTTTAAGAAAGTTTACAAATTTGTTTTGGGGTGCATTCAAAGCCGTCCTGGGCCACAGGGTTGGACAAGCTTGTTACAGATGAACCAGGCTCTCTGTTCTTCATTCAAACCTAGACTTAATGATGTTGGCGATAGAGACCCTTGTGACTGGTATCTCTTTATAACAGAAAGTTAAGCAACTCCCTTAGAGTGTAATCAATTGTAGCCAATCACATCCTGTATCTATACGTTAGCCTTTGTATGGAAAATGTTGTAATTCTGTCAGCACCTCAATTTTTGTCTATATAAACGATCTTCATTTTCCCTACATGAGGAGCGCTGGTCCATTTTTTAATGTCCATGTGTCTGGGACAGCTGCCCTCACACTTTGAACATGAGTATACTCTTTTAAGTGGATCCTGGGCCTTTTGATTATTTTAGGTTGACAAAGGGAAGGGTATCACCAGCGTTAACTGATCAGATCAACATGTCCATGAGTCAATGCCTTAACTCAACCCCAAAACCTGAATAATGTGTGACTTTTAAGGCTTTGTAGGGAGACCAATGAAGTGAGCCTTCTTTTTTCCTCTGAAGGATGCTTTTCCATATCCCTCAAATTATACCTCCTGGTTACCTTAGGCCTCTTGTGTCAATAGCATTTTTATCCATATAAAACAAAATAAATGATTTAGCCACGATGATCAGATTTATAGGTGAGGTAACAGGTTGTAGGAAATAACTTTGGGTAACACCGAGCTTTCCCAGGAAAGCAATAAAATGCTTTCCTTCTGATCTGTAATATCCTGTATCCTGTTAGTGCCAGCCCTGCAGTGAACAAACTTGTCACTTCTGCCAAATTTCATGGTCAGTGATGCTGCGATATGGAGAGATGTCCAGGATGGATTAAAATGAAATCATCAACGACCTTACATTGACGACCTGTGACAGACTTGGACCGGCTCTCCCAAAAGCACATTCATAAGTCAAACCACTTCACTATGAGTCCACTAAAACAGTGTGAAAATACATGGGAAAGCATTTGTATAAAAGCTTACTGAGAATACTCATCACCTTGGCAGGGCATGGTGGCTCACGCCTGTAATCCCAGCACTATGGGAGGCCGAGGTGGGAGGATTTCTTGAGATCAGGAGTTTGAGACCAGCCTGAGCAACATGGCAAAACCCAGTCTCTACTAAAAATACAAAAATTAGCTGGGTGTGGTGGCCCACACCTTTAATTTCAGCTACTTGGGAGGCTGAAGCACAAGAATCACTTGAACCCAGGAGGTGGAGGTTACAGTGAGCTGAGATCATGCCACTGCACTCCAGCCTGGGCATCAGAATGAGACTCTGTCTCAAAAAAAAAAAAAAAAAGAATACTCATCACATCAATATTCTCCTTACTAGAGATAATAGACTTTTATCTCTCAGGGTTTCCTGATTTTAATATTCAAATATTTGTATTTGACAAGAAGCCATATTGTTATCAAGCCTGGTACATGCACAAATTTCAAACACATAGAAAAGAATACTCCATTTATATCTGGCTTTGGAATTTGATCTTACCCTTGAATGTGTACATGGTTATGTGTGATATTCTAAGAAATGACTTCTAACAAGATAAATAAGTCACACTATGCAGGTCTGATCCAGAAGAAACCAGAAGAATTTCCTAATCTTGTTCTTTCTGCTCATTCTCTGCAACATTTGCCATAATTTGCCTTCTCTTGCAACTCTTTTCTTGACTTCTTGAACAGTGATTAATCTTTTCCTCTCCTAGTCTCTTTCTTCTTTGAGGTTCCTTTTCCTTTCCTCTGCCCTCCAAAGGTGATCGTGGTTCTCTCCTCCTTCTTTCTTTCTTACTACATCAGTTATTTCTCATAGCTACTTGTCACAATGTCAATTTATCACCTCAGCTCCAAACCCGTCTCCAACTCTCATCTCTACCGACATGAAACCCTGCATTTCCAATCATCTGCATTACCTCTTTTCACCATGAGTTCTAGAAATCTCAAACAAAACTCTGAAGGCTGAACACTGCTTAAGGAGAAAAAATGTCCCTGTTGTTGGTTTTATCTAATCTTGAGCTAAATGTTCCCTTGGCAAGGTGAGGTAAAGAGGATCTGAACACTGGAAGTGAGGTTGGACTGAGGAGCTTTGGTTAAGGTCCCATCAATAGGGAAACAGGGAGAGAGGGAGAGGGGAGAAGGAGAGAGAAGAGGTAGAGATTGCTTCACCTGGAGAGAGCACAGAACTGGGTCTCGGAAAGTGAATAGGATTTTTTTTCAAATGAAAGGAAGGCTGTTACAGGTAGAGTGACTGACACATCTAAGACCTGAGGGAACAAGAGAATGTTTTAATATGTACCTTTGAAATCACCCAAGATTAAATGATGCTTAATGTAATTTTAACATTGAATAAATTGCATTTTAATTATTTAGAATTTTTAAATATTATAAGGGAGCAGTATTCCCAGAAAAAAAAGGCGATACATTTTTCACTGTTTTATTTTTTGAACCAGAAAGTGCTGGCAGTTCTCTATGAAGACATCAATTCACCAGTGAAGTGTATCTTCTTTGACCTGGCAAGTCACCAGAATGACCCCTGCTTACTGAGATTTAGAGAAGGGCTAAGATTGGTGGAAAGATGTCCTGGTGCCCCAGAGAGGAGACGTTGTGTGTGAGTTAACTGAAAGATAACTGCCAGTGGAGATGTTAGGGGGTGATGCCGACTTTACATTGAGAACCCTGGCTGTGCTTGAGACTGGGGAGAAGCGATGGCTGTGGCGTTAGTCACTCTGAATACTGCTGCAAAGAACATACTTTGGTTCAAGCTACCAAGTCCAATCAATTCAGTGGTCCAATCTATTCAGTGCTACCAAAGACTGAATATGTAAAAGATGGAAGGAAACCCTTCCAGGAAAGAAATCTGGCAACATGTATCAGAAACTTTAAAAAAAAAGGTTTATTTCTTTTGGCCCAATAATCCAACTTCTAGACCCAAAATGATTCAAAATGTGGCCAAAGAAGGCAACAGAAATATTATTAATGAATTCATTATCATAACAAAGCAATCTAAAAACAATTGGAAGCAACCTTATGGCCTGACATTTTGGTTATGGTTGTGTAAATTATGAAACATCCCTAAAATAAAGCATTTAGATGCAGTCATCTGAAGTAGTGCTTATGAAGAGCTTGTTGAAACGATAGAAGATCTTCATGATATTATGCTAAATTAAGGAAAAAATCAGTTTCTGACTGTGTATAGAGCATGATCTCAATTAGCCAGTGATGCCTCCTGTTGCCTTTGCCATCTCTTCCTCCTCTCCCTGTATATCAAATCACTTGACAGTAACTTCCACCTGTGCAGAAATCTTGTCTGTGTATCAGTAATGAATACAGTGACTCACACAGAGTAAGCACTGGGTAAATACCTTTTGATGAATAAATTAACTTTGTAAACAATACATACATACTCTTTGCTAAGCCCTTAATATTTGGATAAACTGAAGGCCTAGCCCATTAAAAGAAAAGCCTGATTATTAGTTTTTCAGGCACATAGTAGAGTTCAAAGAATGATGCCAAAGAATCATTACCTCCAAGTGCCGAGACCAGCTGGGTCAGGGAGACCCTAACCCAGCGGCGCTAGAGGAATTAAAAACACACACACAGAAATATAGAGCTGTGAAGTGGAAATCAGGGATCTCATAGGCTTCAGAGCTGAGAGCCCCGAACAGAGATTTACCCACATATTTATTAACAGCAAACCAGTCGTTAGCATTGTTTCTATAGATATTAAATTAACTAAAAGTATCCCTTAAGGGAAACAAAGGGATGGGCCGAATTAATTGCAGCAGGAACATGCCCTTAAGACACAGATCGCTCATGCTTTTGTTTGTGGCTTAAGAATGCCTTTAAGCAGTTTTCTGCCCTGGGCAGGCCAGGTGTTCGTTGCCCTCATTCCCGTAAACCCACAACCTTCCAGCTTGGGCGTTAGGGCCGTTAGGGCCGTTTACGGACATGTTACAGTGCTGCAGAGATTTTGTTTATGGCCAGTCTTGGGGCCAGTTTATGGCCACATTTTGGGGGGCTTGCTCCCAACATCCAAGTTTTTACGGAGAATTCCAAGAGGCAAAGAATAAGAACACAAGCCAGGACTCCTCCTCTTCTCTCACATGCCCCTTACTCCCCAGATCACTCAACTCTTCACCATTCCCCAGATTCCATTTTCCACTTGGATTTTCTCTTTCCCAGTCAAGCCGTGGGGTGAGACATTTACAAGAAAAAAAAAAGACTTCTATTACAAAGTGGATCTGCTAAAAGATAATTATCTTTTAGCATAACTCTACTATACTAAAAGAGTCACTATTTTATTTTCCCCTGCCTTACCAAACACCTCCTTTTGTTCTGTAATGTGTCACTTGTTTGGGTCAGCATTTCCATCAGTGCTAGCAAGGACTGAATATGTAAAAGAAGGAAGGAAACCCTTCATTGTAATGAATTTAAATGCCTTGTGAAACTGGTAGGAGATTTATATACCAAAATAGCAAGAGTGCTTTCCTCTGGGCATTAAGATTCCAAATAATTGTTAATTGTATTTATACATACACACTTTTGTTTCCATTTCCTACTATTGGTATATAAAAATTTAAAAAAAAAATAAACATTCTACAGCTATTGACAACATTTGCAACAATGTTCAACATCGTTCTCTGTTGGTCCACAAGTGCATTAAAAGAAACTATAATATAGAGAAGAAAATTAAGCGGCCATTAAGACACCCCTACAGAGCAGTGTTTTCTTTGAACCAAATCTGAACAGAATCTCACATCACCTTCTTTATGTGCTCCAATTAGATCATACCTCCTAAATTATTTTAAGGCAACACACACCTTGTACAGTGTATTAGTCTGTTCTCATGCTGCTGATAAAGACATACCCGAGACTGGGTAATTTATAAAGGAAAGAGGTTTAAGGGACTCACAGTTCCACATGGCTGGGGAGGCCTCACAATCATGGCAGAAGATGAGGAAGAGCAAAGAGACGTCTTACATGGTGGCAAGCAAGGGAACATGTGCAAAGGAACTCCCCTTTATGAAACCATCAGATCTTGTGAGGATTATTTACTATCATGAGAAGAGCATGGGAAAGACCCGCCCCCATGATTCAATTACCTCCCACCAGGTCCCTCCCATGACACGTGATAATTATGGGAGCTACAATTCAAGATGAAATTTGGGTGGGGACACAGCCAAAGCATATCACACAGTTTCTCAAAAGTTTGTTTCGCAAAGCTTCCTCCCAGTCTCCTTGGATGTCCTGCAGTTCAACTGCAGTGGAGCAGTGAGTCTGAATGCACTCTATACCCCTTCTCCTTAAGACTCCAGTTCAGTATTTATTAGGAGATTTGCATCCCCACACAAGGCAGGGAAGTCTGAATCTCAGCTTTGGTGATGAAAGTGTTAATTACTATCGGAAGCCAGTCTAGATTTTATGCATTTTGCTGGCCTTACTAGTCATTGAATATACACCACTTTGGAAAAGAGAAAAACTTAGGAGGTATTCATAACAGTTATCATTGATATATATGTTTACCTAGTTACTTACTTTATTTATTTTGTTAAATACAAGTCAGTTAAGTTTCAACCATGTTGTTGATCGCTATGAGAGAATCAACAAATAAATGCAAAAGAGTGAATGTATATTTTGTTAGCGTGTGGCTCTTTTTTTTACCCTGTGTGCAGCCATGGTACATTGACTGTCAATTGCAACCATCTTCCTTAGTGACTCCCACATCTTTAAATGTGCACTTTGCCACAATACCCACATTCTCTTGCCCCTGAAAACAGACTAATTGAGAGGGCGTGCTGTATCACAAAGCATGATTTGCCTAAAAAAAAAGATTGCCATCTCGCTCATTAATTTTACATTACCATACTGTGCTTCTATTGATGTTATCACAATGCTTTCTACAGCTGCTTACTGCGATTGCAAAAATACACAGATTGTTCTGTCATTAAGAAGAGTAAACGATTTTTTGAGTGATGTAAGGAAAGGAAAAAGTTTTATGATCATTCTCTCTGGCTATGGTAAACTGTTCTTTGATTACAGTATGAGTTTATGTGTAAACAGTTGTGTGTAATATACATCGTGGTAGAGCTACTTCACTGCTCTGGTGTAATTGAACCATTTTGAGATGTCTTGCTCGCCTGCAGAATGTTAGTTTTATGGCACATAAACGAAAGAGGGTATTGACATTGTTATAAAGATGTGACTCCATCTCAATTTTTCCTGTTATTCCTAAATCACTGAAAAATGAATGAGAAAGGATGGCCACAGAGGAACTACCAGAGTAGCTGTCATCATGCAGGCATGTCAATAGACCAGAAAACACCACCACCATTGAAAACACTTTGGAAACAAAAACAGTATTTTGTTGTGGAAAAAAAAGTACTGGACTGGGAATCAGAAAGTGGGTTTGAGATCCCAATCTGTCACTTATTTATGGAACACTATGGGTAAGTGCAGCATATCCCTTTGCTGAGAGCCTGGGCTTTATACATAAGACAGAGCTCCACCACTTACATCGATGGGTGACCTTGAGCAAAGAACTCCATGCGCCTCAGTTTACTTCATCTAGGAAAGTGGGATAATAATAGTACCCAACCCATGAAGTTGTAAATATTACATGCAATAATGCATGCAAAGTGCTTAGCACAGTGTCTGCTAGACAACAAACATCCAATAAATAATAGATATCATTATTGTTATTAAGACATGATTCCTGGGCTTTAAGTTCTTCAGCTCTGTAAGGTAACTAGATGAGACAAGATCTAAGGGCTCATCCAGGTATAGTAGTCTATGACTGAACTAGAGAATGATTTTATTCATTTACTTATGCATGTATTTATTTGTTTGAGAGGGTCTTGCTCTGTCCCCCATGCTGGAGTACAATGATGTGATCCTAGCTCACTGCAGCCTCTCTCTTGGGCTTAAAGGGCCTCCCACCCCAGCCTCCAGAGCAGCTAGGACTACAGGTGCATGCCACCACACCTGGCTAATATTTATTTATTTATTTATTTTTTGTAGAGACAAGATCTTGCTATGTTGCCCAGGTTGGTCTCAAACTCCTGGCCTCAAGCAATCTTCTTGCTTCAGCTTCTCAAAGTGATGGGATTACAGGCATGAGCCACTGCATCTGGCCCTGATTATACTTTACAAAAGAATTTCTCACAAAAAGATTCAAATAAAAATCATATGTCATTTTATTCATAAAATATATTAATCAGGCCAGGTACAGTGGCTCACCTGTAATCCCAGCACTTTGGGAGGCTGAGGTGGGCAGATCTCTTGGGGTCAGAAGTTTGAGACCAGCCTGGCCAACATGATAAAACCCCATCTCTACTAAAAAAAAATACAAAAATTAGCCGGGCATCGTGGTGCATGCCTGTAATCCCAGCTACTAGGGAGACTGAGGCAGGAGAATCACTTGAACCCGGGAGGCGGCGGTTGCAGTGAGCCAAGATTGCATCACTGCACACCAGCCTGGGTAACAGAGCAAGGCCCTGTATCAAAAAAAAATTAATCTATATTTTAGAAAATTTATGTGTGGTAAAGACCTAAAACTAGCAAAAGTGTGGGGATTGAGATTCTGTTTCTCTGTGTTGTTTATCTTTCACAGTAGACAAATATTTTGCAGGCAGGGATTATGTCTTATTTGTCTTGGGAATCCTAATGTTCAGCTCACTGAGGGATTTAAAAAAAATGTAAATGAATAAATGATTTAATGTTAGAAACAAGAAGCCTAAAATCTCTGCCTTTACAGAGAATACTGTTGAGTAATAGGTACTTTAAAGAAAAATAAAGACATTTAAAAAATCCTTCATGAATTGTGAAGTTTTCAATAGAGTGTTTTAGAGTTGGGGAAGGAGAGCAGAGACCCTCAAGAACTCATAAGACCATGAATTCTGTTGAAGTTTCAGCCTCAATCCCACATTCTCATTTCAGAGTAAAGACTAGAATTAATGTATCTCAAATGTATATGCCTTTGAGAGTGGAAGCTCCATCTATTCATCCAACCACCTGTCCAACATATTCTTCCTGTTCCTTTGGCTTCATTTGAAGAAGGGAGCTGAGAAGAGTTTAGCTTACATCTATGCGACATAACTAGGCCACGATTCCTAGCAGTCTATAACTTAATGTTTCTTAAAGGACTGTGACCAAAAATCTGTCTCTCTTGCTATCTGCCATTTCTGAAAGCTAATATTATGCCAATGACACGTGATTCTGTTGGGTCAAGCCATTGTTCTCTGCTATTAAATAAGTTTTCCTATCATGAAAAAGAAAAGCATAAAAGGGGCTAAAAAGTAAAAAAAAAAACCCTTGGACTGAAATTTGCAATTTTAGTGAGAACGGCCAAAGAAGGCCTCACTGAGGATGTGACATTTGAGTACAGACAAGAATGTGAGGGAGTGAGCCACTTTGATATCTGGGGGAAGAACATTCCAGATGGAGGGGGAACACCAGATGCAGGGGAAACAGGTGCAAAGGCTCTGATGGGGAGTCTGATTCATGTGTTGAAGGAACAGGAAGAAACTGGTGTGGCTGAGATGGAGGGAGCACAGCAGGAGATGCAGTCAGAGAAGGAAAGGGGAGGAGGCCCAGGTCCTACAGGGCCTTTCAAAGGATTTGGCTTTTACTTTGAGTGAAAAGAAATTCCTTGCTTGAGGCCAGAAGTTCAAGACCATCCTGTGCAACATAGCAAGATCTTGACCCTACAAAAAAATTTAAAAATTATCGGCCAGGCGCAGTGGCTTACAACTGTAATCCCAGCACTTTGGGAGGCCAAGGCGGGCAGATCACGAAGTCAGGAGATCAAGACCATCCTGGCCAACATGATCAAACCCCATCTCTGCTAAAAATACAAAAATTAGCTGGGCGTGGTGGCGCATGCCTGTTATCCCAACTACTTGGAAGGCTGAGGCAGGAGAATCATTGAACCAGAGAGTTGGAGGTTCCAGTGAGCCGAGATTGCGCCACTGCACTCCAGCCTGGCAACAGAGCGAGACTCTGTCTCAAAAAATAAAATAAAATAAAATAATTCCAGGTGTGGTAGCATGGACTTGTATTCTTAGCTGTTCCAGAGACTGAGGTGGGAGGATCTTTGAGCCCAGGAGAGAGGCTGCAGTGAGCTAGGATCACATCACTATGCTCCAGCATGGGGGATGGAGCAAAACCCTATCTCAGAGAAAACTGTTTTACTTTGAATGAACAGAAAACTCTGTTGCCCAGGCTGGAGTGCAGTGGCACGATCATAGCTCACTAAAATGTTGAACTCATAGGTTCAAGCGCTCCTTCTGTCTCAGCCTCCCAAGTAGCTGGGAGTGTGAGTGGAGTCTTACTATGTTGCCCAAGCTGGTCTCAAACTCCTGGCCTCAAGTGGCCCTCCTGCCTCAACCTCCCAAAGCACTAGGATTACAGGTGTAAGCCACCGAACCCGGCCAGATTTTGGAGTCTGAAGAGAGAGGCAACTTGACCTGAGTTGTTCAAAGTGGATTCCTTTGGCTGCTGTGCTAAAGATAGTTGGAGAACGGGGAAGAGGAATAAAGAACATCACTTAGGAAGCTGTTGCTTCTTGGATAAAGAAGTGATCATGGTGGCTTGGAGCATCATAGTAGAACTGATGACAACGAGTTACATCCAGGATAAATGGTGAAAGTAGAGCTATAGGATTTTCTTACAGATAAAATTTAAGATAAGAGACAAGGAGAGGAATCAAAGATGAGCAGATAGAAGGAAACCAGTTCCATTGGCTTCAATGTTAAGACTGTGGGAAAAACAGGTTTAAAGGGAAATATTAGAAGCTCAGCCTTTTGCTTGTTTGGTTTGAGGTATGTAGGAGCAGGCATCTGAGCAGAAAGCTAGAGAGTCTGAAGCTCAGGGTCTGAAGTTATAGCTGAAGGCTTAAGTTAGTAAATATCAGTGAGTAGATGGTATTTAAAGCTCTGAAACTGAATGAGATGACACAGACAAAGTGGATAGATAGAAGAGGATGGTCCAAACACTAAGCGTGGCAGTAATTGAATGTTTTAAATGGGTACCTCCAGAAAAACCAGCAAGAATCCAAGGACTGGCTAGTGAGGAAAGAGGAAAGCCAGGAACATGCGGATCCTGGAAGTCAAGTCACAGAGTATACTAAGGAAGATCCTGGGGACCAGAGGGTCTAACGCTGCTTGTAAGTCCAGTCAGATGATGAAAGAGAATTGACCATTTGCAACATGCTGGTCAACCCATGAAGTGATCATGGAAGTTCTGGTGGCGTCAGCAAAACCCTGATGGAGAGAACGTAGCAGAGAATGGGTGGAGGAAAATTGCAGAGAACATGTATGGTAAAAGCCCAATTTGATTCTATTAAAAAGAAAAGGAGAGAATGGGGGTGACAGCAATAGGGAAATGGTCTCTAGAGATGGGTTTTTTGGTTTGTTTTGTTTTTTCTAAGATGAAAGAAATAGTCACATATTTGAGTGCTGATGGGAAAAACCCACTGGAGCGAAAAATGTGACAATGTAGGAGAAAGAGAAAAATTGTGAGGAAAATTCCCTGGTTTGAGAAAGGAAAATACCTACTGAACAAGTTGACCAGTTGGTTTTAGCTAAAGATCAGGGACAGTTGAAATAGGCAAGTTTATGTGGTTCTTTATTTTCATTCTTTTCTAATGATGAAAATAGATGGGCATTTTTCTTAAGTTCGCATTTGATTAACAGAAGAGCCCCGGAGCTATTATTCTAACATTGCAGATGTTATGGAAATCATTTTAATTCAGCAAATAGCACTTTAACCTGACTTTTCAGGAATGCATCTGTTGCCTGACATAAATTACTCCTAAACAATATAGCTCATTTCTGGCATCGGCCTTGGCACACTGGTTTTTAGGAACAGACTTTTAAATATAAGTTTACCATACAGCGTATGCTTTCTTTATAACAGAAATAATGTAATAATATCTCATATCTGAATTATCTTTCTATACTATGATGCAATAACCTTTTAAATTCCCTTTGATTACGCCCCATCTTCTCAGAATACCAATAGCCCCTATCATATATGTCATTTGTTCAACACTTCATCAACTAGAACCTTGTATTGTTACCTATTTCCTGTGTGTGTGATATATACACGTGTGTACACACCTAGCCATGAATATGTTACGACTAACTATAGAATATGGTCCACTTTTGCTTGTATTTCTGCATTGCTGATGATGACTGAAGCAGTGACCTAAAAACAAGCAAAACCAGGAAATTCCTGGAGAAGCAGTCATTGCCATACTGTCATAAATGCAGAGGTAGGAAACAAATAGAAGCATGAGTGCATGGTGAAATAAGTCTCCTGAACTACTGGGCTCAACACAAATGGCAAGCCTATATGCATTCCTCAAAAGATGAGGCCAGGCGCGGTGGCTCAGGCCTGTAATTCCAGCACTTTGGGAGGCCGAGGCAGGTGGATCATGAGGTCAGAAGATCGAGACCATCCTGGCTAACACAGTGAAACCCCGTCTCTACTAAAAATACAAAAAAATTAGCTGGACGTGGTGGTGGGTGCCTGTAGTCCCAGCTACTCAGGAGGCTGAGGCAGGAGAATGGCACGAACCCAGGAGGCGGAGTGCAGTGAGCCGAGATTGCACCACTGCATTCCAGCCTGGCTGACAGAGCAAGACTCCGTCTCAAAAAAAAAAAAAAAAGAGACAACTTCAACTTCCCAAGACTAACATCAGATCATTTTTATTTTTATTTTCTTTTATTATTATTTTTTTGAGATGGAGTTTCACTCTTGTTGCCCAGGCTGGAGTGCAGTGGCACAATCTTGGCTCATTGCAACCTCTGCCTCCCAGGTTCAAGCGATTCTCCTGCCTCAGCCTCCTGAGTAGCTGGGATTACAAGTACCCTCCACCACGCCTGGGTAATTTTTGTATTTTTAGTGGAGACAGGGTTTCACCATATTGGCCAGGCCGGTCTCGAACTCCTGACCTCAGGTGATCCACCCATCTCAGCCTCCCAAAGTGCTGGGATTACAGGCGTGAACCACCATGCCCAGCCATCAGATCATTTTTTAAAACAATTCTTTTCTTTTGAAAATTAGGCAAAAAACATATCCTGAGGAAGAGATCAACTGAAAATAAAATTCTTAGGACATACATCTTCCAGCATAAACCTCATATAGGGAAGTTGAATGTCACATATGCAGAATATGAAAGGTCAAATGTCATCCTTCATTGTGATTTGAGATCACAAGGATTTTCACCCTTGTACCATGTCAGGTATAACTTGTACCAGCTCTTCTTTCTCACATAAGGTTGATTCTCCTCTAGGACTCACAGTAGGACTTTTCTTCTCGCTGTAGGTTTCTCAAAGAAAAGTCTTATATTATCTTATATTATGGTAGCAGGCACATAATAGCACTGGAAATACATTTGTTAAATTAAATGTTCACAGAGGGATCTTCCAGTGATAACAAACATTTTTGTGGATTGCAATTCTTAGTTACTGGGTAGTACATGTTAAACCAAAATTGTGGCAAACATTATTTGCAGTAATGAACTAGAAAGTGCAAATTACTATGCTAATCAATAGCTTCTTACTGAAAATGATACATTTTAACATTTATTAGACTTAACTCTGTTGACAAAAGTTACAATCATTTTTTTTCTGCATTTTCTGAGAAATGCAAAAAAGCACAAAAAAGAAAAATAATTCGAATTCATTGTTAACAGTTTATTATTCACTGGGATAAATATTTTTCTATATAGTTGGCATTTTATAGTACCTGTTTTACAACATCGTTTTTGACATAATTAATAATATTATGTGAATAGTTTTCTATGTCATTAGTTTTCTAAAACATCCTTTCTAATGGCTGCATTACTATACAGATACACTATAATTTATTTAGCAAATTCTCTATTGTTGGTCATTAATATTATTCCTAAATTTTAAGTATCATAAATGATGCTAAAATAAATTTTTCAATGAATCAATTGCCTAACATTTATATCTATTTCTTTAGGTTAAATTCATCAAAGTGGAATTATTTTATCAAAGAGCAATTATTTCATCAAAGAGTAAGCATTATCAGGGCTTTGAATGCATGCTGCCAAATGGTTCTACGGAGAAACTAAGTTACATTCATTACAGAGAAAAATACTGTTTTCTCTATGATCTGATATTAGTCTGGGCAAGTTTCCTCCTTCTTTAAAAAGAGAGTATTATCAATTTTGAAAAATCTGACAGATGAAAAAATAACTCATTTTAATTTGCATTCCTTTGAATGCTGGTAAGTCAGAGTTTTTTCAAATTTTTTGGTTGTTTATAGTTCGTATTTTGCAAATTGTATTTATGTTTTTGCTTTGGTATGGTTCTCTTACATTGATATGCTCTTCTTTTGCTTTTCATTTGTATATTTGTATATCAAGGACATTAGCTGTTTGCTCTCACACGTCATAAATATGTTTGTTTTTAATTGTATTAAACGTTGTTTTTGACCTACAGAATTTTTTTAATGGTGAAATCTATTGATTTTTAGGTAGCAAGTATTTGTATTTTGGCTTCCTGGCATCCATTTCCAGTTTCCTTCCTCCACTCTCTTTTAGGTACAACCTAGGAAAACTGTAATGAGAAGCCCCACCCTACTTTGGCCACAGGGTGAATATGTGATCAAAATTAGGCCCACAGGACATGCACTCTTCAACATTTAAATTTTAGCTGAGGAACAAAGAAACTGAAAAAGGTTAGAATTCACCTAATTCCTGTTGAAGTGCTCTGACCAGACTGTTTCTTACTGTAAAATTCTTTCTACAGCTTTCAATTTCCTCCCCCAAGCCTTCCCATTTCTAAGCATTTCCATCCATTCTGTGAGCTCTTGATATTAGTCCAAAGACTACCTTTTTCTTTAATGAATCAGTCAGTATAAGCAAGACTATGCCAAGGTAACATCAACAACAAAAAAAAACCCAGAAACCTCAGCCAAGTTCATTTCTCACTCAAGTTCTGTGTTGGCAGGAAGGTTTTGTTCCTTATGGTCACTGAGGACTCAAGCCAAGAGAACTTTAATATTAATACATGCTGCCATGACTACAGGGACAGGGGAAAAAGCAGGTTAAATCTCTGAAATGTTCTGCTCAAAAATGAAACACCGTCACTTTTGCTTACTTTTCATCAGTCAAAACATGTCACATGGCCCAGCAAGATGCTATAGAGGAAGAAAAGTATAATCCTTCTCTGAAGAGAGGCAGTAAATATTTGGACATAATATTAGAATCTACTGTCCTTTTTTTAATTTTATTTTTCCATAGGTTATTGGGGTACAGATGGTGTTTGCTTATATGAGTAAGTTCTTTAGTAGTGGATTTCTGAGATCCTGGTGCACCCATCACCTGAGCAATATACACTGCACTGTATTTGTAGCCTTTTATCCCTCACCCCCCTCCCATCCTTCCCCCCAAGTCCCCAAAGTCCATTGTATCATTCTTATGCCTTTTCATCCTCATAGCTTAGCACCCACATATCAGTGAGAACATACAATGTTTGGTTTTCCATTCCTGAGTTACTTCACTTAGAATAATAACCTCCAATCTCATGCAGGTCACGCTAATGCTGTTAATTCATTCCTTTTTATGGCTGAGTAGTATTCCATTGCATATATATACCACAGTTTCTTTATCCATTCGTTGATTGATGGGCATTTGGGTTGGTTCCACGATTTTGTAATTGTGATTATGCTGCTATAAACATGCGTGTGTAAATATCTTTTTTGTATAATGACTTCTTTTCTTCTGGGTAAATACCCAGCAGTGGGATTGCTGGATCAAATGGTAGTTCTACTTTTAGGTCTTTAATGAACCTCCACACTGCTTTCCATAGTGGTTGTACTAGTTTACATTCCCACCAGTAGTTTAGAAGTGTTCCCTGATCACCCCATCTATGCCAACATGTACTGATTTTTTTTTTAATGTTCATTCTTGCAGGAGTAAGGTGGTATTGCATTGTTGTTTTGATTTGCACTTCCCTAATCATTAGTGATGTTGAGCATTTTTTCATATGTCTATTGGCCATTTGTATATCTTCTTCTGAGAATTGTCTATTCATGTCCTTAGCCCACTTTTTGATGGGATTGGTTTTTTTTGTTTGTTTTTTTCCTTGCTGATTTGTTTGAATTCATTATAGAGAAACTACTAACCTTAATCAGAGGGTTTTCTAGTTGCTTATAACCAAAGAACCTTGATGGTACAATTTTTCTTTTGGAGTTCTGTCTTTCATATGTTTAGAAAGATCTTCCCAAGAAGAATTATAAAAATGTTTCTTGAAATTGTCCTCTAGCTTGTTTAGAGCTTTTAATCTAAACTTCCCAAATTGGTGTTATACTTTGAAAATAAAAAGAGTTCCATGTAATTATGCCAAATGAATTTCATAGACTTCACCATAAAACTATTTTTTCATGTTAACCCTATTAATAGCTCACATGTTAGTGTTCCTTCAAACACATTTAGAAAATGCTATTTTCTCTTAACTGGAATTTATTTTGTTTGCCAGGAGGTAGAGGTCTACATTTTTAATCCAAAGAGGTAACCAATTGTCCTGACACCATAGATTAAATAAATTTTACTTTACCTAGTAGTTTGATATGTTATTTTTATCAGAAACCAAATTTTTATCTATACTCGGGGTTGATTCTGGTGTTTATGTTTCATTGCTCTTTCTTTCAGTTTTGGCACAAGCAATACATTGTTTTAATCATTATGGTTTTATCATGTTTATTTATCCATTACTGCAGGTCTTTTGCAACTTTTTTTTTTTTTTCTTTTTTGAGACAGAGTTTTGCTCTTTCACCAGGCTGGAGTAAAGTGGCGCCATCTCAGCTCACTGCAACCTCCACTCCCCGCCCAGTTGAAGTGATTCTCCTGCCTCTGCCTTCCAAGTAGGTGGGATTACAGGCATGTACTACCACGGCCGGCTAATTTTTGTATTTTTAGTAGAGACGGGGTTTTGCCATGTTGGCCAGGCTGGTCTCGAACTCCTGACCTCAGATGATTCACCCACCTTGGCATCCCAAAGTGCTGGGATTACAGGCTTGAGCCACCATGCCCAGCCTTTTGGAACTCTTTACCTGTTTGTTTGTTTGTTTCCATATTTCCATTCAATATTTTACCAGACTAGAGTACCTACTAATGCAGGGAATTGTAATAGGCAAATCACCTGAGAGGCATTAGTCATACATACAACTTATATTCCAATGAATGTATAGTTATTAAACAGTTAATTACACAAGTTATTTATTACAATTTTTATACATTGTATCTTCATACAATGTGGGGCCATAAAATTAAGAGGAAATATACTTAAGTCCTCCTTGAAATATGTGACTTTGAACTGGTTCTTAAAGGACAGGAAAGAAGTAACTAGGACAAAAGGAAAGGGAAGAGAAATTAAAGCATGAAAAATAGTAAAGGTCTTGAGATGCAAACATACTAAGCATTCAGGAAACTAAAGCCATAGTGCCCAGGGCATGGAGCAGGTCAGGAAAAGAAGCCCACGATGTGCCTGGCGAGGGCAGAGGGAGCCATGTGATCTAGAACCTTGGAAACTGTAAGGAGAATTTAGCTTTGATTTTAACAGTAAGAGGAAGCTATGAAAGGACTTTAAGCAGTGGGGTTACAAGATCAGATATTCCCCCTTATTATTGTTTAAGAAAAACTAAATAAATTGAGGCTGCTGCGGACAGGAGTTGAAAAAGAAGAAACCAGTTAGGGAAGTGGTCCCCAACCTGTTTGGCACCACGGACCGGTTTGGTAAAAGATAATTTTTCCATGGATGGGGTAGGGGAGATGGTTTTGGAATGACTCAAGCTCATTACATTTATTGTGCACTTTATTTCTATTATTATTACATTGTAATATAAAATGAAGTAATTATACAACTCACTATAATGTAGAATCAGTGGTAACCCTGAGCTTGTTTTCCTGCAACTAGACAGTCCCATCAATATTTGAGTGTCTTCTCTACATATTTATTGTAAGACTAAATTTTAGGAGTTGTGTTTTCTGGTTGCTGTTATGAATTATAATCTTTTTTTTTCTTTTGAGACAGAGTCTTGCTCTATTGCCCAGGCTAGAGTGCAGTGGCATGATCCCAGCTCACTGCAACCTCCGCCTCCTGGGTTCAAGTAATTCTCCTGCCTCAGCTCCCCGAGTAGCTGGGATTACAGGCATGTGCCACTATGCCCGACTAATTTTTGTATTTTTAGTAGAGATGAGATTTCACCATGTTGAATTATAATTTTTTAATGTATTTTTCCCCATTGCCACTTTCTCTGATATGAAAGAAAGCTTTTGGCTTTGGTAATAATAATAACATTCATTATCACATCTAAATTTTTTGCATTTTATTCTTTTGGGTTTTCAGCAAAAAATAATCACTTAATTTCTCTCTCTTTCTCTCTCTCTCTTTTTTTTTTTTTTGAGACAGGGTCTTGCTCTGTTGCCCAGGCTGGAGTGCAATGGCACAGTTTTGGCTCACCACAACCTCTGCCTCCCAGGTACAAGCAATTCTCACGCCTCAGCCTCCCGAGTAGCTGGGACTACAGGTGTGTGCCACGATGCCTGGCGAATTTTTTATATTTTTAGTAGAGACGGGGTTTCACCATGTTGGCCAGGCTGGTCTCAAAATCCTGACCTCAGGTGATCTGCCCATCTTGGCCTCCCAAAGTGCTGGGATTACAGGCATGAGCCACCGTGCCCGGCCACTTAATTTCCCTTTTCCAGGGGCTCTACCTCCATCCATCAACTTCCTTTGCCACCTTACTGCATTAGCAGTAAGTTCTAGACATGATAGCAAGTATTCTTGTCTTATTCCTGGCTTTAAGTAGAACATCAAAGTGCAGTGCTTTCAAAGAACATTTTATACCCATCTAACAGAGTTACACAAACAAAGGATTCCAGGGTCAAATGAGTTGGGGAAACACCAACTTCATCAAGGCAAAACCGATTTCTTCAATGCATTTGCTGTCTCACAATCCTCATCTGTTTGTCCTGAATATCCAAAAAAGAATCTAGTATACACCATTTGCCAAATTTATTTGAACATACAAGTATACCACAGAGCTATTGTAGGTTCAGTTCCAGATCACCATGATAAAGTGAATACAGCAATAACACAAGTTACACACATTTTTTGGTTTCCCAGTGCATTTAAAAGTTACGTTTCCATTATACTATAGTCTATTAAGTGTGCAATAGCATTATGTCTAATAAACAATGTATATACAGTAATTTTAAAAATTTTATTGCTAAAAGTATGCCAATGATCATCTGAGCCTCTATGTTGATGGCTGCTGACTGATCAGGGTGGCGGTTGCTGAAGGCTGGAGTGGCTGTGGCAGTTTCTTAAAATAAGACAATAATGAAGTTGGCTGCATCCACTGGCTCTTCCTTTCACAAAAGATTTCTCTATAGTAGGCGATGCTGTTTGACAGCATTTCACCCACAGTAGAACTGCTTTCACAATTGCAGTCAGTCCTCTCAAACCCTGCTGCTAACTTTATGGAATATTCTAAATCTTTTGTTGTCATTTCAACAATGTACACAGCATTTTCACCAGAAGTAGTTTCTACATCAAGAAAGCAATTTCTTTACTCATCCATAAGAAGCAACTCCTCATCCATTCAAGTTTTCTCATGAGATGGAGGCAATTCAGTCCCATCTTCAGGCTCCGCTTCTACTTCCAGTTCTCTTGCTATTTCTACCACATCTGCAGGTACTTCCTCCACTGAAGTATTGAACTCCTCGAAGTCATCCGTGAGGGCTGGGATCAACTTCTTCCAAACTCCTGTTAGTGTGGGTATTTTGACTTCCTCCCATGAATTACAAATGTTCTTAATGGCATCTAGAATGGTGAATTGTTTCCAGAAAGTTTTCAGTTTACTTTGCCTAAATCCATCAGAGGAATCACTCCCTATGGTAACTATAGCCTCACAAAATGTGTTTCTTTTTTTTTTTTTTTTTGAGACGGAGTCTCGGTCTGTCGCCCAGGCTGGAGTGCAGTGGCGCGATGTCCGCTCACTGTAAACTCCGTCTCCCGGGTTCACGCCATTCTCCTGCCTCAGCCTCCCAAGTAGCTGGGACTACAGGCGCCCGCCATCATGCCCAGCTAATTTTTCGTATTTTTAGTAGAGATGGGGTTTCACCATGTTAGCCAGGATGGTCTGGATCTCCTGACCTCGTGATCCGCCCGCCTCGGCCTCCCAAAGTGCTGAGATTACAGGCGTGAGCCACTGCCCCGGCCTAAATGTGTTTCTTAAATAGCAAGACTTGAATGTTGAAATTTCCTTGATCCATGGGCTGCAGAATGCATGTTGTGTTGACAGGCATGAAAATAACATTAATCTTCCTCTTCATCAGAGCTCTTGGGTGACCAGGTGTACTGTCTATAAGCAGGGATATTTTGAAAGGAATCTTTTTTTTTTTTCTGAGAAATAGGAATCTTTTTGTATCAACAGTGGGCTTAAAATGTTCAGCAAGCCATGCTGTAAACAGATGTGCTTTCATCCAGACTTTGTTATTCCATTTCTAGAGCACAGGCAAAGTCGATTTAGCATAATTCTTAAGGACCCTAAGATTTTTGAAATAGTAAATGAGCATTGGCTTCAACTTAAAGTCATCAGCTGCATTAACCCCTAACAAGAGAGTCAGCCTGTCCTTTGAAGCTTTGAAGCCAGGCATTGACCTCTCTAGCATTTCTATCTAGAAAATGCCTGGATGGCATTTTCTTCCAACAGAAAGCTGTTTCATCTACGTTGAAAATCTTCTGCTCCGTGTACCCACCTTCATCAGTGATCTTAGCTAGATCTGGGTAACTTGCTGCAGTTTCTCCATCAGCACTTGCTGCTTCACTTTGCACTTTTATGTTAAAGAAAGATGGCTTCTTTCCTTAAACATCATGATCCAACTTCTGCTAGCTTCCAGTTTTCCTTCTGCAGCTTCCTCACCTCTCTCAGCCTTCATAACATTGAAGAGAGCTAGGAGGTTACTCCGGATTAGGCTTCAGCTTAAGGAAATGTGCTGTGGCTGATTTGATATAGGCAAAAAGGCTGTTTCACTTTCTTATCACTGTTCACTGGAGTAGCACTTTTTTTTTTTTTTTTTTTTTGAGATGGAGTCTAGCTCTGTCTCCCAGGCTGGAGTGCAGTGGCTTGCACTCCAAGCTCACTGCAAGCTCTGCCTCCCGGGTTCACGCCATTCTCCTGCCTTAGCCTCCTGAGTAGCTGGGACTATAGGCACCCACCACCACGCCTGGCTAGTTTTTTGTATTTTTGGTAGAGACGGGGTTTCACCATGTTAGCCAGGATGGTCTTGATCTCCTGATCTCATGATCCACCTGCCTCGGCCTCCCAAAGTCCTGGGATTACAGGCGTGAGCCACCGTGCCTGGCCTGAAGTAGCACTTTTGATTTCCTTCAAGGAACTTTTCTTTTGCCTTCACAACTTGACTAACTGCTAGGCCTAGTGTTGTCCTGTCTTTCCTTTCCAAATGCCTTCCTCACTAGCTTAATCATTTCCAGCTTTTGATTTTAAGCAAGGGATGTGTGACTCTTCCTTTCACTCGAACATTGGGGGCCATTGTAGGGTTATTAATTGGCCTAATTTCAACACTGTTGTGTCCCTGGGAATAGAGAGACCTATTCTCCAAAGAGAAAAGAGGGAGAGAGAAAGAAGATTGGCCTGTCAGTGGAGCAGTCAGAACACATGCAAAATTCAGTGGGGTACGGTGGCTCAAGCCTGTAATCCCAGCACTTTGGAGGCCAAGGCGGACAGATCACTTGAGGTCAGAAATTCCAGACCAGCCTGGCCAACATGGTGGAACCCCATCTCTACTAAAACTACAAAGATTAGCCAGGCGTGGTGCTTGTGCCTATAATCCCAGCTACTCAGGAGGCTGAGGCAGGATAATCGCTTGACCCTGGGAGGCAGAGGCTCCAGTGAGCTGAGATCGCGCTGCTGCACTCCAGCCTGGGTGACAGAATGAGACTCTGTCTCAGAAAAAAAAGAACACATGCACAATTTATCAATCAAGTTGACTGGCACCCCAAAACAATTATAATAGTAACATCTAAGCTCACTGATCACAGATCACCATAGCAGATATAATGATAATGAAAATGTTTGAAAGAATTACCAAACTGTGACCCGGAGACACGAAGTGAGCACATGTTATTGGAAAAAATGGCATTGACAGATGTGCTCCAGACAGGGTGGCCACAAACTTTCAATTGGTGAAATAAACAAAGTGCAGTAAAACGAGGTATACCCATCTTTACCCCCACTTTTCTGTCCTCTGATGTGGGGGGATCACTTCAGCCCAGGATTTTAAGGCTGCAGTGAGCTGAGATCACGCCATTGCTCTCCAGTCTAGGAGACAGAGCAAGATCCTACCTCTGAAAAAAAAAAAAAAAGAACACTACGGATTAAGTGATTTTTCCTCCATTTTACCCACTGATCTATGCCTCTGGCACTGTCTGGCCACCTGATATAAGGCTAGGGCCTAGTGAAGATTGCATAGGTGGGAATAACTGATATTATTCTTCTTAGTGATGGCCTAGTTCCAGTGACCTCCTTGTCTGTATATGACAATTCCTCCCAAATTCAACCTACTCTTTCAAGATTAAATAAAAATACATTATCCTCCTTCATTTAACTTTTTCTAAGTCACACATCAAAGCAATCAGTTCACATTACCAAGTGTAGCATAAGTTGAATGGATGTGTTAGGAGCAAAATACGCACCTCCACCTTTGCCTGATGAGGAAGCCTACAGGTGCGTTGTGGACTGGCACCCCAGTGCCTCAAAAATATAACCTTAATGCACAGAGGAGTGTGCCTCCTAAGGCATTAACCATCTGTAGCAGTGTTATAACAGCAGCCCCAATCTATTTTTCACAGTGACTTCTTCATGGCTCATGGTTCCGCAATAATACTCAGAACTCAAATTGTTTCACATCCAGAAAACCACAAACTATGAATACATATATAAGCCATACCAATAAACAGAGCCATTGCTTGAATAAAGATATTTTTATTGCCACTCATTAAATTACTATGTTTGAAATGTCTTAAACAAATGCTTTGGAACAGTATCATGCCAAACGTACCCACACACACAGAAAGGCAATTCGGCTTCAAAAACAGCGTGCTCACAGCCACCATGCTCTGATTGGAGCCACATGGTGCTCTGGGCTTCCATGTGTTGGCTTTTCCACCAAAACCAACTCAGAACATTTCCTCCAAGGACCCCTTTCCCATTTCCTCCCCTCTTCTGATTTTGGACACATTTGAAGAAACTTGAATGTTCTTTATCCTTTACCCAAGGGTAAAAGAAAACACAAAATGATCGTGATCAGATGTTTATTTAACATCTATAGAGAGCCCATATATATGTGTTTTTTAATCCCTGAGCTATCAAGACTACATTTTACCTGTTCAAATAAAGATTAACCCACCTCCCAGCCATAATCAGTATCCAGTTAATTTTTAGGAGGATGCTAGAAGGATGATATACCACCTGAGTGGCTGCCTGGAGCCTGGGGCATGGAGTTGCAGTGCTTGGTGTGATTACCTGGGCAGAGCCAAGGCACCTCATGAAGCTGCGGATGGGGAGAAGCCCTGGGATACTTCTCACCTGAAACACAGATTGGTAGAGCACAGCCCCAGCTCATGGGAGAAGAAATGAAATGATGAAAACTTACTTTACATAGGAAGAAGCTGAGATATGAAGTTGACTCCACTTATCCAAGACCCCACAGCTCCTGAGAACTGGAAAAAAAGAGTAAGACTGAGGTCTAACAGGCTTCAAAGCCCAAACCGTTCCTGCCCCATCATTTAGAATCCAAAGAAATCCTTACAACAAGATTTCACTTTAGCATAAGAAAAGAGTACATTTCAACCACAGAACAATAAAATATTTATTTCATTGAATGTCAGTTGTTCAATAGTTAGTACCGTTTAAAAGCAGAGTTTGACCAGATGCGGTGGCTCACGCCTGTAATCCCAACACTTGGGGAGGCCAAGGCAGGCGGAGCACCTGAGGTCAGGGGTTCGAGAGTAGCCTTGACAACATGGTGAAACCCTGTCTTTACTAGAAATACAAAAAATTAGTTGAGCATGGTGGCACACATCCAAAGTCCCAGCTACTCAGGAGGCTGAGGCAGGGGAATCACTTAAACTTGGGAGGAGGAGGTTGCCGTGAGCAGAGATTACACCACTGCACTACAGTCTAGGCTACAGAGCAAGATTACATCTAAAAAAAAAAAGAAAGAAAGAAAGAAAAAAGCAGAGTTTTACTAAAATAACAACAAAAAGCTTTGCCTTTAACTTGACTTGAACAGAGCATCAGTGTTTGTTTCATTACAGTAGTGCTTCCTAATGTGGACCATGTAATAGATATAATAAATGAAACACTATCTGATGATAACCAGGACACTCATTTAAACGACCAGTGGCTTGGCAATATTGCTGCAAATGAGCATCCTGTAAAGATGGCGCCCTGCCCCAGCTGCACATGAATGTAGACACAAAGCTCTGAGATGCAATAAACTAGAGCCAAATACTGAGCATTCTCACAGAGGCAAGAATTACATTTGTACCTCAATTCTCACCGTATCGCCTCCTTGCCCCTTGGCCTCCTGTAAATGCCTGGACCTTTCCTGAACTTCAAAAGAAGTTAGAACCTGCTCATCTGCTGCAAAAGAGAACTCAAGGATAACTACTCCATGCCAAGAAA